>NC_000011.10:132293928-132603116 GCF_000001405.40 Homo sapiens | reverse complement strand
AGGCACCCAGATGAAGAGCAAACTAGGATGGAAATAGAGAAGCTCTCAGAAAAAGACTAAATTTGTACAAGTTTTGTAGAAATGAGGAAAACGCAGAAGCCTAAGAAGGAGAGGACACTGATCTCAAGCAGAGCAGAGGTGTCCATTAAAAAGAGAACTGGATTAAGCAGTCAAAGCACAAGGTGGACCCCCATGATGCAACTCACTACTGTCCGTGACCTGAGCACTAAGCCATTGGTTTAGGGAAAGTGAACAACAGTGAGATGCAGAGGCAAACTTGGGCCCCATGTGGTTCCCACGATTCCTTTTACTGCATTGCTGGACCTCAAGGGACGCTAAGGTTGTTCTACATCTCCTCATGGACTGGGATCTAATTTAGGTGGCGCAAATCATCCTACTTAAGAGATAGGGGTGAGTCCACAGGCAATGCCCAGGTCTTCACAGGCAAAACTGATTTCCATGAAACTTTAGGGGAATGGAGAAATGCTTTTAAAATGCAACATTGGGGACCCCACGCAAAGGAGTAGGAAGGTGTCGCCAGGGCTCTCTTGGACAACTGCTGATCATGGTTACTCAGTATGTGTGAGAGAACCAAACTCTTGCCTTCCGGGACTCAGAAGCAAACAGAATTTTTTTGTAACTGTAAAATCTAGGCTGGTAGAATCCAGGCTGTCTATATTAACCTACGAAACCAAGCTATTTTTAGAATTTTAAAAGAGAAAAATTAAATGCCTTTCACAGGAGGTGCAGTATAACAATCTATAGGTTTGGGAGGGTTTTTCTTTGACATTTCCTTGAAAATAACACATCTTGTAGGTGAGAATATATGGTGTCGATGGTAATTGCCTTTTTGCTGGAGCTACATTTTCATTCTCCTCCCTTTCTCCTCCAATATTAATTATCAGGACTAAAAATAGTCCATTGTGAGATCTTTGTGCCTCTGGGAGGCTTCTGTGGAAATCTGACATCTGTGCAGGAGGCTCTGCTGCGATGTGTGTCTCTGTGAAGCTGTCTCCTGTTTGTGAATTCAGTAAACACTTGCATAGTGAATGCTGAAGTGTCTGTCTCTCATAACGGTTGTGAGTGGCAGTCTGTGAGAACAGTGTCTTTTTGAGCAGACATGAATCATAGTGCCTGGAGGGAATAGAGAATGCATGGAATATTTATGATTAAGAGCATTAGTAACAATAGGGAAATATTGATACAAGAACATGCCCCTGTGTAACTGTAGTGTGCAACCAAACTGCCATGGCCTCTTATAGTTTTCCTTTTTGTATGTACCTATAAACGGATGTACCCCTCACCCTGACTCCATTTGGAGAAAAATAATATAAAGAAACTTTTAAAATAGAAAAATTAATGAGTTGTTTATATCCATGATCAGTTTAGGTGGAGTTAGATGGGTGCTAGGAAGGTCTTCAAGGACCAATACCTAGCTGCTGGAATCAGAGACTCATGGATCTGAACTAAACCTCTTCCTAAATAAACAGCCATCATGGCTGGTCAAGTCATTCTCCACTTGATGAGATTTCATTTCACCAGATATCCTTTAATTATCTTCTTGGAATGAATGTTAGTTCTGATGGGATGCAAGGTGAGGAGAAGGATGGAGGGTTACGTGGTAGCGTGGATATAATATTCGTGCTTTCTAATCAAGACACAGGTTTTGACAAATGAGTGCATTTCTAGGGAAAGCAAGATTGATTACTTTAAAATTGGGCTGTTCTAAAGAATCTGAGATACATGGTTATGTAACTGTGGGGAATTGGTTTGTTAAGTAATCCCAGGTGGAGCTTCAAAATGGGGAGCTCTATACAGTCCTGGAGCAGAATAAGAGCTCTGGGAGGCAGGGATAGGTCTAGGAGGAGGCTGAGGGGCAGACCAGGGAGGAGGGCATTCTGAGCAGGAGAAACCATTTCACAGCTGTGCCCACATGGGGGTAGTTTACAGAGAGTTGTTGGTGCTACAGAATTTTTTGTTTTAATTTTTAACCCCAAATAGTCATTTTACAGTCAGTTCTTCTGTTCAACTTGACAGTTATTATTTAATTCCCTCAAATTATTTAATTTGTATATACATTATACATTGGCAATCGAAAAACAAATTTGATTAATGTTAACTGTTTAAGCCAGGCACAGTGGCTTACGCCTGTAATCCCAGCTACTCAGGAGGCTGAGGTGGGAGGATCACTTGAGCCCAGGAGTTCCAAGAGTTCAAGTCCAGCCTAAGCAATATAGAGACCGTGTCTCTACAAAAAAAAAAAAAAAAAAAAAAAAAGTTAACTATTTGAATCAACAGATATTTACTATCACCTAAGTATAAGAATGTTACAAGTCACTCAAAATTATGAAATATGATATACATTTAAGGGTTGAGAAATTTACCTGTTATAATAACCTGGGTATTTATCTACTCTTATAGTTTGCATTTAACATTATATAAATTACTCACTTTGAATTAAGAATAGCTTTTGGTCCCCAATTATTTTCTTGTTGTCACACGTCATATATCAGGGTTGCAGACTAGTCAGTCGGTGTACAAAGGAGTTGAAAATGTACTTTTCTTTTTAGCCTAAGAAAAACATAATTTGGAAGACAAATTTGTTGCAATAAAAAACTTCTTACAGCCCCTCTCATACAAAATAAACTACAGCCACTTGTCATCTCAAATAATAAGCAAGGAAACTCCACATGGAGAGGCTGGGAAGACCCATGCTGGCCTTTGGTCCCTTCGTATTTAGGCCTACGTGAAGACTATTTCCAGAGTGTTGTCACTTACAGAGTCTTCGTCTTTGCAAAGATGAAGGCTGGCCGAAAACATTTGGTTAAAGATATCCACCCGAGTGAGTGGCTTTTCTGATCTCTGGACCAGTTGGTCTGGTATCCTTATCTCTTAGAACAGAGCACCATTAAGCTTTTTGTCCTGGTTCTTTGAGTTTTCCAAATTATGGCATGGGAGCACCAGGGTTCAGTCAAGATGCCTAGAGTTTGCTGTAGGAGCACATGGACCAAGCAGCTCAGAAGGACACCCCACAGCTATGCTGTGGGCTCCAGATCCTGCCCATACCTGTTCCCTTAAACGGATCTTTGACTAGAGCGAATCTTCTTTTATTGATTGCACTGTATTCTGGAGAGCTCTATAACATTTCATTTGAAGGCAAAATAATGATTGTTCGGTTACATAAGTTTGAAAAACATTGATTGAGATTATCCAAAAGCGTCCCAGAAAATAACCTGATTTTCCCCTAAAAGGAAATGTTTGCATATACTATGGCTCAATTTCACTGTGAATATTATACTGCAGATAAAAAGAATGAAATACATCAGTATGCTGTTAAATAGGGATATATAGTAATAGTGTTAAGTTTTAAAAAGACAAATGACAAAACAATATGTACAGTATGATTCCATTCATGTAAAAAATATACAAATCAAAACTATAGACTCCTGTATATACAACTAGGTGTAGGCACTCGGGGCTTCTTCTGCACTGACCTTTTGGTAAGATAACAAGTGGAGCCCACCAAAGCCTGTCAGAAAATGAGAAATGTGAGATGTGAGCCTGCCATTTGGAGTTGTATTTTTGTGTCAGAGAGCTTCGGTTTATGCTTGGCTTAGGTTTTGTCTCTTTTTCTTTCCTCTTCTCCTCCTCCTCCTCCTCCTCTTCCTCCTCCTTCCTTCTCCTCCACCTTCTTCCTCCTTCTTCCTCCTTCTTCCTCCTTCTTCCTCCTTCTTCCTCCTTCTTCCTCCTCCTCCTTCTCCTCCTTCTTCCTCCTCCTCCTCCTCCTTCTTCTCCTCCTCCTTCTTCTTCTTTTTCATAGTTTTTATTTTTGAGACAGAGACTTGGTCTGTCACCCAGGCTGGAGTGCAGTGGTGCAATCTCGGCTTACTGCAACCTCCACCTCCCGGGTTCAAGCGATTCTCCTCCCACAGAATACTTGTTCCCGAGTAGCTGGGATTATAGGCATATGCCACCACTCCTGGCTAATTTTTGTATTTTTAGTAGAGATGGGGTTTCACTATGTTGGCCAGGCTCATCTTGAACTCCTGGCCTCACGTGATCCACCAACTTGGCCTCCCAAAGTGCTGGGATTACAGGCATGAACCACTGCACATGGCCATGCTTGGCTTAGGTTTTCTGTCTGCTGAATAGTGACAAAGTTGATCACGGAACTAGTAAAGCCTCTTCCTCAAAACTCAGGGCTGAGCTAAAGGAGAGAGAACAATCTCACACATAAAAGCCAAATATATTTTTTAAAAGGTTAGCTTCAGTATCCAGCAGAGAAATTTTTTTAAAAAAAACATAAACTAGAAGATGCTCACAAATATTGACCGAACCATGGGAGAAAGACTATTAAGTGACTCAAATTTCAATGTATAAAGGATGATCAGTAAGGGAGTGATTTGTATTAAATTCAGAGGCAGATCATTCTCATTGCACTTCTCTCCATGGCCTTTCTGAGAAACAAATTATAGTGCAAATCTATTTTTTGACACACCAAACATTATGTACCAACTTATTCGGATTAATATTACACAGTGTTGATGAAATTTTCTTAGCAGTGCTAAGAACTAAAATGATAGATTTTTGTTGTTAAAAAGAATGTGTTGATACTTGTTTTCATGGTGACTATTAGTTGCATATTTAATTTATAGAAATGGCGTGCGTTGGAAATTATTGTAATAGTTTGAGATATTGAGCATCTGCGTGTCTCCCATGCCTCGACTTAAAAAAATTCATTGAGTGTCTACTATGTTCCAGGTAGCCTGCAAGGGGTCACAATGCAAAGATAATTTTTAATTGTTTCTAACATTATGAAGTGAATAGCCTAGTAGGTGAAACAGACACATACCAAAAATAGCAATAAAAGGCAATAGATGTTAGGAAAGAGGTTGGCAATTGCTAATACGGGGATGGAAGAGAGCTAGACTGCGAATTCCAGGTGAGCAAAGACTGGGTTGCGTCTCTTTTTCTCTGTATCCTTACGCCCCTCCCACAATGCCTGATACTTGGTATATGTTTAATAATTATTGGTAGAATGAGAGAAAGAACGGAACTATGAATGGAGCGAGGGTTGCTGGAGCAAGCTTCGTGGAAGATATGACCTTTTAACTGGGTCTTGAAAAAAAAAGAAATGAGTAAAGTGGAAAAGAAACAAGAGGGCGTTCCAGGTAGAGGCTTAGCACATTAAGGAAAATTCACGTCAAATGTGTGGAATAGAAGGAAGCTATGCCACATTAAAATGCGTATATGTAATGTGTTAAACAACACGCATACATACACAGATAAAGGATATTTTTGTTACGTGTGTTTTATCCTTATATATTTTATCCAAATATTGGGTATCCTATACATATAAATTTAAAAATTCTGCAGCTGTGAAGCCATCTGCTCTAGAGGATCAGCCGTGGTCAAGCCCTGCCTTCCCTGTTATACCCTGATGACAGCATTTACCATCACAATTGTCACTCATGTGTTCTATGCAAACCTCGTGCTTTTCAGACCTCGTGTTAATCAATAATATCAGTAGTCACTGTCAATTGTTACCACAAAACCTTTGAGGAGATCGAAGTCCTGACTGAAATGTGATCTTTCCTTTCATTTGTCTTGCATCTGATAAAGTTTGGGGCTATTCCAAAGCTTGTTAGCAGAAAAGAGTCAAGAATAAGAGGCCAGTAAGATCGTCAGAATCATCACGGGGCAAGCAGATATATGCCAGCCATATGTTAAAAGCCTTTAGAGACAAGTTAAACAGTCTCTTCTAAATGCCTCTGTGTTATCCTCTTTCATTTCGCTTTATTCATCATATTCAACAATGAGAAAATATGTCTTCATTATTTAATACCTTTGCACATAGCATATTGTGAAATGGAGTAGTAATAAAGTCTAAATCAAGCTGTTTTTAAGCTGAGGTAGCTGCAGAAAGTTCCTAGAAGAATAGAAAGATAACAGTTTAGAGTTCACAAAGTGGCATGTTGGTTCTTTCTCTTTCTTTGATTTTTAAATGTTATCACACTGTATGAGTAGACATGTCTTGTGTTCTATATTTAGCCAAAAGGATAGTGTCTCAATAAATGCTATTTGCTGTCTACATAGATTCTATATGAGAGAAGGAGTAGGTTGGGGGTGAGGGTGGTGATATAGCTACTAGAAATTCAAGTGCTTCAAGGAGGTATGCTGTAGATATCTGTGTAAGCAAAAATACCAGCTGTAGCTCAGCTACCTGAAAAGAAGGATTATATCCTCTAGGATGCTCTTAAACAATCTAGTCAATTTATGACATACCTATTTCAATGGGAAGCCAATTCCTGTGGCTCCATTTTGCTCTACTTTTTCAACCAAAGGTCATTTTTACATACTTTGGGAAAGATAGATATGGTGCTTAGGAATTAAGAGTAAAGAAGATAGTTTTCCCAAGACTAGGAGCCCTGTTCAGTTTAGGTAACAAGTCTACTAATCACAGAAGCAAAAGACTGTCCTCCCCACCTCCTAGATCTGTTGTCTACAAACTGTTTCACACAAACACAACACAACCCTTGACAGAGTAGGTCCTTAGAGGTTTTTGCTCTAGTCCTTGGGGTCTAGGGGTGCATGCATATGCAAACTTCTCTGTCTGTCATTTTCTCCCTTTCTATGTTTCTTTCCTTACTGGCCCCAACAAAAAAATTAAGAGATGTTTTGTCTTCATAGAATAAATGTTCATAAACAAAAGTATAAGGCAGAACTCCAACTGACAGTTTTTGTTAAAAAAAAAGAAAAAGAAGAAAGGAGGGAGACACATAGAAATAAAAATATAGATAGGGCAGACATATGTCTGTTCAAACCCATCTGGCCTCTTAGGCATTTTTGCAATTGGTACTTTGTCCAGGCATAATAATGACAATAATAACAGTAGCCAAATTTTATTGATTATTTAACTTTGTGTCAGGCACTATGATAAGCACTTTAGCTTTATTTTCTCATTCAGTCTGCACAAAGCCACTATGGACATGACATGATTATGTCATGTATGTGAAAATCCAATCTCTGGGAGGTTGAATTGCTTGCTCACTGTCACACAGCCAAGTGGTGGAGTCTGGACAGTATCCAGATCTAACTGATTCCAAAGCTACTTCTTTTAACTAAAACAATGTATCACTTACTCATTGAAATTGTAGCCAAATACAATAGAGGGTAAGTACCTGTTAGAAAAAGCTAGTTTGATTTACAGCCAAATCAAATTCAGGCATATGCTGTCCATGGCTCTTAGCTGATCCAACCCTTGTCACTTCCAGAGATAAGCAACATAAACACAGATTTGACATAGCCCAAGAAAGCAAGCCAATTAAAAACTTCCATGGCTGATGCCTCTGCCACGTCCTCCTGATGCCCTGAGCCTTAACAGCTTAAGTGCTGGTGTTGATCTCCTCCAAGACCTTTAAATGTCATGGACGGAAATTGCTATTTTGTTCTGGATGCACAGGTCCTAACTGTGGGGCTCAGAGAGTTCTGTGGAGTCTGTGAAATCAACACATGCCCCATCTCCCCCAGATGCCTTTACCTTTCCAGTGCAGTAGTTGATTGTCTACAGGCAGCTCCCAGGGCTGAAATAGGTTTCAGACTTTTCAGAGTTTTCATTAATGGAAACTTGCAATTCAGCAAAAGGGAAAAAAAGAAAGTAAAAGTGTTGTGGTACAGACAGGTAACAGCAGAGAGGACCATCTGCTTGTTAATAACTTGCCCACAGATTTTCATACAGCAGGACAGGGACACATTTATTATGTGATGCTGGGCCCATTCCATTCCACTATCATTTCTGTAGAAATATTATTATTATTACTTGCACAACGTGCTATATTTTTTAATTTACTTTTTAAAATCCTCCTCTCCCTGGATCATGTTCTCAATATGCCTTTTCCCTACCTCCCCGACCTCCCCCTCCCCTTTCCTGATGTACCACCTTTTTCTCAGCTCTCTCACAAACCGCAGCACAGCCTCAAACAGAGGCCATCATCACCAGCAAAAACAGTCTCTCAGTTCACAGAGAGACAAAATTCACTGAGAGACAGAACTCTAATTACATACATTGAAAATAATACTTTCCAATACAGGTCAAAATGTAGCCCAACAACTCAATGATGATTTTAAAATTTTGATTTAATTTTGTATTACACACACGTCTTGAAATAGAGCATATCTGCCTTGAACTCGGGGTTGGGAAATCTGAGTGATAAGAAACATCATATGTAATTCTGGCTCTGCCATTAACTAGTAGTGTGGACTTAGCTTTTATGTATAAAATAAGTGCATTGGACTAAACTGATGGATTGATTCATTCATTTATGAAGATCAGACCATTTGTTATTTTCCCCAGATTTGACCAGCTTAGATTTTCATACCTATTTTGGACATGGTGATATAATCGGATATTCACCCTTGGCCAATAGACTTTCTTGAGTTAAAACCAGCCCATCCCTTTGAAAACTTATGCTTTTTTCTCCCTGTACCTAGCTATGTGGTATGTATTGCATTCTGAAATGAATATGGTATTCATAATTTGACCCAAAATTATTTTTGAATTAGAAATTTATAGATATAAAAATTATTACAAAAGGGTTGAATGTAAATGGTAATTTTAAAATTATAAAAGCATACATTTCAATATATTTTAAATATATACATACTATTACTCCATTATCTCATTGTTATAGCTATTGTTATATTCTTCTCAATCTTTTCTCATGCATATATCTTAAGAAATTTAGTGATTTATTGACAGCATCGGATAGCAATATCTCCATATCTGCTCCAGGACTGCATGTTATTATTTAAAAATATTGTTGGCAAATCTGTAAGTGAAAAATGTCATGTTAATAATTATTTAACCTTCCTCTACTTCAGCACTTATGACCTTATGTATTTTCTTTTTAACCTGCCTTTTTATCTCAAGGGTAAAGAATCTTCAGCTCAGGTAGGTTTGCATTTACTCACAGCCCCTTTGGATGTTGCTTTGTAGGCTTATAGATGGTGAAGCAGAACAAAATCATAGCTAAGCACACAGACAGGAGGGGGCACACATCCTTGTTTTTCTCTTTATTATTTGTGTGGCATTAATCAAATTTGTTAATCTTTCTAAGCTTGCAGTGACATACAACTTTCTTCATTACTGTTACGAGAAAATTGACTGAGACAGTATGTTTACACACTTGCTGCACTCTTGAGCACTCTCAAATCCTCTTAAAATGTTCATCATTATGATCATCATTTTTTCCTGTAATCCATTAAATAATTCTTTCTCCTAGAATTGATTTTTCATGGTTACAGGACAAGTATCAGTAATTAATTAATTGCTTGTTGTAACCATTAATTGATTAATTTATTCTGTGTTCAACTAATCCTAGGAGTCATCTTTATTCTCTTACCCAAGCCACAGGTGATTCTGTTGGCTGTACCTCTAAACTTCATCTCAGAGAATTCTCTCCATTTCTCTCCCATGTCTAGTGCTACAATGATCTCAGTGATCTCTCCCCTGATCTGTTCAGTCTGCTGGCTGGCCTTTTTCTCTCTAACTTTTTCTGCCCAGCTTCTACCTCCATCCATTTTCAACATTGAAAGCAGATCTCTTCTTTAAATATGAAGGAGGCTACATATTTAATTATTTCGCAGTTAAATTCTTGAATGTGGTCTAATTGTGTTTGGAATACAATGGACGCTCCTTGCCATGGTCTACAGGAAACCGACTGAGGATTGTGTTTGGAATACAATGCATGCTCTTTGCCATGGTCTACAGGAAACCGAGTGAGGTGCCCCTGCCTGCCTCCACCACTTCGCCTTCCACTGCTCTCCTCCGCAGCTGCCTTTCCCAGCCACACCGACATCCTTGCTGGTTCTGGAATTCACCAAGCTGTTTCCCTCTGTGGGGCTGTTGAACTTTCTCTTCACCCTGCCTGGAATGTTCTCCTCCCAGACCTTCACACAGGCTCCTGCCCAGTGCCATGTTTTCCTGCACACCTGCCCTGACTTTCTTGCCCAGACTTCAGATACCTCATACTCCTTTATAGTCTTTTACTTTCTTAATTACCCCATCACTGTCTAAAATTATTGTCATTTCTATTTATGTCTTCCAGTGCTTTTTTTCCATTTCTCACTCTCCAGAACTCCGTGAACATGCTCTCTCCTCGAAGAGAAAGGCAGTATTTTCTATGTATTGCTGTACGCCTGACACCTACAATAGAATGGAAAATCAGTAACTGTTAGATGAATAAATGAGCAATTATTTTGTGTGTTTACTACGTTCCAGGTACACACAGAATTACTAGGTCTTAGACCAAGAGGTTGGTCATCAATCATTTGTGATTTTGGTGGGTCTTCCTTTGATCTTTGTACATTCTGGACCACTCCTTTTTTTGGGGGAAACATACAATGAATGCAGGTACGTATGTAACCAAGAATGAGCTCTGGTCTACGAATCCTGGTTGTGCTCAGAAAGCTTAAGCCAAGCATGTCAAGGAGGGTCCTGCACTGCAGGTCTCTTGCTATGGGCATGCTCACTCACTGGAGGACCCCGTCACCCACCCAACAAGGTAAACCACTAGTTTATATACATCAGACAGCTCAAAGTCTTGGCAAAGCCTGGGCCTGGACAGTCACCAGTATTCCAGCAGTTGAGGCCCCTGGCCCTTTGCTGTCTCTCAACCTATTATGGTAACTTGGATCCCCATTTTCTCCATTTTTTTTCCAGATACCAGCCAGGTACCCTGGCTTATCCTGGGTTGGGTTTTTAATTTTTCCCCACAGATCTCTCCCTCCATATGCCCCTCCCTCAGGCTCCAAGGTACAGCAATGAACTGGTCCATCTCTCACAATGCCTCCACGTGCACAGGCCTGTGCCGATATACCCGCAAAACATGCACACTTTGAAAAGCAGCTTGTGGCCCCCTAGACCTTTGGAAAATATTCCTCACTTAGACAAAGCCTAGAGAGAGGCTTCCGTCTCACTTTGACTTGATGAGTTGATATTGCTCTTCGTATAGCTTTCTATTTGGAAACAACTCTGTTTATATCACACACATTTTCTGTATTTCTGCTGCCTCATTTTTTACTATTAAGGACACTTGCCTAGAAACAGAATCTATACTTTCTTCCCCAGTGTTCATCTCCTCTCACTGCCTGTTCTTCACCTGAGTATATCACGTTTGATTGCTACACTGCAAAACTGGGCACAGCTTTATCCCCACTATATAGTATCAATCTGTTTACCCATCCATCTTTCTTCCTATCTTTATACACACAAGAACACATAAATGTCTCTAGTGAAATGTGTATGTGCTAATATTTCTCAGAGATGCAGGGATGATGTTTCCTTTTATTCCTCTGATAAACCACAAAATAATACTGTACTCAGCATCTACGTAACGTCTCATTTATTTTAACTAATTAATCCTCATAGGTGCCTGTGGAGGCAGAATCCTCACTGTTACCATTTTAAAGATGAGGAGACTGAGACAAAGAGAGATGAACTCGCTTGTTCAAGGCGATATGAAAATTTCTCAGCACAGTGGAGGATTAAAATTCAGAGTGACAAACTCCCTGATCCTGTGATTAGATCATTAGATCCTGGTGCCATGTATCCAACCTCTTAGAACTTGGAGAATCAGGTACTTAATATTGCTAAAGGAAATTGATGGAAAGGTCAAACATAAAAGGTACAAAGTACAGCTCCTCTTTTACTCTACAAGTAATGAAGCAGATTTCTTAGTGTTTAATTTAAGAACCACTTGGTATATGAAACACATTTCTTGAGAGAGAGAAAAAATGGCTTTGTGTCTAGACTCCCAGTCTTTGGGATTAAGAGCCACCTGCCTGGTTCAAGGATCTGCATTTCTCCAAAGTGCTCTCCTCACACCCGTCTCTGTCTGTGGCGCCATAATCATTTCCACAGCAACTCCAAAGGGGGGCGATGATTGTGGCATCACATGCAGGAGATTATACAGCCTCAGGCCGGGGATAACTAACAGAAGGAGAGAGATTCTCATTGAACAACAATCTTGCTTTGTGCAAATCTGAGCAGGAGAGAAGACGGAAGGGAGGAGAAATACAGGCAATCTAAGATCTAGGGGACATTGGTTTTAAATAGGTTGTTTTTCAAAGGTTTCTGGAAGATACTGGTTCTTCTAGAGGATTATGGAAAGTGCTGAGATAATTACCTTAGCCTTATAAACTTAAAAAATATACATTTATTAAAAAGTGTGTTTAGTGTTTGGCAAGCTGTCAGATAAATTTTCAAGGAAACCAGAATCTCCAGGACGAAAGGGCACCCGGCAGGCAGAGTACACAAAGGGATGTTGATGTGTTGGACAGTGGCCCACAATGGGACCCTGGTCACCGCTTAACTGCTCTATTGTTTATGCTGGTGTCATGCGTGTGTGCCGTTTGTTTAATTCATGTAGAGTCATGGTTAAGAGCAGAGTCTTTGGAGTCACGAAAACCTAGGTTCCACTAAAGTGCTAAGTAAGCTTTCTAATCTGTTTGACTTTATCTGTAAAACGTGAATTTTACCTACCTCATGGAGATGTTGAGAATTTTAAATAAAACCGTCCATGGAAAGCATTCATAACATGGCCTTATAAACCACAGATGCTGAAAAATCATGATTCCTCTGGTTATTGTTATTGATATTACCAACATGAAAGCCATAGATGATTAAATGATCTGCTTCAGACATCCATTTTCTTCATTTCTGTGAAATGAACACTGTACTACACACTACTGTGTAGATGTGGTCCTGGGGGAGGCACCTTTGTTTTAGCCTTAGATTTGTTCATCCTTCCATTCATTTACCCATGTTCATTTTATTCAAAAAATATTTGAAGTAGGTTACAGAAAGATATAAAATAAATTTTAAATCCAGACCTCTTTATTATGTATATAATATATATCAAGAAATAAAATTTGAATAGTAAGAATATGCAGTTTATGTATTAAAATAAATGTTATAAAGCCCTGCAGAACTAGGAAGATAGGAATTCAGCTGTGAGTTTCCTGATTTGTGAGGCAAAGAGGAAAAGAAGGTCATTAAAAGATCTGCATTGCCCATAAATAGAAACACACCAATCTCACTTAGGTCAGGGGTCAGCAAACTAAGCCCAGCTGGCCAAAGCATGAGCCAAGGAGAGTTTTACATGTTCAAGTGTTGTTTAAAAACATGCAGAAGAATAAGCTACAGAAACAGCATATGATGCTTAGACTGTACTAGTTACTCTCTCTGGCCCTTAACATAAAAAATTTAACAACTTCCCAGAAAAAATATCTAAGGAAAATTTCTCCTCCGCAAAAGAGACTTCCTTTCCAATTCATCTTGCTCCACTTTTCGTCTTCTTAACTATGCTCCAGTCACTCTGCCCATTCTCCTATTCTCTCCTCCTGGGTTAAGCTTACAAAGGAGAAGTTCCTCTCCACTGTATCCTAGTGGCCTAGGACACCCGGCCTTTGCCTGGTACTTCAACTGGTCCTTCAAACCTGCACTTAAATGTTACCTCCTCAGAGAGCCTTCTCTGATCACCTAGTCCAAAATCTATTATCTTCTTGTGTCTCGAATAGCAACATGTTACTTTCCATTGTAGCAATTTTCAGAATCTGAAAGTTTCTATTCATTCACTTACTTGTTTGTTTAATTCTCCATGAGGACAGGGATCATGATTCAGTTAATCTCAGCTAGATAATTCTAGTTCTCAGTATTTGGCACAAAATAAACAGTAAATAAACATTTGTTGAATGAAAAAATAACAATAGAGATGTTCAATGGGCTACTTTTTTTTATAGCATCCACATGGAAACTGTAGGCAAATACCAAAGTGTTCTTTATTAAAGTGGTGTTGGGTGAGGGATTAAACAGTGTAGAGGAAGTTGGGAGTTTTGGTATAAAACAATGGTTTCTATGCATTTTTGTCTGGTTGATTCTAAAATCTATGATACTCAGAATATTAGATGGATTGCATATTCTTCAGACTATCTTTGTACCAAATTTTCATAACTGATGGAGGTTATGTTCACTTTCAAGGATCCATAGACATTATTTATTGCGTATCAAATGCAAACCAAGATAGGCTATATCGTGCTAATAAACAATCCCAGAATTATAGAGACTCAACATAATGAAGGTTTATTTCTCAGTGTTGCATTGTAGTTATATGCGAGTTTGGGCAGATTATGTTAGATTGCATTGCTTGGAACAGAATCTGAGATAGAGTTGCTTGCCGAGAGTTTATTGGGAAGTGCTTCTGGGAGATATATCTGTACAGAAGTGAAGAAGGCAGAACCGGACAGAAAGAGAAGCTGACGCACAACCTGGCTACAGGTGAAGCTGTGGCCAATCCCTGGTGAGACTTTCATTTTCCTCAATCAGTTAGACACTGGCCATGGATTCTCTCCTGAGTGGGCCCAGCCTTACACATGGAAGTCCTACATGTAAAAGCCATTCCCATAGAGAAACTCAGTTCTGAGCTACTGTCAGTGGGTATTCCTGGCAGCCAAGGGGCAGTGAATCATCCCTAAAGAAGGGGCTGGAGCAGAGCTGCTCACATCTGCTTGCTTCTTAGAGGAATTGCAGTCATCTAGGAACAGCTGTTCAAAGTTTTGGAATGGTCTTGTTTCCTAGGTTAGAGGGATGGACTGTGGAATCCATTGCTGTAGTAATACAAGGCTATGATTGATCATTTTTATTTTTCTTCCACTGGCATCTGTTCTAGACTCCCCCCATCTCAGCCAGCATCTCTGCTGGTCTAGACACTTGGCCTTGTGGGTTGACCAAGAACCTCATTTCTGTGGGGTCTGAAGCCTAGTTTCTATGATCTGCTCAGCTGTGGCTACTGTGTTTGTCCATTTACTATTAAAACCGGACATGGGACATCAAAAGCTGCCCCAGGGAACCACCAGATCCCAAACATAGTCTTACCTGATGCCCCCATGATGTGAAAGCAGCCCTACCACCAGGATTCTGATCCTGGTGATCAGAATCAATTGTCGCTATCAATGTGGTGACTTCTCTGGTTTTCTGATCTCACGGCATGAGGAGCTTTAAGTGGCCTGGTGGCAACTATAATGTAAAGTATGGTGGGACTCATTCTGTATCCCCAAGGGGAGGCCCTGCACCTCTGGGAACCATAACTTCTACCCTCATATCCTGAAATTGCAAGAACAGGAAGAGCAGGTTTCTCAAGTGAATCACTAGGGTAGATGGTAATCAGGGTAGCTCCTACTTCTACTCTTTGGTCTCTGTACTGATGCATTTCACCTCTTGAGAAACCAGCCCCATAAAATGGAATACTTACAGGGTACTGCCACCAAGTTGACACCTCAGCTGCAATTTTAAGAAGCCACTCACAATTCCATTAGGGGAGGAGCTTTAGAAAAGCTCAGAATGTGGTAGAATCATGGAATTCTCATGGCCCTATGTTCATGGCAGTGCCCCCTTAGGTGTAAAGTGGGTGCTCTAGCTCAAGGCAATATTGTGAAGGATGCCCTGTCACTGAAGAAAATGCTCAGGCTCACGCATGAATAGAGAAAGTCCTTTGTCCTCCTCCAACATCTGGTCACATCCTCAGCATCACTGGTGTGGGCTGGGGGAGAGGCACATTTGCAGTCGTGATGGACAGCTTGTAAATGTGCTAACTGATTGTGCAGCCTCCTGTGTCCTCTGACTATGGCTTTGCCTAATCTTCTGATGTTTTGCTGTTGGGCTGCCCAATCTTATGATTTGATGTGTCTGAAGAATCAAGACCATGAAGGACAGCTCTGACTACAGTCATTTGATGTCTGGTAAGCAGATAGTTTGTCTCTTCCTAAACCACCTAATATTATTGATGTTGCTTTGTGAATGATGTATAGTTCTCTGTTGGAGATGTTATGTCCTTTTGCAAACCCCTCAGAATCTTTGTGGAGATTCCTCTATTAGTGCTTGCTATAAGCTTCACTTTGCATCTTTCCCCATGCTAGTTAGCTCCAGTATCATCAAGTCTGTTGGTCATTTGGCTTATGCCTCAGGAATGCTTGCACTGCAGCCTGGACTGGCTGCAGAGCAGCTTTCTATTCTGGATCTCAGTCAACAAAGGCTGCCAACTTCTATGTCACCCAGTAAACAAATCATATTAGTATGCCCGAATGCATATGCCCGAATGCATAATATTCTGCCTCCAGAGCCTGCAGAGGGCTCCCAAGCCTTGTGCTTCTTTATTAGTGTTGGGAAGCAAGAAATGCAATAATTTGTTCTTTATTTTTGAGAGACTGTCTTAGAATGTTGTAGACTACTGAATCCCTAAAAATTTCATGATATCATACACCTCTGAGTCTTTGCAGGGTTCATTCCTTCTCTGTGGAGTAAACACACCTTACCAGAGCCTCCAATGTACTTGCCACTCCTTGTTCATCTGTTCTATTGAGCACAGTGTCATTGATATAGTAGATTAATGTGATATTCTACCAAGTGTCCAGGCAGTCTGTGTCCCTTTGGAATACGTCAGAAAGCTGGAGAGTTGTCGTAGCCCTGGGACAAACCATAAATGCACATTATTGTTCATCCCAGGAGTATACAAAATGCTTCTGATTTTCCCTTCTGATAGGAAAGGAAAAGGATGCATTCACTATATCACTGACCACATAACAAGCCCCACAGTCTGTTTTAATCTGCCCTAGCAGAGATACCACATCTGGCACAGCAGCTGGAATGAGAGTTACTATTTGGTTAAGTTTGTGACAGTCCACTGTAATCACACATGACCTATCTGACTTGTGTAGGAGAAAGAAAAATTTCAGAGGTACATGGGGATATAACAGGGAAATATCACATTTCTTTAAGTCTCAGAAATTGAGAATCTCAGAGATGCAGTTTCATTTTTCTTTTACTTGCTAGTTTGATTAGGGATGGGGCAGAGGCATGTACAAAGATTTCCACTTGGGCTTCCCGACTATGGTAGCTGTTAATAGGCAAATGAAACAATGTGGGTGCAGTGCCCATCCTATTGTACATTTGGGAACTGAAATGATCCCCATGTGGGTCTGTGGACTCAGTGCCCCCACCCTACACAAGGCATGGGAGAGGAAGCCAGCTGTCTCCCCCACACCTCCCTTCTAGAAGGCAGGTGTAATGATGCTTTGGATCCTGAGTAACAATGTCAATTCAGATTCTGCATCCAACAACTTACCCCTTTCCAAATGTGTGGATGTTTGAGAAAATGGCTTTCAGTCCCTTTAGGAAGGAATGAAGGAATTTCTATTGAAATCTTTGCCAGCTCTGTTTCCTGCAATGGATTCTGAGTCTTAAAACTATTTAAGATCCAGAAACTGGGCAAGAGATGGTAAGTTTTATTGCGGTAACTATCCTCAGACTTCTGATAATTTGTCCCTGATTTCTTTAGATTGTACAAATTAAGCAGAACTCATCTCTCTTGGCTCTAAGTACATCATGTTTTAGTCCATATCTCCATAGGTCTTGAAAAATTTGACCCATCCTTAGTGACACTTAAATGTCACTCATTGTGACAATTGCCCGATCTTGATTTTGATGACTTATCACTGTGTTAAACAAAATTATCGGGGCTGTTGTTTTGGACTCAGCTTATGCACTAGGCCATGATAGGCCAGAGAAAGCCAAAATGGAGTCATTCATGCTAAATGTCAAGTAATCAAACTGAAATGTTAAGGAAGCAGATAAATCCCAAAAGAGACCAGTTTTTTTTTTCTTTTTTTATTCTGAAAACAGGAAATTTCAACATAAGGAAGTCCCTCTTCTCTAACCTTTCCAAAAAGTAACCTTAAATAACCCTATATTAACCAATCAGTATTTTTTTTCTGTTGTCTGTTTCCTTGCTCCCATCTTGCAAAACCCTCTGTTCTGCTACTTCCCAGTAGAATTTGAGACCAAATAGTCCATTCACGAATGAGACAGAGTGACATCGATGCCTAAAGTTTTGGCCAACCTCTCAAAATTGAGAGGTTGACCAAAAGTGGAGAATTGTTAATTTAAATTTAACCCAAAGCTGCCTCCTTACATAATTTAGATTTGGCCTAAAGATGTCTCCATACATAGTGAACCATAAGTCAACTGGATGTGTAGACAGACTGTAACCTACTCTTGTAACGAGTCTGCCAATCACAGCCTATGAAGGCTGGGCCAGTCATAGGCAGCCAACTGTTCAAATAAGGCAAATGGGTGTCACCAGTCCAGCTGCTTCCATACCTTACTTTAGTTTTCTGTATGCTACTTTCTGTTTTCTGTCGATAAATGTTATCTAACCATGTGGCAGGCACAGAGACACTTTGAACTTATTTCAGCTCTAAGGGCTTGCCAATTTGCAAATCATTCTTTGCCCAATTACATTGTTACATTTAACTTGTCTAAAGTTTTTATTTTACAACTGTTACCTGGCCTGTATTATTGGGGAATCCTATAATCTGTTAACCATTATTTTGGGATCTGATCATCTTCACTCTTATCAGGGAGCCCAGTTCTGTAACCACATTTCACACAGTCATCTCTGTTTACAGAGAGCAGCACACATACATAAACAGAATCCAGTTAACTAGCTAGTTCTGTAGATTAATGGATTATTATCCTTTATGAAATTAAAATCATATTTTATTTTAAATAAAAGTATTAACTCATTGATCACTTAAATTTATCAAAAAAGAAAAAGAAATTTAAGTGCAAATGAAGGAATAATTGACCTTCAAATAAACATATTAGGTCTTAAAATATCCCTCTACTGTTAAGAGGATAGGATTGTGAAAAATCATTAATAGATTGGCTTCCCTGTATCTAGGTCTCCTTTTTAATAAAAAAATGCTTTAAATTTAAGTAGCATCAATTGATTGCCTCCAATGAAGATGATACCACTACTATATTTGCATTTTACCCTATCTTTGCTCCTCCTACCTCTACTTGATATCTGTTAATTTTATGTGTATATATTCAGGTATATAAACTCCTCATTTTGTTCTTTAGCCACAAATTCCCGTAATTTTTTAAATGGCCCTGGCTTAACCATCTGTTTTTTTTAAAATCTTGTCTTCTATATTGTCAAGTTACTTTTTTTGATTTTTGAATTAATATGCTAAATTTTGGAATTATGTAGAGTTTTATTCTTAGATGCCACATTTCCTAAGTCCTTTCTTGTTTGAAAATGCTTACATGACACTGTATTGGTGAACTATAAAAAAAATCAGCCTATAGGCCGGGCACAGTGGTTCATGCCTGTAATCCCAGCACTTTGGGAGGCCGAGGTGAGCGGATCACCTGAGGTCAGGAGTTTGAGACCAGCCTGACCAACATGGGGAAACTCCATCTCTACTAAAAACACAAAAATTAGCTGGGCATGGTGGTGCATGACTGTAATCCCAGCTACTTGGGAGGCTGGGGCAAGAGAATCTCTTGAACCCAGGAGGAGGTTGCAGTGAGCTGAGTTTGCGCCATTACACTCCAGCCTGGGAAACAAGAGCAAAACTCTCTTTCAAAAAGTAAATAAATAAATAAAAAATCAGCCTATGGCTGGGCTCAGTGACTCACAACTGTAATCCCAGCACTTTGAGAAGCGAAGGTGAGAGGATTGCTTGAGTCAAGAGTTTAATACCAGCATAAGCAACAAAGAAAGACCCACAATTTCATAAAAAAAATAAAAAGTTAGCCTGGCACAGTGGCACGTGCCTGTAGACCCGGTTTCTCAGGAGGCTGAGATGAGAGGATCACTTGAAGCCAAAAGTTCGAGGCTACAATAAGCCATGATCACACCACTGCACTCCAGTCTGGCCAACAGAGCAAGGCCTCATGTCAAACAAACAAACAAACAAACAAAAAATAGCCTAAGCATAATAATCTTGGATCAAACAAACTTTCTTTTAAAACTGTAATTTAAAAAAATTAGCCAGGTGTGGTGGCACATTCCTGTCATCCCAGATACTTGGGAGGCTGAGGTGGGAGAGGTGGGAGGATGGCTCAAGCCCAGGAGGTCAAGACTGCAGAGTTGTGATCCTGTCACTGCACTCCAGCCTGAGCGACAGAGGGAGACCCAGTTTCAAAACAAAACAAAACAAAAAAACCAAAAAACCCCAAAAGTGTAGAGACATTTTCCTATTGATTTTGCATCACAGTGGTGTGCATCTATAGTCTCAGCTACTCTGGAGGCTGAAGTAGGAGAATGCATTGAGCCTGGGAGTTCGAGGCTGCAGTGAGCTATGATCACTCCATTGTACTCCAGCCTGGGTGATAGCAAGACCCTATCAAAAAAAAAAAAAAAAAAAAACCTTAAACAAAAAAACAACTCTGAAGACACTCCTATTATTTTCCTCTTGCAGATGATTCGTTTTGCTGCCTGCATGACTGAACGATTACCTCTTTATCTTTGAAATTAAGTGGCTTAAATGGAAAGCATATCTCCATATTGACTACTCTATATCAAAATGTCCTGGAAACTTTCGTAACTTTCCAATTTTAAGAGTCCATTCTTCCTTCATTTTGGTGAAAATTTTCTTGTATCTTATCTTTGAAAACATCTTTTATTTCACTTGTTTAGTTGAATATTCCAGGAGTCCAATTAGCCTTACTATAGGTTATCATTGACTGCCTTCTATGTGTAGTAGTGGTTTCCAAAATGCATACTCTGCATACTTTAATCTAGTTATTTTTATATTGTTGCTGTTGTTTGCATCACTGGGATTATTTAAACTTTTTTGCTATGTGGGCGTTTTGATTTTTTAGCAGTGTCTATTCTATTTCTTGATAGTTCTTATATCTTTTCTCCAAGTCTATTGTTTGACCTTCAACTTGTTTACTTAGGTTTATGATCTTTCTTTCAATGTCCTTTCATTGGTATTAGCTTCTATTTTATTGAATAAACTGTTTTTAGGTTGTTCTATAGTAGAAATTATCATAAAATTGTTCTCTTTCCCAATTGTACATGGGATCCTTTGTCTTTTGCAGGCACTCTCTCTCTCTGTTTCACACACACACACACACACACACACACACACACACACACACACACAAAGTATGTGTGAATAGTTGTCCCATCATTTCTTTCTGTTATTGCTCATGCTAAGATAGCTCTGTCTGGGCCCTGAGATATAGATGATTTATTAGTAATTTGAGCCCAGTTTGTTTCACTGGGGGCTGCAGTTCTTGGGTTGACTGTTTACAACTCTACCCATGTTTCCGGGATTGAGACAAGTCATTCCTTATCATGGGCAGGTGTCTGTCTTCATAAGAATACCTGGAATGCCTTGGAATTCCCTCCCCTTGAGATAATACACTGGGGCTTCCGAGTATCCACCAGTGCCAGGAGCAACCCCAGACCTCATGGCAGTCAAGCAGAAGCAGCCCAGTTTCTCCCAGCAGACATTGCCTCTAATCTTTAGTCCAAAAGGAAAAAGTTTTCTCTACCTAAAAGTATGTGTCTGTTAGGGTTATTCATAAGAAATATGTGAACTTTTTTAAGTCCATTTTCAGGTTTAAGATGTAGGGAGGTGGGACAGGATTCAGAGCTGAGCTCTCTTCTCTGCCTTAGTTTTCTGCCCCATCCCCATTGCTTAGCCATCAGAGGCCAGCAAAATAATTTACTTTTCAAAACAAATTTTGTTACCTATGTGTGAACAAAGTAGGTGAGATACAGTTCTTCCTTTCCTGGGAGACTCCCATCCAGTTGGATGTAACTTTATACACAATCACAAATAAACCAAAACATAGGAGAGCAGTTAGCCTGACACCTATAGAACCTGACTAGGTCCTTTGCATTCAGTTGGACTAAAAGCATATGTAGACACAGGGGACAGGATGTGGTTGATTTGTTTAGTTGTATTGAAGCTTGGCTATTTTTGAAGTTAAAATATAGCTGGAAACACAAAATTAAATCATTAAATGACTATAACCCATGTAACTGGGAGATTGTTGCTTCACCTTCATGATGATCTATAGGAAGCATCATGTAATTCTTGGTGTGGGGAACAGCATTTACCTGAATTGGGGCAAGTCACGCTTGGTTGCCTCTAGCTACTTTAATTCTATCACATTAAAGACCTCTTCCTTTTAAAGACTGAAAATGCTGTTGCTCCAGATGTGTAGTCATCTAGACCCTCTTCCAAAGTACATAAGACGTGGTCTGGACAGGACTCAAATCCCCCAGACCCCAAGCTGCTAGGATCATTTAATCAAATCTTACCCTCATGTTAAATCTCTTTCAGAGCATTATATGAAGCAAAAAGAAAACAAAATAAAAAGAAGGATGGAAAGGCCCCTATGGAATTAATTCTTCTGCAGACCAGTGCACATTGATTTGGTTAAATGAATTTTCTATTATACAAGGACCATGTTTAACTCTTAAGCCACTGAGAAGTGAGTAAAGGGAGGTAGGAAGGATAGAACCGGATAGAACCATAGGTGTAAGAACTAAAGCACCTTCTGTCTCCAGTTATACTTTGGCTGTAGCTTTGGGAGAAGATTAAATGTGTGTGCTGAAAGTATTAGTATTAGATAATTACTAAGCAAGAAAGGCAAAAGGTGTTAATAAATTAAGTTAGCTCTTATTTCCTCTGGTTTATTAAAAATATACACCTTAAGAATATAATGTTACAACATTGTTAAATGAATTTGAAAATGAAAAAAACCCTGCATAATCTCTTTCTTCTAACATAACTAGTTCCATCTGCACTTATTACTTTCCAGTCCTGACTGCTATGAATTCATGATTTTACATCTATTCTGACAGTGCTGTAGTCTACATTTTCATTGAGCATTAAATCATAAATACTTCTCATGTTTCTTTCCATTTAATTTTTATAAAGATCATTTAAACAGATTCGTCATATTTCTCCAGTGGACATTCTGTAATTTACCAATATGTCTCCCTATTATTGGATAATTAAGTTGTTGGGTTTCCCCCCTGCGGAGTCATACAGAAATGTGCTCCAAGCTGCTATGGTGGCACAAAGACATAAGGGAAAACACAGCGTTAGAAAGACAGAGCCTGCGTTGTCCCATGGGACCAAATAAAAACTTGTTTGCTGGTTCCCCTTCTCTCAGGCTGCAAAGATGCCAAGGTTGCTAAGAGCCAGGGTTAGGAGATGTGGATGTTATGGGGTGTGTGGTCTCCAGGAGGGACCAGAGCCTGCCCTTGATGAGAACTCATACCAGGGAAGGCGTAAAGCTCTATACTTCAGCTCTCAGTGTTAACTACATTTTTCACAAGTCGCCAGTGCACACTTTTCATTTTTGGATTGCTGGTTTCCCCTTAAGGACTAAGACAATCTCCCTTTGATATAACAGACTGTACTTCTATATTAATGTGTCAAGTTGCTGCGAAATTTACTGCCTCACTGGGCCCATTAGACTGCTGAGATTCAACTCTGTCTTCAGCGTGTCTCAGTCTATCAGAGCTCGATCGTCTTTCTCAGAACAACTTGTCCCCATGTGCCACTGTACTGAGCAAAAGCTCTTAATGGGATGAGTGCAAATGAATTCTTCAGGTCCTGGGAACTTTTGGGGATAGGAGGGTGCTCTCTCCCTGAAACCATGAGCAGGAGAGACCTCTGATTTCCAAAGGGCATTCAATCAAGGGTTTTCCTTGGCATTTCTGCACACCCCCAGTTACATTGCCACTTGCCCATAAGCTGTTATTACCACCATGGCTTAAAATCATGCCTGATGTGCAACTACTCTCATTATCCCCAGCCTCCCTCATCACACACACACACACACACACACACACACACATATTCATTCTAACTTCCCTGTCTCCTTTGTTTGACAGGCCTGTCTCCTTGACAAAGGCCACCCAAGTCACTGAGGCGTGTGAATTTGCAATTGGTGATGAAAACACTCTTCCCAAGAGAAACAAACTTCTAGTCACCTTGTACTTCTAAAGTGCCCAGGAGTTCTTGATTGGAGGAAGTGAGCGATGTAGATAGACAACCTGGAGACTTTGCTAGCACCCATGATGTCATGACGCATACTCTGTGTTACCACATTTGTTTGATTAATATAGGCCTCCCCCCAGTTGATCATTACTGTCTGCCCTAGAAAAATGGCAGAGATAAAGTCAGGGTGCATTTTCAGTTGTTTCTATCCTTTTAGAAATAAATGGCTAATTTTATTTCTTAAAATTTTGCTTTTTTTTTTCTTTCCAATATAGCGGGAAAGGGGCAGGTGTGGGAGGCTTGTTGATTCAGGGAGAAGCACAAATTAAGCCTGCAGAGTGATCTCCAGAGGGTAAAACCCAAGTGTGACTTTGCTATCATATTATTTTCCAGCCATGCATCAATTGTTGTCAGTTCTTGAATATGTAATATTGCATATGATAATGCTCCCTAATGGGTGTTCAAGATAGAGTCAGAATATTGTACAGCAGCATGTGTCATTGGGTGTTGTTAGCAAGCTCAGATGAGCACTGTTGTTTTCTTTATTCAAAAATCATTTGTACTGCTTTGGCACAAAGACAGGCAGAGCTACTGGTACAATTTTATTTTTAACATTCTGAACCATTGTAAGCTTAGTGAACTGTTTAATATGTTACATTCAACAAGGATGGCTTATACATTACCAAGGCTTTGGAACTGTCATACCTTAAAATGAGTACAAGTTGTGGACAAAAGCTCTTTGTTATAAAGCTCCACAAATGCAGACCAGTTAGCATTAGGACTTAAGAAGGAACCAAGGGTTATTTTTTATTTTTCAATTTTTTGCTTAGTGACGGATGTAGAACATCCTACTTCATCTGTAGCAGAATTTACTGCTATTGTTTTCTTTCAGGCATTGGCTACATTGAACTTGTTTTTTTTGGAATATGATTTGCAAACTCAAAGCATTGGTTGAGGACTGTACTTTCAACTCAGCAAACTCAGTTTGGAAAATAGGATTCTCTAATTGCACCTGTAAACAGACACAGGAGACATCACAGTAAAAGCTAAGTGGGCTGGACATTTGTATGCAGAAGTCAGTGCTATAAATTCATTGTTGAAAGCCTGGAAATTCAACCTGAAGGGGCATTCATGCATACATAACTTAGACACCAGGTAAAGTCTGCTTTTATAAGACAGGGCAAAATAACAATATTGAGTTGCATATTCTTTTTTTTTCTATGTATCTTGTATATGTGCATCTACATATATAGTAACCTGTTGGGCTCTAAGGGGACATTACCTGTTTTATCACCTGTTATGTACTGGTATCAGTATAACTATGAGCATGGCTGATGCGCTGAAGGATGTCCCTTTCTAAACACTAAGATTGGTATCAAATAGTTAAGACTTAAACTCCAGAATTTTAGAGGAAAAAAGAATTGAAAGGAACAAGATCTAAATCATGGGTTGATTGTAGACAGGGTTACTGAGCAGCTAATAAGATCACTTGTATTATTAATTACAGTCTGAAAAGCAGAGGTGGTGTTTACTAAGAACTCACCAAAGGACTAGGCAGTTATCTAGCTAGAGAAAGTTTCATTTCTGATTCTTCTCCTTGCGATCATCACATTATTTGCAAAGAAAATAAAATGACTCATAGTTTACCATTCTGAGTATTTGTGTTACCTTTCGGTAGGGTATTCATTGCTGTGGTTGTATTTTACATCCCAGGGATGTGGAAGCATTGCTATTAAAGTCTGATATGCATGTTTCCAATCTCCTATGTATATGTTTGTGAAGGTGTGGGCATATAAATATAGTTGAATTGCAATCACACTGTTAAATAACAATTTTTGAAGTCTTATTTTATTTTTTAAAATTAAAAATTACATAAAATTAAAGATAATATTTTAAAAAATCCTTTAATTTCCGTGGCTAGAATTGACAATGGTTGGTATTTTGCTTAGTCTTTTCCTAACATAAGCAACCAAAAGAGTGACATCAGCAAGATAGAGGACTAGGAAGCCCTGGACCATCCTTTTCCTGACAAACTCACCAATTCAGCAACAGTTCATGGACAATTTCCCTTTGTGAGAAATCTAGAAGTTAAGTGAAAATATTTCACAATCCAGACAACTGCAAAACCAGACTCACTAAAGCTGTAAGGGGGATTCAGGACACTCTCTCACTGGAGTCCCTGTACCTGACACAGGGCCTTACAACCAGGAAGAGACCCAAGGGAGATAAGGGGATGGTTTGTGCATCCAGCATGCAAGCATTCCTGAATGGGGTCAGACTGTGATCTCAGTCCTTCCAGTCTTGGAGCTTGGATGAGTCAGCAGCCTGGGAGAGAGTGGACGTGGCAGCTTGGATTGGCAGACACTATAGCGCCCTTTCCTGGCTCAACCCACAGAGCAAGCAGACAGAAACACAGCTGTCTGCTTTTCCCTAGGGAGGGAAAGAGTTAGTAGAATTTCTAGCTAGGCTGATTGGTAGGAGTCGTCTCCTGTATAGAAGAAGTCAGTGAAGACCAGGATAAATAATCAATCTAATATGCAGACACCAACATAAAGAGTCAAGGAAAATGAAGAATCAGGCAAAGATGTCCCAAATAAAGGAACAAAATAACTCTCCAGAAACTGACCTGATAGAAATAGAGTTACATAATTTACCTAAGAGAGAATTCAAAAGAGCTGTCATAGAGGCTTACCAAGGTCAATGTAACAATGGATGAACAAGGTGACAATTTCAACAAAGAGATACAAATATTTTTTAAATGCCAACAAAAATTAGGAAGCTAAAGAGTGCAAACATCAAATTGAAAAATTCACTAGAGGAGTTCAACAACAGGCTAGATCAAGCAGAAAAAAAAAAGGATTTGCAAATGCTAAGACAAGTCATTGGAAATGACTCAATCAGAGAACAAAAAGAGAAAAGAATGTAAAGAAGTTTAAAAAAAACTTAAAGGACTTATATGCATTATGGGTGTTAAAGAAGAAGAGAGAAAGAAAGGACCAGAAAGTTATTCAAAGAAATAATAACTGAAAACTTTCCAAACCTGGAGAAGGAAATGGACATCTAGATCCAAGATACCAAAAAGTAACAAGTAAAATGAACTCCTAAAATTCTAGCACCAATAAACATTAAAATCAAATTGTCAAAAGTCAAAGACAAATAGTTTTGAAAGTATCAAGAGAAAAACAACTGGTTACATACAAGGGAATTCCTTGTATGTAAAAAACAACTGGTTACATACAAGTGTGAGTGGATTTTTAGCAGAAACCTTACAGGCCATAAGGGAATGGAAGAGGGAAAAATAAATAAATAAAACTACCAATCAAGATTACTATGCCTGGCAAAACTGTTATCTAAAAAAATAGAAGACAAAAAAGATGTTTTCAGACAAAAATAAAGCAGTGTATTCGTCACCACTAAACCTGTCACATAAGAAATTTTAAAGGAGTTCTTCAAGTTGAAATAAAAGGACACTAAATAGCAATACAATACAATACAAAACAGCACATGAAAATTATGAAGCTCATTGGTAAAGGTAAGTATGTAAACATACAGAATACTGTATTACTGTAATGGTAGTGAGTAAGTCACTTTTAATTCAAAAATAAAACTTAAAAGATAAATTATTACAAATAAATATAAGTAAATATATGTTTAAAAATACAGAGTAAAAACAAATGGAAATTATGACAATAAACAAAGTGTGGGGGGAGAAGTTAAAGTGCAGAGTTTTTACATGTCATTAAACTTAAGTTGTTATCAGCTTAAATTAGACTCTTATGTCTATGTCTTGTGTAAGCTCCAAGGTAAACACAAAAAATTAAATTATAGAACTTACACAAAAGAAAAACAGAAACAAATCAAAGCATATCAGTACAAAAATAAATAGTAAAACACAAAGGAAAACAGTTAATGAAGAAAATGCAGTCAAAAGAACTATAGTACTAAAATAAAACAACTAACAAACTAGCAATAGTAAACCCTTCACTATCAATACTTAGCTTAATCAAAACGCATTGAGTGGCTGAGTGGATTTTTTTAAAAAGAACAGAGAAAAACATGACCTCAACTCAAGTGAGGGGAAAATCATTTGAGATTTAAGGGCACACATAGGCTTAAAATTAATGAATGGAGAAAAACAGTTCATGCAAATGGTAACCAAAAGAAAGCAGGAGTGGTTATACTTACATGAGATAACACTGACTTTAACTTAAAAACTGCCAAAAGAGACCAAGAAGCACCTTGCATAATGATTAGAGGAATAATCAATATATTTACATAATAAATATATATGATATACCTAATATCAGAGCACCTAAATAAGTAAAGCACACCTTGACAGAACTGAGAGGAGAAACAGACAACAGTACAATAACAGTAAGAGATTTCAATTCTCCACTTTTGATGCCGGACAGAACTCTAGGCAGAAGATCAATAAGGAAACCAAGGACTTAACACCACAGGCCAAATGAGTCTAATGGACATATATAGAACATTCCATCCAACAACAGTAGATACGTGTTCATCCCAAATGCACACAGATATTTCTTCAAGATAGATCATACATCAGATTTACAAACCAAGTCTCAGCAAAATTAAGAAAATTGAAATTATACTAAATATATTTTCAGACCACAAACAGATGAAACTGGAAACTAATATTAGGAGAAAAATTTAAAACTTCATAAAAACATAAAAATTACACAAAACATTCTTGAACAACAATAGGTCAAAAGAAGAATTTTTTAAAAAATTATGTAATACTGCAAGGCAGATGAAAACAAAGATACGATATACAAAAACTTATGGGATGCAGCAATAGTAAGTAATACTAAGAGGAAAGTTCATAGTGATAAATGCATACACTAAAAACAAGAAGGAAGATTACAAATAAACAATTTAATTTTACACCTCTAGGAGTTAGAAAAAGAAGAACAAATCAAGCCCAGGTTTAGCTAGGCAAAAACAAACAAACAAACAAAAAAACCAAAAAAAAAAAAACACAAAGATTAGAGCAGAAATAAACAAAATAGAAAAACGGTAGAAATAAATTAATGAAACTAAGAATTGCCTTTTTTAAAAAAGATAACCAAAATTAACAAATTCTTAACTAAACTACTTAAGGGAAAAAATGACAAGACTCAAATATATAAAATCATAATTGAAAGAAGAGAGTTTACATCTGGCACCATTTAAAATAAAAAAGAACATGAAAGACTACTATGAACAATTAAGCGCCAATTAATCGGATAAGCTAGAGGAAATTCATACATTTCTAGGAACATACAAAGTACCACAACTAAGCCATGAAGAAATAGCCTAAACAGACCCATAACTAGTATGAAGATTGAACCAGTAATCATAAATCTCCCAACAAAGAAAAGCCCAGGTCCAGATGGCTTCACAGGTAAATTCTACCAAACATGGAAATAATTAAGGCCAATCTTTCTCAAACTCTTCTAAAAAATTAAAACGAGGAAACACTTCTAAACTGTTTTTATGAGGCCAGCATTACCCTGATACTAAAGCAGACAAATAAACACCACAGGAAAAGAAAACTATAGGCCAATATTCCTGATCAATATAGATGCAAAAATCCTCAACAAAATGTTAGCAAACCAAATTGGACAGCATATTCAAAGCATCATGCACCACAACCAAGTGGAATTTAATCTGTGAAAATAAATTAATGTGATACACAAAATCAATGGAATAAAGGATAAAAATCACATGATTATCTCAATAGATGCCGAGAATGTGTTGGACAAAATGTAATGTCCTTTCGTGATAAATACTCTCAACACAGTATTCCTTCTAAGAAAAGAAGGAAAATATATCAACATGATAAAAGTCATATATGAAAAGCCTACAGCTAACATCATATATAATGGTGAAAAACTAAAAGTGTTTTTCTCTAAATTCAGGAACAAGTCAGGCATAGCTATTCTCACTCCTTCTATTTAAAATAGTCCTGGAGGTTGTATAACAGCAAGAGAAATTAGACAAGAAAAAAGGTTTAAAAAACATCCAAATTGGAAAGGAAGAGACAAAATTATAACTGTTTGGAGACTATGTGATCTCGTATATAGGAAATCCCAAAGATTCCTTAAATAAATTAATAAACAAATTCTGTAAAGTTGCAGGATGGAAAATCAACATACAAAATGTAGTTGTGTTTGTATATACTAAAAATAAACTATCTTAAAAAGAAATTAGGAAATCAATCTCATTTACAATAACATCAAAAAATTGAAATACTTGGGAATAAACTTAACTATAGAGGTGAAAAATTTTTACATTAAAAACTACAAAAGATCGATAAATGAAATTCAATAAGACCCAAACAAATAGAAAAACACCCCATTCTTGTGGATTGGAAGACAATATTGTTAAAATGTCCATACTACCCAAAATAATCTACAGTTTTAATGCAATTCCTATCAAAATATCAGAGACTTTTCTACAGAAATAGAAAAAGAAAACAATTCTACAATTCATATAGAACTACAAAATACTAGGAATAGACCAATCAATCCTGAGAAAGAATAAAGCTGGAGGTATCACACTTCTTGATTTCAAAATATTTTATGAAGCCATAGTAATCAAAACTGTATGGTACTGGCATTTAAAAAGCCATACAGCCCAATGGAACAGAATAAAGAACCCAGAAATAAATTCACATACATAGTCAATTGATCTTCAACAAGGGTGCCAAGAATATACCATGGATAGAGGACACTCTTATCTATCAAGGCTGTTGGGAAAACTGGATATCCACATATAGAAGAATGAAATTGGACCCTTACTTTACAGCATACACAAAACCAACTCAAAATGGTTTAAAGACTTAAACAGAAGACATGAGACTGTAAAACTTCTAGAAAAAAAGACATGGGAAAAAATCTTCATGACAGTGGTCTTGGCAATAATTTCATTGATATAACACCAAAAGCACAGGCAACAGGTGGGGGCTATATCCAACTAAAAAGCAAAGCAAAGGAATCTATCAATCACATAAACAGGCAACCAAGGGAGTGAGAGAAAATATCTGCAACCATTATGTCCAGTAAGGGTTAATCTCTAAAAATATTAATATGTAAAGAACTCGTACAACTCAATACCAAAAAAAAAAAAAGCATGATTTAAAAATGGGCTAAATACTTGAATAGCCATTTCTCCAAAGAAGACATACAAATGGCCAACAGATACATGAAAAGAGGTTCAGCACTAATCACCAGGGAAATGCAAATTTAAACCACAATGAGGTATCACCTTACATACCAGAAATGGGTATTATACAATTTTTTTAAAATAAATATTTGTGAGGATGTGGGGGATTTGGAACCCTTGCTTACTATTGGTGGGAATGCAAAATGGTACAGCTGCTATGAAAAACAATATAGAGGTTCCTCAAAAAATAAGAAATAGAACTACTACATTATTCATAATCTCATTTCTGAGTATATATTCAAAAGAATTGAGGTCCATATCTCAAAGAGATATAAACACTTCCTTGTTCATTGCAGCACTATTCACGATAGCTAAGATGTGGAAACAACCTAAACACCCACTGATGGATGAGTGGCTAAAGACAACGTGGTGTATGTGTATGATAGAATAGTACTCAGAGTTACAAAAAGGAAACTCTGCAATATGTGACAGGATGGATGGACCTTGAGGACTTTATGCTAAGTAAAATAAGCTAGACACAGAAAGACAAATACTGCATGATCCCACTTATATGAGATATCTGAGTAGTCAAATTCATCAAAGCAAACACTGCAATGGTGGTTACTGGAAGCTAAGGTATATTAGTCAGGGTTCTCCAGAGGGACAAAAGTAATAGGATATATGTGTATATGAAAGGGAGTTTATTAGGGAGAGTTGGCTCACACAATCACAAGGCGAAGTCCCATGATAGGCCGTCTGACAGGTGGGGAAGAAAGAAGCCAGTAGTGTCTCAGTTCAAAAGTCTCAAAAGCAGGGAAGCAGACAGAGCAGCCTTCAGTCTGTGGCTGAAGGCCCGAGACCCCCCAGCAAACCACTGGTGTTAAGTCCCAGAGTCCAAAGGCCAAAGAACCTGAAGTCTTATGTCCAAAGGCAGGAAGCATCCAGCATGGGAGAACGATGAAAGCCAGAAGACTCAGCAAGGCAGCTTATCCCACCTTCTTCCACCTACTCTTCTAGCCAGGCTGGCAGCCGAATGGATGGTGCCCACCCACATTGAAGATGTGTCTTCCTCTCCCTTTTCAATGACTTACATGTCGGTCTCCCCTGGCAACACCCTCACAGACACAAAGAGAAGCAGCATTTTACCAGCTATCTGGAGATACTTCAATCCAATTGAGTTGACACCTAATATTAACCATCATGTAAGAGAAGGGAAAATGGGGAGTTATTGATCAACATGCCTAAAGTATATATCCTCTCTCTCTCTCTCTAAATATATATATATATATATATATATATATATATATATATATATATATACTCTCTTTCCTGCCTATTCCCCTGAGTTCTTTCAGTATATTTAAATAATTTTTCATGCACACATATGTATAAAACATATTATGTGTTTTTTATTTACTATTATTTCCCCTGCTTCTTTTTTGAGACTGTTAATTTATAAAACTTTTAACATGTAATTATCTTTCTACTTACTTGAATTTACTAGTTTAAAGATAATGCATTTTATTCCCATTATTTTAAGGGCTACCTTTAAGTATTTTAGTCTGCATGTACAATTACATTCATGGTATTTAATAATTGCATTAAAGAAAATCAGCATATCCTGCCTGCTCCTGAAGATGAGGACCTTAGTAAACCCTCATGTCCTCACAAACTTTCCCCTCAAAACATCCTCTCCTAGCATCTCTTTGAATATTTTCATGTCATTGTGATCTAGAGCAGGGGTCAGCAATGTTCCTGTAAAGGGCCAAACGAAAATATTTTGGGCTTCAAAGGCCATGTGACTTCTACTACAGCTATTCAACTCTGCTGTTGAAACATGAAAATAGCCAGAAACAATTGTAAAATGTATGAATGTGACTGTATTTCAGTGAAACTTTATTTAGTAAAGCAAAGAAAGCCAGATTTGGCCTGTGGCATACAGTTTATTGAACCCGTTATTTATGAATTTTGATTCAGGTATTTTTAATGTGAAAATAATAATTATGTTTATGATTATAATAAATTTTTAGAATTGCCCTTAGTTTACTGATTTCTTCTTTCACCTCTGCTACTGAAATCCCATTTCTTTCACCTGGATTCATTAGCTTTTCGGTTTTTTTTTTTCACTGAATGCATCATTTAGGATCAAGGCCTCTGGGTGGTGAAATTTGTCATTTCTTTTATGATTTAAGATGTTTGTATTTTATCCTCCCTCTTAATTGATATTAAAGCTGGGTATAGAATTATAAATTGGTTGTTTTCATTGCAATAGACCATTGTATTAGGGAGTCTATTGCTGCTGCTAAGAAATCTGCTCAGTGTCACTTATTTGCAGGTAATCTAACTTTTCTCTCTGATAGTTTTAAAGATTTTCTATGACAGCCTACAAATTTCCTCATTCTCATTACGTCTAGGACTATATTGAAGTTTAATTTTTATATTTTACTTCTCTTGTTCAGCATTCAATGAGGCTACCCCCTACTGCCACATTATGAAGATTGAAGTTTTTCCTTAATTCTGAAGAATTCTTAGCCATTATCTCCTGAAATATTTTTTCTCTCCCATTTTCTCTATATCTTTCTTCAAGGATGCCTCTCTGTTATGTAAGTGACACAAGTGTATGACTTGTCTAGGCCTGCCAGAGAATGGGTAGCTTAAACAACAAACATTTATTTTCTCACAGTTCTAGAGGCTACAAGTCTGAGATGAAAGTGTCAGCAGAGTTGATTGCTTCGGAAGCCTTTCACGTTGGCTTGTTGATGGCCATCTTCTCCCTGCGCCTCATGGATATCTGTGTCCTAATTTCCTCTTCTTATGAGGACACGGAGCATATTGAACTAGGGCGTTTCCTAATGGCCTCATTTTAACTTTGATTACCTCTTTATAGATGTTACCTTCAAATACAGCCACTTTCTGAGGCACTGGGGGTTAGAACTTAAATTTGCAAATTTGAGGTGGGGAGGATGCATGGGCATAGTCAGCCCCGACCGCAGGCGAGTGCCGAACCTGCCCCGCTGCCTGCCCCATGCCTTTCCCACTGCACGGATTTCATCTCCTGTATCTGCACATTTACCATTGGCGATCCATAATGGCTTTCCTCCTGCTTTTCAGCATAGCTATTTATTTTTAGTATTAAAGATGTTTTTGTATATCACAACATATTTCTTTATTCACTCTGCTATGAATTAAAATCCATGATTTTATTTTTTCAAGGAACATACAATTTTTGTATCTTATTCATTACTTTTTAAATAAATGGATTTTAATGGCAGCTGCGTTAGTTTCACAGGGCTACCATCATACACCACTACAAACTGGGTAGCTTAAAATAACGGAAATGTATTCTCTCACAGTTGTCAAGGCTAGAAGTCTAAAATCCAGGTGTTGGCAGGACCATTCTTCTCTGAGGTTCCAGGAAGAAATATTTCCTCACCCTTTCCCAGTTTCTGCGGCTGCGGCCGTCCTTATTGTCCTTCCAGTCACACCTGCGTCGCTGCAGTCTCTGTCTCTGTCATCACTCGGCATTCTTTCCTCTGCGTGTGTCTGCATCCAAATTTCTCTCTTCTTATAAGGACATCAGTTATTGGATTAGGACCTACCCTAATCCAGTATAGTTATGTCTGCAAAGACCCTGTTTCCAAATAAAGTCATATACTGAGGTTCTGAGGTAGACAAATTCTGGGGAGAACTTTTCAACCCAGTACAGCTATCTAGCATTCTGTACAACGGAGATGATTCATTTAATTGATTCATAAACAGTGGAAATATAGGTTTCTTCCAGATTTTTTCCCTTCTATTAATAACATGACAGTAAACAACCTTGTATAAGGGACTTTGTGTATGTTACTGATTATTTCCTTAGGATAAGCTTCTGGTGATGAAATTACGTGATTAATGCTGTTACTTTTAGGTTTTGTATCCATCTATATGTCTTGGTATTTGCACACCCATGACATACGTTTTGGTGCTTAATAGGAAAGTTTTTTTTTTCACCTTGACTAATCAAACACACACACACACACGCGCGCGCGCGCACACACACACACACACAGATCTATTCGGTCCAGGGACCCCTTTCTATTTTCAACATTAGCTGCTGAGTTACTCTCACACCCGCACTTCCTAATTATGTTGCCATTTTCCCAGGCTTCTGTCTGTGAATGGCACATACATGACCAAAGTCAAACAATTTGCAACAACTGTTCTGTGCAACACCAGGCCCACTCCTAGAGCCTTAGTTACCCGGACTGTCATCTCAGACCTAAGCTTTTCAGCTGCCTCCAATGCAACCTCAGAATGACAAGTGATCTTTCTAAAGGATAGATCAGATAGAATCTACCTCTGAATCGAACATTAAAATAAATAAAAGTAAAACATTACCCAATTCTCTCTCCAACTCCAAATGATTTTTCATTGTCCTTAAGATAAAAATCCATTTTATTAAACATAATTTTCAAGGCCTTTTATGACCTTGCCTCCCCCTGCCCGAGCAATATAATAGCTTTATGATATGAGCCATAACCATATCTGACTACTTACATTTCCCTATTGTGGAGACCTATCTAGTTGTCCCTTGAGCTCACTGTGTTTTCCACTTTCATAACAAATTCACCATCCCTCCACCTCTCTCCCGGATCCCCTGACCTTGTGACATGGTGACAAAAGGAGCAATAGGAGAACCATGTTTATTCAATATGACTTTTATCCTGTAGCACAGTTTAGAGGACCACAGGTACTTCCTGATCTGGGTTAGACCAATAACCTCATTTCTAAAAATTTGAAATCAGCTGATTGCAATGATGAGCGTGGCAACTCAGTTGCTGTTGGCATTGGTTAATTTTTCACCATGAGAACTGGGAAGCGATAAAAGCTTTTTCCCACTAGAGAGAAAAAGAAGTATTCAGTGAGGAGTAGAGGCAAGGGGTGGTGAGCAGGAGGACTGTCTGTGTCCTTACTGTACTCATGTTCCTGCTCCCAATGCATGATTGAGGCCACTCTGTTTCTGCCTGTAGAATCTATACTGTCATCCTATATCCTTATTTTAAAAGTCTCCTTTTTGCATTAACTTATTCCAGTAGTCATTCTGCAGGAAAAAAAAAAAAAACCTAACTGATGTTGATGTTGTTGCCGTATGCACCGTGTTCTCTTTCTCCTTGGGTTCTGTGCATGCTGGTCTCTGTGCCTGGGATTCTGTCTTCATCCAATATCCTTCATCACTATCCCAGTTTCACTCCTGTACTACCTACTTATTTTTGCATCTCGACTTAGACATGGCTTTATTTTAGATCTTTTGACATTTTAAGATTGGTTAGGTTTCTCCACTGTGCTTTTATAGCACTTGTTTTCAAACTCTGTGAAGACACCTCGCAGTGATAAACAGAAAATGCAGCATGATGTTCTGCCCAGCAGCACAAAAGCTCTTTGTGGGATTGTTTCACCCAAAATTATCACAATACCTGGAACAAAGTGGTCTCTCAACAGAAATTATTGTTGCAAATTGAATAACTCATTTGAGAAAGCTCACACATTTCCAAGTGACTGTATCTTAGATCTCATAATAATTTGGAACATTTTAACCCAGTAAGTTAGTCTATTAGTAAGTAGCATTTTCTAGCTGTCCACCTCTCTAGATGTACTGTTGGGGTGATTCAGGGCAAAACATGTATAAAAAGAGCTGTGCTGAAAGAGTAGAGCTGACAACAAGTAAGTATCCAGATGTCTTCCTTCTCTATGTTGTGCTCATAAAGCCAAACAATTTCAAACTTCAAGCCCTGCATTAGATGCTCTAGCTTCCTTAATTATACATATACAACAGTATGGTTTGAATTGGGACCAAAGATTTCATAAAAGATTAAACAGAAAAAGAAAAGAAAAGGTTTTTAGTTTCTTGCTCCAAATTCTTCATAATATTCTATCTTTATATTTCTCCTCTACCAGATATCACCTGCAGTGCCTAACATCATGCTTTGTAAATATTGGGGGCTTAATAGATGTTAATCAGACAGAGCCAAATGGGAGGTTTTTTTTATTTTGTTCTGTTTTTGAGACGGAGTCTCGCTCTGTCACCCAGGCTGGAGTGCAGTTGTGCAATCTCTACTCACTGCAACCTCCACCTCCTGGGTTCAAGCAATTCTCCTGCCACAGTCTCTCGAGTAGCTGGGACTGCAGGCGCCCGCCACCATGCTTGGCTAATTTTTGTATTTTTAGTAGAGACAGGGTTTCACCATGTTGGCCAGGCTAGTCTTGAACTCCTGACCTCAAGTGATCTGACTGCCCCAGCCTCCCAAAATGCTGGGATTACAGGCTTGAGCCACCGTGCCCAGTCAGATGTTTAAAAATTAGAGTTGCTAAACAGGTCTAGGTAATATGATCAAAGAAATGAAAGCAGAAGACACATTGGTTTTCTATATATCTATAGAACTAAATGCAAAGAGAGCTTCTTGTAAGCATTGAGAACTGTCAGTCGCAGACTGGGGTGGTTTGAGGGCCACCAGAGAATTCTGTTTAGCTGTAGTCAATGTCAAGCCTGATACATGGTTGAGTCCACATAAGGGCCTGAGCAGGAGAGCCGCTGAGGTAGGAATCTGGGAGTGGACTTTGGAAATGCTGGTCCCTGTGGGTCCATTCATGCACTGGAGTCATGTGAAAGCTAACGTTCGGGAGAAGGTCAAATCTGAGTACATATGATTCCCAAATTAACATTCAAGTTCAATTACTAGCCAGAACTTGGTCCAGGTGTGGGAATTTCTGTGAAGTCACCAGCAGATTTTAAAGGTAAACAGCCCAAGTTGAGAAGGTGAGCATGAGCATTAGTGTTTGGAAATATTGGCCATATTGTAAAAGGGAACCATGGGTTAGAGTAGGATCTGGGAAGTAAAGGAGAAGATAACCTAGAGAGGTTCCCAGAGGCAGGAACATTTTTTGGGAGATGCCCATGTGATGCTTCCTATTTTTGTTTTTTAAGGGTGCAAGTCTGACAGATTGTAGAGATACCGTTAAGATTATTTAATAACAGAAGGCTTTTACAGTTCTTAAAGCCCTTTCACTTACCTCTTCTTGTTGGACTGTCACCACAACATAACAAGGTGAGATTTGCCATTGTTGTTCCCTTTTTACAGATGGGGAAACAGAAGTTCCACAATAATGACTGGCATTCCCAGGACCCTATTAATAAGATGAGGAGGCAAGAGTAGAATGTCTGTCTTTTGTCTCTGATTTACATGTTTTCTGTCTACCATACCCCGTTGACTTTGTCCAGTCTCCAGGACTGTAAAATCTACTGAGCTTTCCTAGCATGTTTAACACAGCATATAAAACACATCCACAGAGACCAGAATTGCTGCTTTTTTTTTAACACTGTAGAATGCATAATGCATGCACACAGGGGAACACTCCCTTAGGAGCAGTGTAAATGAATGCCTTCACATCACATCATTTTGGAAGCCTACTTTCTAAGCGCCTGTCACACTCATTAGAGAACCTTAGGAGGTACAGTAGGATTACTTCCTCAGTATAATCAGTTTATGCGGAGCTCCAGAAATGGCAACCTCCACTAGTCAGTCAGTGAACAGTATTTACTGAGCCCTTCTTGCATAAGAAAAATGATGGAGAGATTCAGAAGAAATAAGAGATGTGTTCTCTGATTGCTGAGAACTGACAATCTGGGAAGAATCACCAAAACTTGCCCCTCTTGTAGAGTGATGTTAAAGTGTGCTGTTGTGGAAGGAAGCGGTTAGGTCTCCCAGCCTGGCTCCAGTAGTCTCTGGACACTGTCAAGTGCCACCTCAGCAGGAGCTGTGTCTCTCACGCACTTCATTTCATAAGATAATTGAGTAATAGAGGGAGAGTATCTTGGCTCTTGGAGACTTTATTGCTTAAAAACCAAGGGCCACAATGGCCAGGGTGACCAGGCCAAGAGAGCCCCAGACTCAAGATCAATCGGGAGAGCAGGCGTCACTGAACCAGAACATCATCAACTTTCCACGTGATTTTTGTCAGATGGCTTCATGCTGCTCAGCCTCACTTTTCTCACCCATAAAAGGGACCAGTGAGTTGATGTTCTTTAGGTATGCAACGCTGAGAGTCCCCTTCTTCACATGGCAGTGGTTGACCAGTGTGTTGTCCAGGGCATGGCTATCTGGAATCAACAGCATTTTGGGGCAAAATCAGCATTTTGGAGGTAAATCTTGCAACATCTCCTCCACCTCCACCAAAAAAAGTCTCACTGATTAAAAAAATGCTGTCAGTGAAGTTTTTCTGTTTTTTTGTTGTTGTTGTTTTCGTTGTTTTTTTAATAACGTAAAAGTGGACAATAATACATAAGTGCTTTCAAAGAAACTTGTAAAAATGGCTTCTGCAGATCCCATTCATAGAGGATATGTGGACACTGAAAGGAAATTTCTTCAGTCAAGTGAGTCTAATTATGGGAGGAAAAGGTGAAATAAAAAAATAGTTGAGGCAAAATTTGTATAACATAGAATTAACCAATTTAAAATGAACAATTAATATAGTGACATTTAGTACATTCCCAGTGTTGGGCAACCACCACCTCTATCTAGTTGCAAAACATTTCCATCAGCCCGTCCAAAAGCCCATTCCCATGAATGAGCTTCTCCCCAAAGAGAAGGTGAATTGTGCAAGAGTCAACAGCAACAAACCCAGAGACATTCGGGGAGAAGTAAGGCACCCAAATACAGAAACATACACACACCTCTTTCTCACTCACACTTATAGATGCAAATTTAACATGGAGTCTTTATACTCCAAGTATCACAGCACTGTCTTGTCCCACAGCATAACAGAGTGATAATAAGCACACACTCTGAGGTCAAACTCCCTGGCTGCAGATCCTAAGTCCATTATTGACTGGCTGCATAAGCCTCATCTCTAGCATGAGGGTAATAACATATATCTCAGGGGTGTTAACGATGGCTTAAATTAATAATGTGCATAAGCATTTATCTTAATGAACAGAAAAAATTAGCTATGACCAACAAAAGGTGGACTGTGTGCCACTGAAGAGGAGAGGTAGATGTTTTCTCTATACTACTGAAAAGCAGCAAAGTGAATACAGAACACAACAAGGTTTATGGAGTAACATTGCCTATTAATGTCTTACTGACCTCTATCTACACTTGCTGAGCTCAGTGTACGTTCAGAGATTCTAGAGGCATTTCCAGTGTATACATCAGTGTACATCACTGGTGGCATTTGAGCTTTGCCTGCTTTTTATTTTAATGTTAGCCAATTTGTTTAAATTTGCTCAGCCTGAGTCAAGTTATTAGCCCTATGATGAAATGCACCCCCCAACCCAAAGGTCTCCCAGATAGCATCGTTCTGCTTGGATAACTTCCTGCCAGGACCCACCCACATCAAAAGTTCCTGCTGTGTAGGTCATGGTTTCCTTCCTCTCAGTCCTCTTTATTTCTCCCTCATATATCCTCAGGCACACTGGGGTATTAAACACACAAGATAATCTTGAGATGTAACCTATATATAAATCAAAAATAGCATAGGCATGTAGTTTTGGCTTTGCCATCAGTTGCAGTTCTGCTTTATAATTCTAACCCAGAGCTTGTTTTTCATTGTTCTGGACTAGTAGAAAAGAAATTTCTTCAGTTTGGTTCACAGATTCCCTCTTAGTCATAAAAATGTCAAGAGCCACTCTACTTGAAGCTACCCAAATGCCAACAAACGACTCCTCTGGGTTATACCCCTGATTTTTTCATACTAGACTTTTTTTTTTTCCTGAGACCCCTACTTTCCAAATAGTGCTTTACAGGAGACCTATGTGCCTCTACTTTTTTAATCTATCATTTTTGTAGAAGCTTTAAGTAATTATAGATCTTGCTCTGAAAACACCAGTTTCTAGTGCCTCAGTTCTTTAATTTGGCGGGACCTGTGTTGCCAGGCCCTCATTTTGGAGTGCTAATCATCTGTTCTCAAACAAGAACACATATTACAACTCAAATACATTCCTCTCTGACTCTGCTCAGTCAGTGCTTTCAACTCATGCATAACTAGGGAGAAAGGAAATTTACTGCAAACTCCTTCAAGAATTATCTTTAACCCTGGAAGCCTTCAGTTCGGTCTAATACAAGTATGGCTCTTTTGTAACTCTCCTTCTGTCAAAGAATTGCTGAGAATGTGGCTGTATGGACACTAGGCTAGAGGCTCCACAGCCTAGAAAGTTCAATTGGAAAGGTGAATCTGCTGCAAACTGGATCATAATTTGGTTTAAACATTAATGTCAACACATGTATTTGGTTGCTCACAGGCCTGTTCTCCTGTGCCATCGTTGTCCACTGAGTTACAAGTGATGTTTAACAGTTATGTCTCTTTCTAAGTAAGCTCATCATTCAGAATTTAAATTCACAGAAATGATTAAGTATGACATGAATTCATTTTACAGTGAAGCCCTAAAGTTGAATGATTTTCACAGTGGATTGGAGCAGCAGCCATATGGTCCCCCAGCATTGTGTGCTAATGAATCTCAGCTACTGGCCAACAATAGGCATTTATTGAGGGCCTCTTGTCCCAGGCCCTGGACCAGGCCCTGAAAAGACCACACCGTCAAGGAGCCCACACTGAGTGGGGATGGCAGACAAACATGGTGTCAGGGGCACATGTGGGAGCAGAGCAGCTGATGAGTCAGTGGAGACAGGCAGGGGCCAACTGGAAAGGGTTTTATCATCCTAAAGAGCCTATGGAGGAGATGAGGACCCAGGAAAGGATTTTAAGAAGCACAACTTAATAGTGGCTTAGAAATAGGGCTTTCTCATCAATGTGGAAGATGGAGTAGAGGGATCTCAAGGCAGCAAGCCAGGTAGCAGGTAGTTGGAGTAGTTCACTTAAGACAGGGTAAGAGCCAAAATGAAGATCATCATAGTGAAGATGAAGTGGAATGGGGACATACACGTCATTTCAGATAATGAATATTGTCAAGAAGTAGTGACTTTTTGAGTGTTGGTATTAAGTTAGGAGAAGTCTAAATTGACTTCCAAGTTTCAGATTTGAGTGAGAAGGGCCTGGAACCACAACAATTCTAGGAGATAACATCAGAAAAACTCTTCTAGACACTGGCTTATGCAAAGTCTTCATGACCAAGAACCCAAAGGCAAATGCAACAAAAACAAAGATAAATAGATAGGACTTAATTAAACGCAACAGCTTCTGCACAGCAAAAGAAATAATCAGCAAAGTTAACAGACAACCCACAGAGTGGGAGAAAATCTTCACAATGTATACATCTGACAAACAACTAACAACCAGAATGTACAAAGAACTCAAGAAAAAAACAATCCCATCAAAAAGTGGGCTAAGAACATGAATAGACAGTTCTCAAGGGAAGATATACAAATGGCCACCAAGCATATGGAAAAATGCTCCACGTCACTAACGATCAGGGAAATGTAAATCAAAACCACAATGTGATACCACCTTACTCCTACAAGAATGGCCATAATCAAAAATCCTTTGTTCTCACTCATAAATGGGAGCTAAACTATGAGAAAACAAAGATGTATGAATGATACAATGGACTTTGGGGACTTGTGGGAAAGGGTGGTGTCCAGGTGAGGAATAAAAGACTACACATTGGGTACTGTGCACACTGCTTGGGTGATGGATGCACCAAAATCTCAGAAATGATCACTAAAGAACTTGTTCATATAACCAAACATCACCTGTTACCCAAAAACATATTGAAATAAAAAGTAAGTTTTAAAAATAAGTAATTAGATACTGGGGTGTGTGGAAAACTATTAGATTTTGATTTTTGATATTACTAAGAATTTGATATAACTGTGAGACCTGTAACTTTATAGACAAATGGAAAAAGATAACCAAGTCCTGAAAGTTGCATGTGTGGAGTCACAATTACTGACCCCAAGTCATGGTAGAGATTTCTATTACCTAGGGAATGGCAAAAAGGGAAGATCTGAGAACAATGGTAATATTGGCATTGACATTTTAACATTTCCCACAATAGGCACATACAAAGTATCAATTGATTCAAATCTATATTTTATACATGTATAATTTGTGGGAAATGACTAAGTTCACATAAATTTTTTACTCACACAGAGTGAGGCTATAGATAAATTATGGCTTTTATATAAAGTGAGGGATACTTGTAAAATAGCTTTTGCCAATTCTTTCCTGAAGCTTCAAAGCCTCTTAAATGGCTCCAATCAAAGGTCACAGTCTGGTTTTAAAACCAGGAGGCATATGCTGTCTTCTGTGGGTTTTAGCACAAACTTCAGAGCTGCAGCCAAGGACGAGAGTGGCACTAGGAGGAACAGGACATTTATCCCTCCAGGTGGTCATATATTGTTGTTTTCTTTTCGTCTTATCTTCTTGAAATAATCTCTTCTCTCTTTACGAGTTGACACATGGGGTGAAGTTTCCCTCATGTGTTAATGTAATCTCTGAAGGAGTAGAGTTCCCTTTCATTCCATTTTTATTAATTTGTTTCTCATAATTCCAGTGATGTGTTTGGAGTGGAAAAAATTGAAGAGAAAAAAGAAAAAGAAGTACTAATAAAAAGCAGAATGCCCCCCAGCGGCAAGCTGGTGGCGTCCAGAGGTTGCAGATAATGGATTAGCTTTTACCTATTTCCATAGCAACAGCTTAGCTGCTCTTAAACACTTCCTTAAAAGCTTCTGATAAATGTATCCTGTGACCCTGAAAACTTTTCCATCTCCCTCCTGACTTCTTTCATCTTCCACCCCTCCTTTTCCCTTTTGCCCCACAAAAACATCAATTATTACCCATAACCTTGTAGCATTTGCTTGGTTTTCTGCAGACCTGCTTCCTTTAAGGGCCCAAGATAGATTTGACAGTGGGAGACCGAGAATGCTGCATGTTCTCCTTCCTCCCTTTGGCTCCTCTCTCCCTCTCTTTCCCCTCCCCTTCTTGCTTCTCTCTCCCTCTCACTCTTTTCTTCTTTGTCCTTTTTCTCTCTCCCCTTGCCTCTTTCTTATTTTTTTTAGTTTGTTCTTTCTCCCATTTCTCAAACTAAATATACATGGAAGTCATCATTCTATGGATCACTGATTGGAACTGAATTGACAATTCCCAATCAAATAGTTGAAAATATTAATTGAGCGCTTGCTGGTGGTCAGCCATGAGCTGTGCTCTGGTTGGGATGGGGGCACATGAATGGAATAACATCAAGAGTCTAGAAGAGTGCCCTTGCCCATATCACCCACATAGAAATCAAGATTCTGGCTGAAAAAATTGAACGGTCAACAATTATGCAATCATCAACAGAATCAGGGTAAAGAATAGGTTAGGATTGTAAAGATGGGACTTTTGTTCCTGGCAGCCACTGCTATGCCATTTAGAATGATCACTTATGGTTAGATCAGCTGTATTTGTATTTTAGTCTGTTAAATGAGGAGGATACAATCATAAAAGAGGTATTATGAGAATACAAAACTCAAACAGGATGGTTCATATAGATGAACTTGTATTCCACAGAGGTAAACTTGTTGTTCTTGTTACTGGCTTAATATCCACAAGAAGACAAAGACGAAGACGAAGAAGAAGAGAAGAAGAAAACGGGGCGGGGGGAGGAGGGGAGGAGGAGGAGTGGAGGAGGACAGGATGGGGAGGACGAGTAGGGGAAGAGGAGGGGAGGAGGGGAGGAGGAGGAGGGGAGAAGGGGAAGAGGAGGAGGGGGAGAGGGGAGGAGGGGAAGAGGAGGAGGAGGGGGAGAGGGGAGGAGGGGGAGAGGAGGAGGGGGGGAGAGGGGAGGAGGGGGAGAGGAGGAGGGGAGAAGAGGAAGAGGAAGAAGGTGAAGAAGAGGAGAAGGAAGAGGAAGAAGAAGAAGAAGAAAAAGAGGAAGAAGAAAAAGAGAAAGGAAAAGAGGAAGAAGAAGAAATCAGAATTTTTATGGAGAAGGGGAAAACTGAAGCTGGGTATGAAGAGATGAAGGTCTAAATATAGGAAAGGGAGAAAGAACTCTCCTATCAGGGAAGATGAAAGAGGCTGGTACCCACTCTTCAATGCATCTCCTCTAACTACTCACATGCCCTACACATAGTAGGGACTAAGTAACACCGTGTGTGTATGTGTGAGCATGTGTGTCTTCCTTTTTGTCTCATTTGTTCCACCTGATAGAAGACATTGTTTTTTCAAAAGATGAGTAAGAGAAGATTTTAAAATAAATTAAAGCACATTATCTATAAATACCTCTAAAAGACCACAATGTTGCATCTTCTGCAGAGCCTTTTCTGACTCTCCTGGTGCCCATCCACCCCTGCTATTTTGCCCATCACCCTGTGTGTACTTATCACCTTCTCATGCAGATAGTGCAACTCAATGCCGGTGTTGAACCTTATTCGTCTTTATTACTTCAGTGCCTGGCAAAGTGCCTAGAATATAGGGAAGTGCTCAGGTACTGTTTTTTGAATAAAGACACAATTTAATGAGTGTCATGAATCAGGCAATGTTAACTAAGAAAGCTTTCTTGAAGAGGCGAACTTTGGAATGGATTATTAATAAAGGAAAGGACGGGATTCAAATAGGCATGGGAGCCATGGCCCTTCATTGGACAGCCCACTAAAGATATCATGGTAGCCCAGGCATCCTCAAGCATCCCATTTTCCAGAGCAGGGGGGTTGGGCACCGACAGAGTAAGGCTTCTCCCCTTCCAACTGCAGGGTTAATCAAGGAAGAAAGAAAACCAAGTCGTAATATCCTAATTCTCAACTGAGCGAACAGAAATACCTCTTTCACTTATTTCTAAGGGACGTGATACCTCTGACTCCCTCTACGACTGAGGAGAAAGGACCTTGGAATCCACCACTGTCAATCGGCTCTGGGTACAGAATCTAAATTGGTTTCTGGCTCCCACGGACATAATCTGGCACTTTCCCTGAGCACTGTATTTAATAACAACAGTTGCAAAGGCAATAAAAGAGGTAAAAATGGTATTGTTATTTTATTATTACTTTGTCTCCATTCTTTTCATAGATACCCAGTCAACTAGGGTAAGAATAAGATTTTTTTCTTGTAATATCCTGCTCCATAAAAGCAATTTCACACATAAAATTGGAAACTCATTTTCAGCCAGGAACACGGGCCTAAGTACACACATATTTTGTGAGAAAGAGTCAGAACTCTCTTCCTCATGGGTTTCAAAATGATAAAATTCCAGGTTCAGGGTACTTTGGAAGACAAAGTGGAGTTTAATATCCGCCTAGGAGAGTCCAGGCCCAACTAGAGTCACACTTCTCTTTTCCTGCAGTACTTGGTGCAGGTAAGTGTAATATCAGGAGTAGGTTTGGAGAGGAAGTGGAGGCTATAACAGCCATCATATAGCAGAGGGTACAGTGTGCACCAGGCCAGCCGAGGGTGAGTGTTCTGGAAGGAGAAAGTGGCAGCCTCTCTGACCTCCTCTTAATGCAGTGGGAAACGTATGCTGTGAACTTCAAGTCTGTTTGCATGAATTGGAAGACCTGTTTCACTCTCACATTCCTAGGAAGTTTCTGCAAGCTGCCAGAAGCTACTTGATGAGCTGAGATTCCACACACTCTCCTGTTTGTGTGACCTTTGGAAAGTGTCTTCTCTCTGGACCCCAATTTCCTCATTTGTAGGATGAGGAAGTTGTGTCATGAGGCAAATTCTAACGTCTCTTGTAGCTCTAAAATTTTATGATTCCATAATTAGAAGCAAACACCCTGAATGTTTTGAAGATCTTTGGGTAGGCTTGCCATTCCAGGAGAAAAAAATCAAGTAAGATAGACCCCTATTTCTTATAAATGATCTTAAGTTCATCTTAGAATTAATATGTTCTGGTTCCCTTACTATAAAGAACAACAATTTTTGGTCAGGCACAGTGGCTCACACTTGTGATCCCAACACTTTGGGAGGCCAAGGCAGGAGGATTGCTTGAGCCCAGAAGTTTGAGACCAGCCTGGGCAACACAGCAATATCCTATCTCTACAAAATTTTTTTTTCTAAATTAGCTGGGTGTGTTCGTGCACACCTGTAGACGCAGCTACTTCAGAGGCTGAGGCAGGAGGATTACTTGAGCCCAGGAGGTCGAGGCTGCAGTGGGCCATGATCACACCACTTCACTCCAGCCTTGGTGACAGAAGGAGACCCTGTCTCAAAAAAAAAATCCAAAATTTTTATTGAAACAAGAAACGTTTTGATATAATCCTTTGAAGTTCTTTATACTCTCTTTGTAAAGAGATCATCCTTTGTTGATCTCACTTCACAAGTGCTCTGTGACCTTACACACAGGTACAGAGTTCATGTTAAGATCACAAAAGCCATTATTTGTTCAGACCAGTGCTACATGGGCCCAGAATTCTGATTAACAGTGAGCAAAATGGATGAAGGGGGCATGGTTGCTCACTATCTCATCCTCAGAAGTCTACGCGCCTTCATTCATCCCCTCCTTTCTTCAGACTTGAGGGTTTGTCAAGCCATTCCAGAGACTGAAAAATCTCTGAAAATGAATCTAAATTAATTTAGATTGGCTGGTTCCCCTTTGATATGGTTTGGCTATGACCCCACCCAAATCTCATCTTGAATTGTAGCTCCCATAATTCCCATGTGTTGTGGGAGGGACCTGGTGGGAGATAATTGAATTATGGGAGCAGTTTCTCCCATATTGTTTTTGTGGTAGTGAATAAGTCTCATGGGATCTGATGGTTTTATAAGGAGAAACCCCTTTCACTTGGTTCTCATTCTCTCTCATCTGCTTCCATGTTCTCATTCTCTCTCACCTGCTGCCGTGTAAGATGTGCCTTTTCCTACTGCCATGATTGTGAGGCCTCCCCAGCCATGTGGAACTGAGTCCATTAAACCTCTTTTTCTTTATAAATCACCCAGTCTTGAGTCTGTCTTTATCAACAGCATGAAACAGATGAATACACCCTTAATCAAAAAAATGCATGTTTCTCTCTAGGAAATCTAACAGACTTATCAGACATGATTTTCCCTTGTGGTTGCAGCATCCTTCCCCTACTGTCTCAGAGGGAATCATGCTGGTCTTCATCACGCAGTGCTCCCGCCATTTTCCCATGGATCTCTTGACATTATGGACTCTCTAAGTGTGCATCCTAAGGACTTTTTAGGATAGTGTTCTCATCAGAGAAAATGCCCCAAACAGAAACTTTCAGAAACTCTACGTCTCAGATCTAGGTCTATCTAACCATAGAGCTAATGAAAAAAAAAAAAAAAAAAAAAAAAAAAACTTTACCCCATTCCCATGGCTTTTATTTACTTTTTATTTTCAGTGGATGCTATTTGCAATGAAAGAAAAGCTCTGTGAGTTAATAACATAAACACATGGAAAGAGCCTTCATAGGGTCCTCCTTTGTATTAGGCAAACTCCTAAGCTAAGGCTCAGAACATTGGAAAGCCTAGTGAATTGCAAACCTCAATGTGACAGTGAAAGCTCTGGCCTGGTAGACTGGAGACAGGGCACCATGAGCTGAGACACCCCAGCAGGTGGGGTGGTACCTGCAGAGCTGAGAATGTCCCCACTGTCCTCAGCAAAGCTCATCCAGGCCAACTTGTTTTGTGACCAGTCATGGCTCTTCTGACAAAGGGAAGATTTACAAGTGTGTCCCTGATGCTCAGCAGCTAGCTGGCTTCTGAATGCTTTGGCAAAAACTTGCTGGAAATGGTTTCATTTTCTCCTGCCCTGAGACCCATTCTGTCCCTGACAGACTTTGATTTGACACAGTATAGAAGGGCAAATACCAGGCTTGTGCCAGGGGCTGAGGCCTTTAGGGCGATGTGGGAGCCAACTAAAGATTTTGTAGTTTTGGCCTACAGTCTGCACTCAAATTAAAACCAGATAAACTTTATAAACACAGTTTGATGGCTGTGGAACAGCAGACTGACATGGGGTGAAGGAAATCGGAATTTGCCTGATAATTTGTCTGTCAGAGTGGAAGAGGGGAGCAGTCTCATCCTCACGTTTAATGATCTAAATCTCAGGTCCCAGCGTGTTCTCCTTTGCTCTAACTTCTGCAGGCCCCAGGAATTTCCAGGCAGGCAGAGCATTTCCCAGAAAGGTCCCTGGCAGGCAGGCTTTCCATTGGCCAGCTCCTCATCACTCCTGGGGTTCAGCAAAGATGATAAAGGGCACAAAATTGGGAAAGAAGGGAAGGAGGCTTTGGCTCATGGTTTCCAAATTAATATCTTTTCTCTTCTCATTTTGCATTCAAAACCAAACACAGTAGATCCAATTCAGCTTCAGGCACTTTCATCTGTGAAGTCAGATTGGCAGAGTTTGGGAAGGGAGAATATGGGGGAATCCGGGGAAAACGTACAGGAATGCATTATTCATTCCGCATTATCAGATAATGAGATGTTCCGAATGAGTGAATATTCTAGATAACTGAATCTTCCTTTCTAAACATTCAAACTTCCTCTACATTTTAGAATATATTTATGTATTTTGTTAAAAGTGTTATAAGAATCTCTGCCTAGAATACCTGATTATAATTAGCCATATCTTGCCTACTTATCCTATTTTAAAGAGAAATTAATTTTATTTCTCTGCCTCACAGAGATGCACTCAGCTATGCCCTTCTGTGGCCCAGCAGTTCCAAGCTCTTTCTCCTGGTGTGCATGCACACTCTTCCTTGTGGGGGTCACTTGTCGGTACACTGGGGCTTATAGCACACTCTCCCTTTCTTTTTCTAATCTTTTGTACACACCGACTTAGGAGTAAATGGCTGTCTCCAGGGAAAGGCAAACAGCCATGCCTATTAAATCAGCAACTTTATTTCCTACATGATTCTAAGTCCACCATTCAGTTCTGATCCATAAGCCACGATCCATCTGTTAAGTGAAGATGCTGTGCTTGGTACCTGGGATTATAAAAAGTGCCCTTGAGTGGTTATCCCCCATTATGGGAGATGACTGATGCTTCCCATTTATCAGGGCTGTCATTTGGGTAAAGACCGTAAGTTGAATTCATTGTGTGAAGCACATCAATAGCGGAAAGCACAGGGTGGAGAAGAAGAATAGTGTTTAATTCGGCTGCGCGTAGTGGCTCATGACTGTAATCCCAGCACTTTGGGAGGCCAAGGTGGGTGGATCACGAGGTCAGGAGATTGAGACCATCCTGGCTAACACTGTGAAACACCGTATCTACTAAAAATACAAAAATTAGCCAGGCATGGTGGCGGGCACCTGTAGTCCCAGTTACTCGGGAGGCTGAGGCAGGAGAATGGTGTGAACTGGGAGGTGGAGCTTGCAGTGAGCCAAGATCGTGCCACTGCACTCCAGCCTGGGAGACAGAGCGAGACTCCACTCGGTCTCAAAAAAAAAAAAAAAAGAGTAGTGTTTAATTTAGTTTGACTAGAGAAGGTCCAAGATGCTTTAGACAGGAAACGATACCTAAAACAGGTTTAACAGGATGAATAGGAGTTTCCTAAGTGGAAAGAAAGTAGATAAATATGTTCTAGACGCAGGGAATAATAGCTATGTCCATAAGTTTAGGAATACTGAAGGTTATCTCCATATGTCTCTGAGAAATAAACACATGCATTGGGTGATGGCATTATTTGTTGCCTTCAAAAAACGTCAAACAAAACAAACAAACAATAACAACAGAACTTCTTGTTTTGTGAAAATAAAAGCAAGTGATTGAAGTTGTTACTCAGTACCAACCTACAGATAAATATGGGGAACACTGGAGAAGGAAAGAGGGATCAACTCCATAAAGGAAGAACATTTTCACTTTTCAGTGTCCTGTTTCCTTCTCCGGTGGCAAAGTCTGTCACATGAATGGGGGAGAGGTCTCATGTAATGTCTTACCAGTCTTAACAAGGGTGCACCTTGCTGCTTACTTTATTTATTGATTTATTTTAATAAAGTGGTTTTCAAAAGGTGGTTCCCAAAACGGCAGCATCAGCATTACTTGGGAACATAGAAATGGAAATAACCAGGCCCCACTAAAAACCTACTAAAGTTAGAAACTGAGGCAGGGCCTTGTAATCTGTTTTTACAGCTCTTCTAGTGACTGAGAAGCTCACTCACATTTGCGAACAAGTGCTCTGACAACATAGAGAATGGGACCCAGACTCAGATGGAAACCCTGAAAAATCAAAATCGGAATTGAGGGGAGCACAGACAAAGATATTTGTTGCCACTCTGTAACTGCCCAATGGGTTCCCCTTGCCCACTGCCTAGACAGAGCCAATTTATCAAGACAGGGGAATTGCAAGAGAGAAAGAGTAATTCACGCAGAGCCGGCTGTGCAGGAAACCAGAGTTTTATTATTACTCAAATCGGTCTCCTCAGGCATTCAGGGATCAGAGTTTTTAAGGATAATTTGGTGGGTGGGAGAAGGCCAGTGAGTTGAGAGTGCTGACAAATTGTGTCGAAGATGAAATCATAGGGAATTAAAACTGTCTTCTTGCGCTGAGTCAGTTCCTGGGTGGAGGGGCTACAAGATCAGATGAGCCAGCTGATCAAACTGGGTGGTGCCAGCTGATCCATCAAATGCAGGGTTTGCAAAATATCTAAAGCACTGATCTTAAGAGCAGTTTAGGGAGGGTCAGAATCTTGTAGCCTCCAGCCGTGAGACTCCTAAACCATAATTTCTAATCTTGTGGCTAATTTGTTAGTACTACAAAGGCAGTCTAGTCCCCAGGCAAGAAAGGGATTTGCCCTGGGAAAGGCCTGTTATCATCTTTGTTTTCAACTATAAACTAAGCCCCTCCCCAAGTTAGTTCAGCCTATGCCCAGGCATGAACAAGGACAGCTTGGAGGTTAGAAGCCAGATGGAGTTGCTTAGGTTAGATCTCTTTCACTGTCTCAATTACAATTTTGCAATGACGGTTTCAACTCCACCCTATTTCCTAATTCTAGCGTACGTGGTCTGGCTGACCAATCACATCGGGGCACAGACAGCTTCTTAGTGTTGCTGGGGTGGCCCTTGGTTCTGAAAGTTCAAGACAGGGGAATTGCAATAGAGAAAGAGTAACTCACAGAACTCTATTTTGTGCTGCACTGAGAAAGGGCCCATCTCTCTGGAAGCCTCAGGGTAAGGCGCATCCAGGAAATAAACATGGAAATTCAGTGGTGCTTTACTGATTTGTAAATGAGCCAGATTCACTGCATGATAGCCCAGGAGTTCCTCCATTGGTCCATTTCCTTCCCATCCAAAGTCTAAATCAAAAAATAAATTTTAACTAGAAGGTAGCAGAATTCAGGCAAAGGGGACATCATGGTCCTGTTCAAATGTTTCCTGGCATGCACATATTATGGCATAATCCACCCAGTTCACAAATATTCTTTCTGCCATAGAAACCAGGCAGGTGGAGTGTAGAGTTGGGGACTCAGGTTCCTCTGGCAGTAGTGGGTGAAAACCGTCCCTTCCTCTTCTCAGACACATGCTCTGTGCTTCCAGATAGATTCCCTGCTAACAGACTGAGTCAGGCTTTATTAGAGATGCCCTCTTAGGCCATTCTTGTGTTGCTATAAAGAAATGCCTGAGACTTGGTAATTTATAAAGAAAAGAAGTTTAGTTGGTTGATGGTTCTGCAGGCTGTGCAGGGAGTATGGCATTGACATTGCTTGCTTTTTGGGGAGGCCTCAGAGAGCTTTTACTCATGGGGGAAGGCAAAGCCCGAGCACTTCACGTGGCCAGAGCAGGAGCAAGAGAGAGACAGAGGGAGTCACACACTTTTGTACAACCAGATCTCGTGAGAACTCACTCACTATCATGAGGACAGCACCGAGGGAATGGCGCTAAACTATTCATGAGAAATCCACCCCCATGATCCAGTCACCGCCCACCAGGCCCCACCTCCAACACTGGGGATTACAATTCAACATGAGATTTGGGCAGGGACAAATATATACACTATTATCACCCCCTTAATGTCACAGATTACATTAGCTTCAGATCTTAATTGTTCCTAGGAGCCATTTGTGTGTATAAGGTGAGTTTGTGTTTATATGATCTCAGCTGTCATGTTACCAGAAAGAGTTCCCTATCCAAACCCCAAGGGAGGGTTCTTGGACCTCATGCAAGAAAGAATTCAGGGCAAGTACACAGAGTAAAGTGAAAGTGAAGCAGCTATGTTGTCTGGGGTATATACCCTGGGGTTTGTTATCGAGCACCAGGAAAATGTAGGACACGGACACACAGGAGGCACTTAGGAGAAGGGGGTCTCTGAGCTGAAAGGGCCAGCAGGTGGCAAATGTGCCAAATTTTATAGTCAGGTTTGAGGAGGTGGGCTCTGATTTACATAGGACTCACAGACTGGTTCCTTCAGGTATGATGTTTATATAGCACATGGGGAAGGCTGGTCACTCCACCCTAATCTTATTCTGCAAATAGGTTTTCCAGTTAATTGGCGCCATCTTGTCTGCTTCTTACAGTACACTTGGCTGATCAAAGAGAAGGGCCGCATTCACGCGTGCAAGCTCCCAGCTTGCTTGTCTATGTCTGCAGCTCGACTTTACAGGCTACTCTTTGTTAGAAAATGATTTGGGGCTGCTTTTCATGAAAAAGAAAAGCCTTCCCAAGGACTCCCATACCCTCGCTATCTGCCTAAGTGATTTCTTCTTAACTCCTGTATCAAAAGTAAGTGTATTACGAATGTAAAGGAATAAAAGAGTGACCACTCCATTGGCAGAGCAGCAGCATGGGATGTTTGACTGAATATACTTATGGTTATTTCTTGATTATATGCTAAGCAAGGGGTGGATTATTCATGAGTTTTCTTAAAAAGTGGTGAGGATTTCCTGGAACTGAGGGTTCCTCCCCCTTTTAGACCACATAGGGTAACTTCCTGACATTGCCATAGCATTTGTAAATTACCAAGGCGCTGGCCAGAGTGTCTTTTAGCATGCTAATGCATTATAATTAGTGTATAATGAGCAGTGAGGGTGACCAGAGGTCACTTTCTTCGCCATCTTGGTTTTGGTGAGTTTTGGCCGGCGTCTTTACCACATCCTGTTTTATCGGCGTGATCTTTATGAACTGTGTCAGGACCTCTTATCTCATCCTGTGTCTAAGAATGCCTAACCTCCTGGGAATGCAGCCCAGGAGGTCTCGACCACATTTTACCCAGCCCATGTCCAAGATGGAGTCACTCTGGTTCCAATCTTCTGACAATCCTGGGTGGCATTTATTGATCAAGTTCATGGGAGTGAGGATAATATTGTCTCTTTGTATACAATTTACATATATTTTACAATATGTCTGTATTCCAGTTACATTAGCCATTACATGAAGCAGAGGGTTGAAGATGGAGAAAGGAAAAGGAAAGAAAAGGAGAAAGTGACGTGGTTACAGATATGTCAAGGAGGCACCTATCTGTCACCATGAGAGTTGGTTACAGGCTTTAGCTTGAATTTAACTTGGGTCCAGCCTTCAAGTAGTTCACTTGGTTTTTGGGAGTTAGGTGTCTCTCCCAAACCGGGAGATCCCCTGCTGTCTCTTCACTTTTTAACATTTAATGGGGTAGAGGAGAGCTTATTCCTCGCTGGCTCTGCTCTGTTGCCATTGTGCTAATATTGTTATTTTATACGACAGTGTTAACACCTGCTTGTTGTCTTATCTAACTTTTAAATGCCATTTAATTGAGAGGGAAATGAGCAGATGAACGAAAGTGAGCTGTGGTGGATAAGAGTAACACCCCTGCCCTAGGCCCATCCTCCCAGGGCCAGGAGGGTCACCATTATCTCCATTCTCCTTTGTTCTGGGGCAGATATAGGGGGGCAGGTGCCAGGGAGAACATGAATTCTGTACACATTTCTAAGCTAGGGCAAATTCTTCAAAATTTCCACTTTCCTTTCTGCCCTACTTCCTTTAGAGCCTACTTTCTTCTTCTAGTCTCTTTAGTCCCATTATCCTTTTACTCTCTGCACCCTGCCCACCAAGCTCCTATGCCTTCCCCAGGTAAGCTTGGCTGGCTCATAAGTCTTGATCAGTGTTGGAGAGGGAAAGATGGTTTAACCATTCTGAGTCTCCACAGGCACACACAGCCCATTTATAATTTAAACTCTCTTGCTTTGAATCCTCCCAAATGCTGTTTCTGCTTCAGGCACTCTCCATAGTACAGTGTCTAACTATAATGAGTTTTCATCACCTTCAGAAGGACCACAGTAGGCACCAGGTCTAAGCTCTCATTTTTACACCCTTAGGAGCAGTGATATCCATTGGGAATTAATCTTGCATTGTTGGAGAGCTCCTTTGGGTCTCTCTCCTTCACTTTCCACCAATGCACGCTGCTTGACACTGTCACCAGTAATGCATGTGTTCAAGGATAAACATGATGTCACGTTCAGAGAGATGGCAAGTGGCAGACAACATTCTTGATGGAGACTTTTTTTTCCCCTCCACCCCCTTGATGGAGGTGTTAACTTACCCACTTCAAAAAAGTTAGGAGATACCTAATTTAAGGACTAAAAGAAAAAAATAACTTCCAATAAAATGAGTGGTATGCTAGCATGCTGGCCTTCTTCAAAGATAATAAATCTGATGAGGGCTTTGCCACTATACTTGGAGTGAGATTTGTAAGTTCTCTAGAAGTAGCACATTGCTGTCTATTGGGTTTGGAACCTGGCTGTTCACTTTTCCAGACTCTGCCTCTACCCTTTCTAAAAATCTAGTCATAGCCTTCTTCTCCTCCTACTTTAACTTGCCTAAAGCTCCACCAACGGTCTTCAGCATGGGTCTGCTCTTCCCTTTCTCCAAGATGCCTGCATGCCATTTACTCTTGATTCGCCCACCCTCTTTGTCTTAGGGATAGACAAATGAATAGTTGAGAAACAATGAATGCCTATGCCTCAAGGTCAGCTTTCTCACCCCACTTTTCTGCCTTGACTTATGGCATCTCCCCCAGTTAAACTGTAGAATTTCCCAGCACTTTTCAAAGAGGGAAGAAGGTATTTCATCAATTTTAATTCAAATAAAGTGAGTGCCTGCTTCCCCACTGAGTATGTGCCAAGCATGGTTTTTGCCCTTGTCATCTTGCTGTGTCCCAAAAGCCTTTGACATTTTCTCTGGTGACATATTTTTAAAGTGGCCTTTATGTTTGCACCCAAGTTTATGAGAAGTGCCAGTCCACAGATGTGTTTGTTTGCAGAGACTAATTATTAGGCTGACTCTTTTGAAATGATTGTTCTCTGTCTACAGCAGTGGAAGGTAGGGCCACACAGGCTTTCCTTTCCCTAATGTGTCCCATCTGTGAGGCAGCAGAGAGCACCTGCGGAAATATGCAATGTGCAGTGTATGAGAGCAGTCATATTTGAGCACTGTCCACCTGCCACCACCCCCGGCACTGTGCTTACTGCTTTATATGTACTGACTCATTTAATCCTCACAACAGTCCTACTTTGTAGGTACTAATTATATGCCTATGTTATAGATGCAAAAAGGTGAAGTACGAATAGCTTAAGAAACTCTCCAAGGTCACACAGCTGGGAAATAAATGGTAGAGCCAGGAAACAGACCTGGCTCTCTCTCTCCAGAGGCCAGACTCTAAACAATAGAGTAAATGAACTTTAATTGACATATGTGGAAAGATGATTTACTAAAAAGGATGTTGGATCATACATTCTCACTCATAAGTGGGAGCTAAGCTATGAGGATGCAAAGGCATAAGAATGATACAATGGACTTTGGGGACACGGGGGAAAGGGTGGGAGAAGGGTGAAGGAGAAAAGACTACACATTGGGTGCAGTGTATACTACTTGGGTGATGGGTACACCAGAATCTCAGAAGTCACTAAAGAACTTATTCATGTAACCAAACACCACCTGTTCCCCCCCAAAACCTATGGAAATTAAAAAATAGAAATAAATAAATAAACACTTTTTAAAAGGGATGTTGGGAAGTCTGGCAAGCCCAGCAACTTCTCACTGGGAAGTCCCTGGGCAAAAGACATAAACAGAGAGTTCACCGAAGACAGTAGGAATTACCCTCACAAAGGTGACATGATGTAATCAAAACCATGCAGAAATACCATTTCTCACTTATTGAATTGGAAAACGTTTAAAAATTTAGTTATATAAGCTTCTGAGAAGACTTCTGGGGAAACAGGTTATCTCACAGGTTTTTAGTGGATTGGAACAATGGTAAGACCCTCATGAAAGGAAATCTATCAGCAATCATCAAAATACAGACAGATGCATTTACATTTTAAGCCAGTACTTATTCTATGTCTCTGTAGCAAATACACACTTTACAAGTCTTGTGGGAAATTGTAATAGCAAAATGTTGAATATTGAAATCAACTCACATTCTGTGGATAGGGCACTAGTTAGATAAACTATGATACATTTATGCCAAGGAATACTACACAGCTCTGAAAAATGTATAAGGTGTATTTCTTTAAATATGAGAACAACAGTATATATACTCTGCTACCTTTGTCTTAGGAAGGATGATGATAATATATTTTCTTATTTGCTTGTTTTACCTAAGTACACATTGGATGGATAAACAAAATACAAAGTTATACAAATCTGTAGGAATAAAGGGATGGAAATGATAAAGTTAGGAGTAAAATTTTTCTGAATATATTTTTGAAAGTAGATTGGTGTTTGAATTATGTTAATGTATCAACTTTTGAAAAGATTAAATTAAATAATTTGAAAACAAGATATTATGTAGCTTGCAGAATTGTGGGGAAGGCTGAGTACCTGGTTGTAGCAAGTTTCCTATTTACTGGGAAAGAGAAAAATATTTCGCTATGCAAAAATAAATGTTCTCCATCAAACCTGTCACCATATGCCCCAGATACTCTGATACCAGGCTATGAAAGTAAACTTGGTTATTGTTCCTTCCTCATAATAATAAATGAAGAAAAAATATTCTTTCCAAATCTCGCCACTTCACAGCTCCATAATCATGTTCAAGTGTAGTGACATTACCACTATATACCTGCTTAATGTATCCTGGAGCTGCAAGACTAGTGCATAGTGGGTATTTGGCTCCTGTGAAATTAAAACAAGCAATTGTTACCCTCCCCCAATCATATGTACGTGACAATTACCTGCAAAGAGAGGTACATAAAAATAGACAATGTTTAATGAAACAATTAAAAGTATTATTTGGAGATGAATCAAATTAAGACTCTGGAATGTATGATGAGTATGCCATGGGCTAACTGGGATTGTGATTTGGAGAATCCCTATAAAACTGGAATGGGGCGGTCCTTTCCTTCTCAAGGCCATGCTCCTACCAGCTTCCCTGAGTACAGCGAGAAATGTTAGTGTGTGGCTCCTTCCTCACCTGCCTGGAGGTGGCATGGTGTGTGCAATGCAGAGGATACTGATTTATACAAGTGGGAAATGACGACCCAGCTTGTCCTCCTTCACTGACCCTGGAGGCCCAGGGAAGGCCAGCGAAGAGGTTTTTCAGCAAAAGTGGCCTTCTTTTGTAGTTGAAAGCACTGAACTTGAGGCCACTATCATAAATATCAATGGCTTTTTACCTGGCATGCTGGTGAACCTTATTAACCTGAAATATTTTCTGGGCTGGTGACACTGGAGCCTCTAATAACTTTTTAGTCGGCTGCCTCTGTACTTAATGTGTTTTAAACATTTTTGGCAGGACTGCTTTCCAAAAAGATTTGCCCAATAATTTCAGCCTAAGCTGTCTAAAATATTATAGAACACTTGTTGCTGGGAATAATATTTTCCATGATAAAATCCCTGCAGCATTGTGACATGTTAAACATTTTAAAGATAATTTTGTGTATGTCTCACCTTTCAAGGGAATGGGAGCCTTAGTTCCTGGTGGGCAGGTGGTGAGTAAGGAGATCTGACCCCTCCCCAGTAAACGGTGTGAATTATTCCTTTGGAAGCTTCCGGTGACGTTATGGTCTGGAGTACTGGGAAGCCATTTTTTTTTTCACGTGCTTTAATTGCTTTTTGCTGGAGCCAGGGATATTTATGGGTAAGGAGATTGCCAAGTTATTTATTAGATGGAGTATCTAGGGATAGACTAATATAAATCACTTAGGCCGGTATTGAATATACCAGACACTCAGTAATTTAAAAAGCTTTAATAAAAATGCTAAAATATGAGACTTGTCTTTGGCTGTAATGAGACTCAGTTATCATGTTTTTATCAGCAATATTCAGTCACAGACCCCCCTGCCTTTTTCAAGAGTAAGAAAATGTGGATATAATCCTCATTTCCAGACTCTCCAGGTTTGTTGGAATTGAGGAAGGTTTTAAAGATTTGAAAAAAGGCTTATATAATAATTATTTGGGAAGCTAATTGCTGACTTCTTCATGCTTAGAAATCCAAGAATTATAAGTAATGTCTTTTGTGGATCCAGCATGATAGTGAGTGGGGGAAAAAACGTGGCGGTATATATGGCTAAACTTGGCTTATGTGTTGTACTTTCTATATTATAAAGAACCATTACTGTGTATGCTACACCCAAGCCCTGGTCCACAGAGAACAGAGTCAAAACCTATTGTGTTTAGAACCAGTGGAATCCCTAAGAACTCAAAATGTAGTTTTTAATTTTTTTTAGTGGAAATACTAAATTAATGGTCTATTCTATACTATTTTTTTGTTTTTATTTTTGTTTAATTTTTTTTCTTTTTTAGAGACACTTGGAGACACCGTACTCCAGGCTGGAGTACAGTGGCACAATCACAGCTAACCATAGCCTTGAACTCTTGGGTTCAAGCAGTTCTCCTGCCTCAGTCTCCCGAGTAATCAGGACTATAAGCGCATGCCACCATGCCTGGCTGTGTGTGTGTGCATTTTAAAGAGACAGGGACTTGCTACATTGCCCAGGCTGGTCTAAAACTCCTGGTCTCAAGCAATCCTTCCACATTAGCCTCTGAAAGTGTTGGGATTACATGTGTGAGCCACCACTCCTGGTTCTATACCATTTTATAGTTTAAAAATTATATTTACTTTTATCATATCATTTATTCACAGCTAGAACCTTCTGAAGATAGCTCTATCATCTGCATGCCACCAAATACTGCTTATTTTAATAAAATTACCCAATGGAAGAATGATCCCTGAGCTCAGACCCTTTCCCCTCTTCCCACAATAGACAAGATGATGGACAACTGCCCATTTCTTAAACATTTTCCAAATCCCATCTTCCTCCCAAGATAAAGAGTTTCTGTATCTGTTCCCAGAGAATTTCCTTCTTCAATTCTGTCGCAGACTTGAACACACAATGACCACAACTTGGGTGCAGGGGTGAGGCACAGTGATCTAATCTTGGCAGCACAAAGCTGGTGGGAGAAGGGAAGAGGCGTGGGTGTTCAGTCACAGGCAGGAAATTTACTGGGAAGTGTACCTAGGCTGATTCCAGATAGATGGCCTGAGGGTGAGGCTGCATCCCAAGGGGCAGCCAGCTCAGTTGAGACACCCCCTGGGCCCCAGCATTGCTACTCATGTGAGCAAAACACAACAGAGACCTGCAGCCCATTCATCATTGGAAAGCTCTGGGTGTGGGGGGTGAGGGTGGATGTTCATGGTGCAGAGCAGGGCAGGAGTCTGTCAATACTCCCAAGTCGCCAGGTGCCAGGTTGCAATATGGAGCAAACCAAGGAGGCTCAGAGAGGTTGGGTGAATCTGTCCTGCTGATGTGGCTTCCAAAGGCTGTGCTCCAGACCTGGATAGAGACTGGGTGCTATGCAGGGTTCTAGAATAAACTTAGAAGAAGGGTCATGGAAGAAACCACATTTCCCCTCAAAGATTTAGGATGGGGGACAAGATGGACATGCAAAAGTAGTTTCAGAAAGCCACAGCAGAAAGATCTGCTGGACAGTGACAAAATCAGGAAGGCCAGGAGCTGATGGAGACAAGGAGGGGCATGAAATCCTAGGTGTGGATGCATCTGGCCTAATTCTCAGCCCAGGCATCTTTCCACGTCTGCCTTCCCCAGCCAGGAGTGGCTTAAAATGTGACAGGACTGAGGCGGAAGACTGGAGGCATCAGGGACCATTGGTGAGAAGCTGAGGAGTACAGGCTGGTTGATCTGGGCCAGGAATGTCCCTGCTCACACTCCGCACTGATCATCTGTAACCAAGGATCACTAAATGACAGGTCTAGGAATTAAAGCAGAGAATGAGAAGATGCTGGACTTCCCCTGCATTGCCTCATTTGGTTTTCCTCCTACTCAGTGCAACAGGTGCTTTTGGTATGACCTACTTCTCAGATCATCAAAGTGAGGGCCACTTCTGTTCCAAACCTTGCAAGACTTCTCTTCTACCCATCTCACTGTGTCCAAACCAAAAGCCCTGCCAGCAAGAGTGGAGAGATGCTGGCCTTTGAAGCCAGGCACATTGGATCACCTCAAGCTGTGGGCTGGCTGTAGCTGAAACCTTGGGTTCTGCAGTCAGTCAATGGGAGACACATCTCAGCCTCTCCTCTTCCAGGCTGTGTGAAATTTAGCAAGTTATTTAACCCCTCTCTGCTTCTAGTACCTAATCCTTAAAATGTAAAGTAGTAGTAAAACTGCCATGTAGGGTTTCCATAAGATGAAATAAGTGATGTGTGGCAAACTTTGCACAGTGTCACTTGACACTTATTAAGTTCTCAATAAATGAGAGTTGCTGGCAAAAAAAAAAAAAAAATCTGGATATAGAATAAAGAGCCCATAACATTGGCATTTACTATGTGCCAGACACTGTGACAAAAACCCTTTTATATTCATTTATCATTTATTCCTCCCAATGACCCTATAAGTTACTTATGATCACTATGCTGTTCTGCAGTTTGAGAAACTGAGATTAGAGAAGTCACACAACTTGCTCAAGGTCACACTGTGAATAAGAGGGAGGGAGCTCAGGTTGTTGTAACAAGAGACTGCCATGACCATGTTAAAGAGGAAGGTAGAGAAAGAGAGAGGTCTGAAACTCGCTCCAGGAAGGCCGGAAATACTCAGGGGGCCTTCCTGTGAGAGAGAGACTTGGATTGACAGAGGTCATGGGCTTGGCCACCACCTCACAGCAAATGCTTGACAGAACTGGGACTGGAACCAAAGTACTTCCTCATGGGCAAAATGGGAAGGTAGAGCGAGGGGCATCCCTAACGTCTATTTTGACTTGAAAATTCTGTGATGTAAATTAAACCCTGTGATCCTAAGTGTGTGTGTGGCCAGAAGAACTCTCCAGGGAGCCTACAAGTCGGGGGGGAAAGGAACAAAAGGAGACTCCCAGAGGGAGGGCACCTCCATGCTCCAGAAAGAAGAGAACTCGACAAGAAAGACTCTTTTGCTGCATTCAGTTCCTCTGATCATGGTCAGTTGTCTGAATTGTGCAAATTAAAAATAGGAAGTGTGTGTCTGAGTCTATAAATAACTTCTGTAAGAGACACTGTGGAGACAACCATCACAAATGAACTTAGCATAGCCTGAGAGGTTTGTGATGTCACCCAGCCCCTGGCATGTATTCATGTATGTGTTATTCAGAACCATTTGTTCTCATTCCCTATCATTTCTCTCATCAAAATAGAGCCCAGAGGAGAATAGCAATCAGAATGGACTGGGTCTATCTGCAGCACAAAATAAAACCATATCACACCAGGACATGGAGGGAGTCTCATTCACACTCAGAGTATATAAGACCAAATAACATGGATCTGGCCCTGCCTCAAATAATTGGATGTGACTTCACACAACTCACCTAGTTCCAATTTGCTGGCTGCCCCACTGGATCCTGAGAGGTTGTATTTTTCTGAAAATCTCCTGGCATTAGCAATTACATTTAGCACATATTGATTGAGCACCTACCAGATACCAGGCATTGTGCTGAGAGGCACCTGGAATACTGAGATGAACAAATGACAGTCCTTAATTATAAGGATCCCCGGTCGAGTGAGTGAGAGAGACATAGAAAACAATAGAACAGTGTGAAAAGTGCTGTGACACTAACCACATATCCTGCCATTCACCAAGCTCTGTTTATTTTACTCCCAAATGTCACTCAAATCTCTCTCTTTCAGCTCATCTCTCTCCTATTACTGCACTTGTCTAACCTTCTGCCATTTCACTTTTGGACAACTCCCTAGCCAGTTTCATTTTCACTTGCTCAACTTCAGTCTATTCTCCACACTGCAGCCAGGAGTGAACAATTCCCAGTGGAAATGTGTCATGCCTGCATCACTTGCCATTATCATCATTATCATCATCATCATCATCACTACCACAATCATCATCACCAACATCACCACTATCGTCATCATCAGCATTACCATCACCACCACCATCATCACCATGATCACCATCACTATCTTCACCACCCTTATTACCCTCAACATCATCATCACCGTCAGCATCTATCACCATCATCATTACCGTCATTACTATTGTCATCACTGTCGTTATCATCATCACCATTATCATCACCATCACCATCATTATCACCATCATCATCACCATAACCATTATCATCAACATCACCATTACCACCATCACCATAATCACCATCACTATCTTTACCATCTTTGTCATCATCATCATCACCGTTATTATCACTATCACCATCATCATCTATCACCATCACTATGTTTATCACCACCTTTATCATCAGTACCATGATCTTCATCATCATCATCATCAGCAGCAGCAGCAGCAGCAGCATGTCTTTAAACATTTTAATGTATAGCCCAACTGCTGTTACAAAAAGATTGAAAATCTCAGGGTTTATTCAAAGAATCTGTAAGTTCTGGGCTCTACCTGCGCTTTCAGCCTTAGTTCCTGAGATTCACTATTTTCACTTCATCCACAGTCACTGAAGCTCATCATGCTCTCTGTTTTGTAGATCCTTTGCACAGGCTGATCCATCTGCCCAGCTCTGCCCACAACAAACCCTTCACCAAACTCACTGACCAGTAAAAAATCCCTAGTATGGGCTATCATGGAGCTTTGCACCACTTCATAGCATAGCCAGAGTGAAATCACACATAGATTCTCATGATGACTTTTCAGCGTCAGTGTTCTCCTCTATACACTAAGCTCCATAATTTACATGAGAAAAGGACCTTGTCTATTTGCTATTCTACCTCCAATGTAACGTCTGGCTCATAGTGGGAACTCAAAAAATGTTTTCAATGAATATATTACATCGTTATACATATGTTGTCATGGAACACAGACATACATTTATCTGTAGAATGAGGGAACTGATGGAGAGAAGGTATTCTATCTCAATACCAGTTTTCAAGTATGAGTAAGAGTTCAGCATATGGATGAATGGGGAATATGGCACATGGGCAGAAGGAACAGCACATGCAAAAGTGTGGAATCATGAATTAACATGAGGTATTTGGAACATTGCCAAATGGGCTGATGTGACTAGGGCAATGCGAGTTGTCTTGGAAAGAAAAGAGGAAACAGTGGGCAAGTAATGAGAAATGGGGAGTTAAGCAGACATTATGCAGCATTATTCAAAGAACTATCAATAAATGAAAAGAATATTTTCTGAGAAGTCACATGTGTTGGGGTGTCGTCTCTCCTTGTAATACAAGACCTCATAAGAGATGATTGGCCGTGATTGATGTTTTTATAAACGTTTTATGCAGATACAATTCACGTACTATAAAATTAGTCCTTTATTAAGAGAACAGTTCAGAGCTTTTAGAATATGCACAGGTTGTACACTAGTCACCACTATCTAATTCTAGAATATCTTTATAATTCCAATAGGAAGCTCCACCTCCATCAATAGTCACTTCTCATTTATCTCTCTCCCTAGCTCCTGGCAACCACCAATGCATTTTTTATCTTTATGGATTTTACTATTCTGGATATCCTACATGAATGGAATCATACAATATGTGGTCTTTTGTGTTTCGCTTCTTTCACTTAGTATTTTCATGGTTCATTCACATTGGGTCATATATCAGTACTTTGTTTCTTTGTATGCTTATATAATATTCCATTGTATTGGTGTATCACATTTTGTTTATCCATTCATCTCTTGATAGATATTTGACTTGTTTTAAAATTTTGTCTATTATGACCAATGCTGCCTCAAACATTCATGCACAAGCTGTTGTGTGGGTATATGCCTTCATTTCTCATAGGTATATAGCTAGAGTAGAATTGCTGATCCATAGGATACTTTATATTTAGCCTTTTGAAGAACTTACAGACTGTCCTCCAAGGTGGCTGTGCTGTTTTACATTCCCACCAACTGTATTAGTCTATTAATTCTCCACATCCTTGCCAAACTTGTTTTTGTCTCTCTTTTTGATTAAAGTCATCATAGTGGGTGTGAAGTGATATCTCATTGTGGTTTTGATTTGCATTTTTCTGGTAAATAATGGTGCTAAACATCTTCTTATGTGCTTATTGGCGATTAGTATATCTTCTTTGGAGAATTATTTATGCAACTCCTTTGTTCATTTTTAAATTGGATTATTTGACATTTTATTGCTTTTACATATTTTGACAGTAGTCCGTTATTAGATATATGATTTTCAAATACTTTGTCTTATTTTGTGGATTTTCTTTTCACTTGCTTGATAGTGTGTTTTGAAGCACAAACACTTTTAATTTGAATGAAGTCCGGTTTATCTATTTTTTCTGCTGTTGCTTGTGCTTCTTGTGGTATAGCTAAGGATTCATCACCTAATCAAAGGCTACATAGTTTTTCTTGTGTTTTCTTCTAAGTTTTAGCCCTTACATTTAGGTCTTTGATCTATTAATGTTTTGAGTTAATTTTTGTATATGGTATGAAGTAGGGGTCCAACTTCACTGTCTTGCAAGGGGATAGCCACTTGTCTCAGTACCATTCATTGAAAACACTATTCATTCCTCATTGAATTGACTTGGCACCTTGTTGGAAATGAACTGACCATAAAATGTGGATATATTTTTGGATTCTCAATTCTATTCCATTGATGTATATGCCTATCCTTATGCTGATTTTTAATTGTGCATATTTTCTAAGAATGTGTTGGGAATTAAAGGAAGCAATGTATATACAGCACTTAATGCTAGGCTTCAAGAAATAAACATGAACTATTTTGTTGTTGCTGCTGGTGGTGTTATTACTCTGTTCCCAGGAGGAGCTCACTGATAAGACCCAACTTGTTGCTGAAAGACCATCGGCTCCCAGGGTTTTAGACCAGAACAGACCTGGGGATTTACAATCCAATGCCTCCATTCTAAAATTAACCAAAACAAATTAACAACAATGCACACACACAAACATATGAGCACACAAGTGCACATACAGCTCTAGCCAGATACATTAAATGATTAGAAAAATGTCACAGAGCTACAGAAGGAAAATATTCAGAATCTGCTCCTCCTTACACTTCATGCAGTGCTTTTTGCAAAATATTATACTATTTGAGTATACAGAATATCACATAACCTAGCCTAGATAAATGCCATAATTCTCAATTTGCTTCTGGTTTAAGAAATAAACATTTCTATTAAAATGCAAAAAGGTAGCCCCAGAAGGATAAAACATTGGATCCTTAAAAGTCTTTTCGGTATTATTTTTGTAAAATAGCCTTGAGTGTTTAAAACTGTAATGAAAAGTATTTCACATTTATATTAGCTTTCACATGGTCTCTTAATATTTTGTTATTCCCTGATAATAATAACAACAATAAAGTAAAAACAATAATAATAGATTTTTAAGCCATTTTGAAATAATTATCACTAATCTAATCTCCATATCTCTGTGATGCAAATATTTTTATGCCCATTTCACAGTAGAGGAAGCTGAAACTTAATGGCTTGTGTACAAAAATCACACAGAAAATAGTAGGAAAAAAATTGTGTTCAAACCTTAGCCCCTGTGACTCCAAATCCCAAGATTTCTTTTTCTAACTCTGACATACAGTCTTAAATAAAACAGTTAAAACTAGACAACCAAATATTGTGACTGGTCAGAGACAGGGCAGAGTTGTGATGGAGGGAAAGGCTGCCCTTGCAGTTACCTTGTGGAGCCATCTCTAATGGAGAGCAGGCCCTGGAGGGACAGGATGCTGAGGGATGTAATGGAAGCTGGGCAGCTCTGGGTGACTGGGAGAGGACCAGACAGAACAGGTGCCCCTTGCGGGGGTGTAGCAATGACTCCTAATCTTGGCTGCATGCCAAATTCACCTTGAGGACTTTCTGACACTATTGCTTCCTGTTCTGATTCAGCTCTAATAATCTGCAATTAAAAAAAAATTCCCAGAGAGTTCTTGACAACGTGGGAGTTCTTGACAATGTGGAGAGAATGAGGAAGCAGCCTTCAATAAGCACCTACTTTTGGCCAAGGATTGAGCTCAGAGTTTTACCCATACCTTCACCCAAACCATAAGCAGGTGTCATGAACACTCCTCCTAGGGGAGGAAACCGCAAGATCCAGAACTCACCTGCACACAGGCATCCAGCTGAAGAGAGGCCAGGACCAGAGTCTGGAGCTGTGTGACCCCAAGGCCAGTGCTGTCCTGGTGACCTGAACCCCTCTCACTGGGTCTGGCCCTGAGGGTTAAGACTGTGTCCCAGCATCCTGTCTTATGGGCACACGTCAGTTCCTTTATCTTGTCCTGTCTACCTCAGAGCTGTTGTCAAGAACAAATTAGATAATAAAGCCCCAAACACCCATCACATACGAGGTATCATTACTTATTGCATTGCTAAGGGTGTGGGCAAGGCTGAGGTAGGGAGCAGCAGCAGCCACCTCTGCATCTGGTCCCAGGCCCACTTTTCTTCTGCCTCTCAGCTGAGATGAGGTCTGGGTCCTGGCTGGGCAGGACATGGTGCTGATGTCCTGTACCCTGTTCCTTCTAGAAACAGACACCCCCTAAAAGAAAACATTTTAAAAGCCAATTTCTTCATACACATGTGAGATTTTCCCTGTGCATTTGCTTAGGCCCAATAGCTCAGTTTAAGAGGAGGAAATTGATGGTTAGTTATTGAATATGCACTTTTTACTCTGGTAGCTAGAGAGTTTATGCACTTTTTACTCTGGTAGCTAGAGTGTTTATGCACATACATACTCTACATATACTCTATGTAGATATGAAATATATAGTAATGTTATACTATATTATTAAATATAATATACAATATATTATACCATATTATTATATATAACATATCATATAATGTATTTAAATATATATATATATGTGTGTGTGTATATCTCCAAGGTAAGCTTTATTTATTTATAAGTCCCAACTTAAAGTTGGAAACTAAGATTTAGGAAATGAGCAATTAGGCACAGATTAAGCCATTTCTCTGATTCTAAATGGCATGAACAATATCAACAATGAGTATATACAAAGGCTAATAACAGCTAACATTTACCAGGTACTCACTTATTTCCAGGCACTGTGCTCCTCTGTTGAATACATTTATATTTAGTTCTTGCAACAACCTGAAGAGACAAGTTTTTCATCCCCATTGTACAGATGAGGAGCCATGGGCTTAGACTCAGTAAATAAAAGTTGTCCAATGCCAAGCAGGTCTATTGGACTTCAGAACTGGAGGCATGTTCCCTGGCCTCTCACTTCCGTTTCCACCACATCATATCAACTTTATGCAGGGTGGGGCTGATATGTGCAAAATCACACATTTCAATCCCAACTAACTTTACAGAAAGACATGTTTCATCTTTGGGAAAGCCTTTTCCAGCTCAAGTCTTCTCTCTCACAAGTACACAATCGTTTGAGTAAAACAGTATACAGAGTAGTCATTTATTTATTTAACAAGTTTTTATTAAGCATCTATTAAATATTATGTGGCAAGCACAGTTCTAATTACTGGGAGTGTAGTGGTTTATAAAGCAGATAGTTTAGTGGGCCAGAGAGATGTTAAACAAATAATCATATAAATGGATATAAAAGCACAAAACTATGTATGTTTTATACAAGAAAATGTAAAGGTTGAGGAGAGATTGTAACAAGAGGACCTGAAGTAGTTATTGAGGGTGGGAGACTGGGGTCATTAGCAAAGACTTCTCTGAGGACGTGACATTAAAACTGAGCCCAGAAAAAAAAATTACACATGTGAAGAATAGGATGGTGAGGATTTCAGGGAGAGGATAGAGCAAATGTCAATCTCTAGGATGGGAAACACTTGACACATTAAAAGATGCTGAATTTAGAAACCCATGCACTCATACATTATGTTTATAGGGATAAAGAAGATGTTACTGCATGTCAGTCATTGTGTGTATAATAGGAATGTGAGGATACCTATCACAGATCTTGTCCATGGGATAGCTCAGTTGCAAAGATAAATGGTGTGATAAAGGCATAAACAAGATTGTCTTGGGAAGAAGAGAAAGAGCAATTCAGGCATCACAAATAAGCTCTGAATGTGAGTTGAGAACTGGAGAGTGGGTGGATCAGATGGCATAGGTGTGGGAATGGGTTTTCCAAGCAGAGGGAATTGTATGTACAATTAAAGGTACAAATAAAGGTACAGGTAAATATACAAGTAAAGGTACAAAGCTGAGAGGGTGATGGAGCTCTGGGGAGAGGCTTTAGAGAAGGGCCTAGAAGTTATGTTTTGGACAGACTGCAAAACAAATGGTTTTGTAAATCCTGCTAAGAAGTTTTAGACCTTCCGTCTTTAGCAAGGGGCAGATGTTGGAGGTTTTAGGCAGAAGCAAGATATTTAAAAGATAACTGTGGTATTTCTACCTCTGTCTATTGGTCATCTATTTGTCTATCCGTCTATCTGTCCGTTTATCTATCTATCATCTATCTCTTTCTAGCTACCCACCTACTTACCCAACCTCTGTCAATGTATCATCTGTCTTGCTATATTTCTATCTATATTGATCTTTCTTCTGCCTAGCTATTACCCATCTGTCATCTATCCAAAATGACCACATTTTGAAGTTACCGTAGTTGTGCATTGAACCCTCTGCACAATCTATGCAAAGGCCCTATTGTAAAACACCACCATCAGTGAAAGATAAGCAGATACCTGCAGCACCAGCAGGGAAGGCTCAATAGCGTCTGCACAGATAACACACTGTGCTACTTATTATCCTTTAGTTAAACTCTGTGGGTCTTATCATTTTCTTTGAGTAATTTGGGCATTTCAGATAAGGTTATTATTCATTTCTTAATGTTTATGTGTATATTTACAAGCAGTAGCAATATGTATAGATTCATTTGCTACAGATACTTGTCTAAAAATTAAACAAAGATCTGCCAAAATACGGAGAAGCACTTAAAAGCTATCCCCAAGTGTTCCTTTCTTCACAAAGTCATCATGGAAACAAGGGTGGAGTTGTAGTGATATTGCCAATTCAATTCAGATTTAAATTTACGTTAAAAGTATTGAATACCTTCCTTGGCAAGCAGCATGCATGGCCCTGGGGAAACAAGGACGGTGAAGATGGGCTTCTCCTGTTGTGGTCCGCAGTGTGCAAGGGGCGCTGACTTGAATGGGATGGTTTTGTTCCTCATGGCAGGTACTGGGAGGGGAGATGCTCTGGGAAGGCATTTGAAGCAGAGCACACAAATGCATGAACGCTTCTGGATGGAAATACTGTGTTTGGGGAATTGATCAACAATAAACAAAGAGGAATCATAATGCAGTGAGATGAGCTCTCATTTACTAACCCTGTAATTTTGATCCATTTATCTCCCCATGCCTCAGTTTCTTCAATATTAATAGTGAGAATATTTATTCTATTTATCTCACCATTTGTAAGGATCTTCTCTCCATAAACAAGCAATTTGAAAACAACAAAGTTGCATATTAATGTTAGTTTCTAAGGATATCATAATTAAGAAGAAAAGAACTTCCCTTTCTGCCAATTCATCCTCTGCACTTCCTTTTCTGCTGGCGATCCACACCCTAAAACTGTACTTATCTTTCCTCCTTGGAGACAATGACAGAGAACATGACGGAGCTACAGAGGAAAGCAGACAACACTACCTGGGCTTAGAGGGAACATCTTGGTTAGTCTTCGCGATCCCACTTCAGGAAGCTCTTTCCTAATGGGTGACATTGACTGAGCGCCTGAGCAATGAGGATGACATGCTAAGCATCCATGGAATTTTACATATCTCTTAATCCAGCATCCTTCACACTATCGCATGAGATACGATGTCTGTGGAAAGAACAGTTCTGAGTTGGTGGCTGTGCTGAGTTCTATCCTGAGGCACCATAGCTGTCTCCATTCACTGACTGTGCTTTCCCCAGCTGTGTGTAACTTACTATCAGGGAGCCTCTAGGATCTGAAAAAAAATTAAGACAAAAAACTTCAGATGGCCGAACACTTCCAGCTGAAGCGACGTTATTCTGAGAATATTTTGGAAGTTGCACTCGAGTTGTTGCTTTACAGAAGTGAAAAAAGTATTGACATTTCTAAGCCCAGAACTATTTTTTAACAAGCTAGAAAATATAGGAAAAAAAAAAAACGGGTAGAACATGTTTCTCAAGAGAATGCAGTGTAGCTAGAATGTACACTATTTTTTTCCCAGCATGTATTTGGGTAAAATATGTGCACTGAAATTTCAGGCCAAATCCTAATGCAGAAATAATCCCAAATATGGCAGATTTATAAGCTAGGCAATTTTTATTTATTTGCTAATGTAGATTCCCTTAAGAGCTCAAATGTTCTACTTTTTACTCTTGGCTTCTCCTTGAAAAGACTTACCTGTAAGGTCTCAGCAGCGTAAAACTCCAAGCTGCAAAATCGTCTGAATTCAGCATTTGCCATAATTCTCCTTTGACATCAACTCAGGTTGGTTTGGAATTGACTTGCACTGTACCTGTTTGGTAATTAATAATTCACAATTAAATTGGCAGTACAAATAAATCAGCATGTCTGCAGGCTTGGAGCCTCCACTCTCTGTGTTATCTTCCTTTTATTTGAGGATCTGAAAGAAAATTAGAAAGAAAGGTTTGAGTATCTAAAGTCTTCCATTCAAAGCTTTACCTCCCTTAGTTTTGGGACTTCTTTTCAATCTGTTTTGGATCTTTCTTTCAAAGAGAAATTAAGCATGTACCATTGTCAGCCTGTGTGATTTACACTGAGGAGTAGAGATGTGTGTGATTCCACACTTGCCCTCCAGCTCCTCATCCTCTAGGTGCAAAGACAGTCAGAAGACAATAAACTGCCATACACAGAGCATGTTCAATACCCTTCCTGAGACAGGTCTAAACAAAATGCAGCAGAAGAGATGGCTGCTTCTGCTTTCAGGATGTGGGGAGAGGTCAGGGCAAATGGCAGAGGAGAGAGGATGTTGGGGTACCCTTTGAAAGATGAGTCATATCTGTTCAGGTAGGGAATCAAGAAAAGACAGTCAAGGAATAGAAAAGTTATAGGAGTGCTGATGCTTTTAAAATATTTGGGAGAGGACAAGGGGCCAGTGTGTGCCATGTACTGTGTTAGAGGAAACAGGGCCTGAGATGAGGTTTGTCAGTGGGTTTGGGGGTTCGACTCCAGAGAGCTCAGGTCATGCAGAAGGGTTTGTTTGCTTGTTAAACCTGGTAGAGTGTGTGCCATGTGCTGTGTTAGAGGAAACGGGGCCTGAGATGAGGTTCATCGGTGGTTTTGGGCGTTCGACTCCAGAGAGCTCAGGTCATGCAGAAGGGTTTGTTTGTCAAACATGGTAGGCCATTCTGGGGTGAAGGAGTAAGGAGGACAGCAGTTTGCTTCCATGATTACTTGGAAAGACTGCTCTGGTTACATGTAGGGAATAGATTGGAGGGACCCCAAAATGGAAAGAGACCAGGTGGAAGGTTCACGGTGGGAGGCTATTGCAATTATCTCCGTGAAAATTGGTGAGAAACAACCAGGACAGTGGTGATGATAAATAAGAGGTGAGAAGGAATCTAGGAGTTTTCCAATACTGACCTTTAAGTTGAAGAGCATCAAGGCCTGGAGGTGAGAGAGTAAGACCAAGTGTCATTTTAGGCTTTGTAGTGCTGTGGGTACATGGGCATGGTCCTGGCCCATGAGAGGAAAACTGTTGTTTGTGAAATATGTTTTTTCTGTCATCATCATGATCATTGTCATCATCATCTTAGGAGCTAACATTTATTGAGTGCTTACTTTATATCAGTCACTCTGCTAAGCCATTATTTCACCTAAACCTCACAATACAGTGAGTTTAGCTACCATTATCATCCACATTTCCTGAGTGAGAAGAATAAAGCTCAAAGGGACAAAGGCAGGTCACCTTGCTAACGGTCATGTAGCAGGTGAGGAATTAAACTGATTAAAACACTGGTCTATCTGAATCCAGAGCCCTGCTCCTAACCAGTAGGATATGATGCCATTTAAAAAATACAATTTGGAGTACAATCTCATGGTTACAGTAACAGTAAGGACACCCACACATTGCTGGTTGGATCCAGGATTTTCCAACTCTATCAAGAGAGTCAGAAAATTTCACTGAGTTTTAAAGGATGTGTCTTAAGGGATGATTGGGGATTTTCAGGTTAAAATAAGTGAGAAATAAAAGAGTTCCACAATGGAACAACCTGTTCAAGGTCAAAGATTTTAAAAGGGTCTGGGATACTCAGAAAATAGTAACTAACTCAGCGTTATCAGCATTTTGAGTGCAATGTTGGGGAAGGCTTGAGGCTGAGGACAGGGCTCCCTAATGGTTATCAGCTTATGCCACTGATTCCACTAAAAACAGTAGACATGGGGATAAACAGGAGCTCTTGGAAGGCTTTGTGAATATTTTTGATTTTGCCTTTCAATCAACAGTCACACCATCTCTCAATTCCTCTGCTTCCCACCGCTCTTCCCACATCTGCCTCCTGCTATCGCCAAGGTATAATATAGAGCTCCTTCTACCATAAATACAAGGTAAATGTATATGGCCATATCCTTGGCAAATCAAGCAACTTGAAATTTATTACTGCAAACAATATTTATTATAAAAACATGCTATACAAAAATTTGTAGGCTAACACCTCCTTTTAAGTGCAAAGAATTATTCTCAGGTATTTCTTCTATCCTGTTTCCTTACAGTTCCTCCTCAGATCATGAATATCTCCTCAGACATCACTGTGAATGAGGGAAGCAGTGTGACCCTGCTGTGTCTTGCTATTGGCAGACCAGAGCCAACTGTGACATGGAGACACCTGTCAGTCAAGGGTAAGGTGCTGACCTGGAGGACGTTTTCAGAGGTAGTATGTTAAAGTCTTGGCTCTTATGCACAACAGAGCTTCAGGAATCAGAAAACATTTTGTAATCCAGTCATAGAAAATCAAACAGGCAATATGCACCAATTGCTGGCTATTTCATTTCAAAAGAAGGATTCATAGAGGAAATTTGCTAAATGATGGTGTCAGTCATTTTTATGGCCTTAGATGGCTTTTGTTTTCCAAACTATGAAGAACAAAGGACATAAGAATAACTTCCAATGAAGATGTGAATTTCTGAAAGTAGAGGTGGGTCAGTTGGTGGTTTGTTCTTCCTGGAAGTAGAGTGCAAGAGTATTAGCGTGGCCATGGAGAACTTTGGCATTATTGTGCGTCCAGGAGTAAAAGGATCTCCTTGCTTCAGCACTTTTAGGACATTTATCCAGAGCCACACATGTCTGACATGTCCATAAATAGTTCACCTTGAGTGGAAGAAGGATGATGGAAATGGTTAAGTGCATTTGGGCATGACTGTGCTGAGCATTCAATAATTGGTATGAAAACATCAGTTAAAACCATTTCCAACTTAATAGCAAGGGAACCAGAAGGACAGTGGGGCTTGCCCTCTTGGAAATAAAACTTGCCCCAAGTCAAACTTGAAGAGGTGGGCACAGAGCCACTTGAAATATTTACACTGTTACTAAAAGCTGTGATTAAGTCTAGGAATTATACAAGAAACAAGAGCTTCCTCAGGCATTAAACATTCAAACATGAAACCAAGTAAGCAGGAAAAATGTATGGAATATGGCTACATAACATTCAAAAATAATATTGATCTACAAGAAAGTTTAAGAGTAAATCTTAGTAATATTGAGAAAGACAAAGCTTTGCCAGGACAAGAAAAGCCCTAACCGTAACAGAAGAAAAGTGATAAATTCATATTAATACTGAAATACTCAAAACTGTGTGATTTAAATAACAGAAATTTATCTCCTCACTTCTCTGGAGGCTAGATGTCTGAGATCAAGGAATCAGCAGGGTTGGTTCCTTTCAAGAGTCTGAGGGAGAATCCATTCCACGTCTTTCCCCTAGATGCTGATGGTTTGCTGGTAATCACTGGCATTGCTTGACTTGTAAATATATTACCCTGATCTCTGCCTTCATCTTCACATGGCCCTCTTCCTAGATGCATCTGTGTCCAAGTTGTTCCTTTTAATAAGGATATAAGCCATAATATATCAGTGTCCACACGAGTAACTTCGTTTTAACTTGATTACCTCTGTAAAGACCCTATTCCTAAATAAGGTCACATTCTGAGGAATCAGGGGTTAGGAATTCAAGGTATCATTTTTATAGGCTTGTAACTTAACTCGTCATAGCCTTCATCAAAATTAAAAACCTTCGGTGGAGACACAGACTGGATAAAAACATTTCTTGTACATATATTTGACAAAAAATTTACATCTAGTGTATATGAAGAATTCTTCCAACACAATTCTAACACTCCACTTCAAACTGAAAAAAAAAATGGGCAATTCCAAAAGAAGATACAGTATATGAATGGCAAATAAGTACACAAAAATATGACTAACATCTTCATCATATAAATAAAAATCAAACCAAGATGAGATACCGTTATATAATCCCTAGGAAGACTAAAATTATAAAGGCTGATAATATCGAGTGTTGGTGAGGATGTGGATCAACTGAAGCTTTATATATTAACTCTGCAACTGTGAAAACATATAAGCCCTATAGGAAACAATTTCACATTTTGTTATAAAGTTAAACATACACTTAGCGTACGACCCAGCAATTCCACTCCTAGGCATTTATTCAAGATAAATGAAAGCATATGCTCACAAATGTACATTGTACACAAATGTTTTTAGCAGCTTCATTAATAATAGCTGTAAACGACGAATAACCCAAATAACCATTGACAGGCAAATAGATTAATTGTGGAATATTCTAACAACAGATTGCTACTCAGCAATTAACAGGAACAAACCACTGGTGCACATAACAAAATGGATAAATCTCAAAAACGGCATGCTGAGGAAGTTAAGCTAAAAATTAAAAAATACATGCTGTATGAATTTGTTTGCATGAAATCCTATAATAGGAAAAACTAATCTAGAATGGCAGAAGTCAAGTCAGTGGTTACCTAGGGTAGGGATTAGGGGAGAAGTGACGGCAAAGGGCCACAAGAAATTCTGGGGGATGTTGGAAAAGTTCTGTATCTTGAAGGTTATGTTGGTGTCAAAATTAGTCAAAACTAATAAAACTGTAAAAAAAAGTGCATTTTATTGTAGGTAATTATATTGCAATTAAATTTGAAGTATAAATATACCGAAATGTAGACAATAATGATCTGAATTTTTTTCTTAATTTGGAACATTATTTATGTCATTGCACTTATCAAATAAGAGACTGGATCTTTTACCAGGAGCATCATTCAATCTTTTGCTGCTTTTTACTTTGTGGACTGAGAACACGTATTTTTGCTCCTGCCTTGTTATAGGGAAAGATAATGCTAATAAATTAGCCTAATATTCTTGGTATAAAGACCTCAGCTATTAAAACCTAGAATGTCTCTATATCATAAAGTAAAATTAATGAGAGTATTAAAGTATATGTAAGGGATATCGCAAAACTCAAATTTAATATAAACAGAGCAATAATGTTCCCCAAGACATGGGTTCCATGATAATTTTGCCTAAAGTTAGAGATAATTTTGGATTTATATTATATACAAAACTATGTCTAACTTTTATATATTTGGTAAAATCAAATGTCTTTATAAATGCTTGAAATCCCAGAATGTAGTTATTTGATCCTAAACACACAGTTCTCTAAGCTTGGAAATCATTTAAAAGGCATTTTAACTTTGTGTAAATGTCCTGAAACAATTCATTATAATGGTACACTGGTAAGATTTTCCTTTTAAAATAAGGGAGATTCATTCATATTCCCAATCTTTTACAGAGTGTAATAGTTGCAATTTAGCCTCACTGGAAAATCCTAAATTTAAATGATCCCTCTCTTCTTTAAATCTCACAGGCTGTGCTGTACTTTGAAGTTGCCTTTGTTTTCTCATAGGCTTGGCCTTAACTTTGTTATCCTTAATTTTCACTATTGTCTTCCCCCTTCCCTCTCTCAATGACATTTAAGCATTTGAACTCCAAAAAATTGTTTCCTTTGAAAAGCGCACGGGCCATGCTAATCTTCTCTGTATCGTTCCAATTTTATACCTAATGTAGGTGACGGGTTGATGGGTGCAGCAAACCACCATGGCACGTGTATACCTATGTAACAAAACTGCATGTTCTGCACATGTATCCCAGAACTTAAAATATAATAATAAAAAAGAAAAGCTCTGGAACATGAAGTATTTGTAAGTTTAAAATTTGCATCTGCAGGGTGACTGCCAATATTTATTTTCAGAAGGATGCTCCTTCTCACTTGCAATTAGGGAGTTGTTCTAAAAGATTAGAAGTACATTCAATAAAACTTGAACATCAAACAGCATTTTTTTGGAAAAATTTGTTGATGGATTCAACATGGAAGAATAAGAAATAAAGGTTGCAATGACATTTTCTTTCAAATTCCAGTAGGATTATGGTGGAGGAGTTAGCTAATGCAATATTTGAAATATATGATTTAAATTTGGGGATCTATAAACAGGGACAAGTAAATCAGCCTTCATTTAAGAAAAATATTTTAATGAGCAGTTATTAAAAATTAAAAATAGTAACAATCACACTTACAGTTTAAGATGGCAATATGAGTACATGCTGTTCACCCCTTACAATTACAGAAAAGAGGTAAAAATAAATGAATAAATAAATCCATTATCACATTGGAGAAAAATAATAGTAAGCTTTGATGGATCAGAAACTATGAGGATTCTCTGAAATATAAAAAGTAGACAGATATAATGAAGGAAAAAATACAGCTCAAAATACAGAAATGCGATCTCTACCTGAGATGATAATGGTTGAAGAGTGAAGGTTTCAGGTAGTGCTGCACTGGTAAGTGAGTAAAGTTGATTGGAGTGGGAGGAGGCAAGGGAATGAGAGGAGTCTGGGTAGCCTCTGCCCATGTTGGTGGTGTAAATACTCCCATCATTGATGTTTCTGGGGAACCCCTTTGAAGTAACTTTGCTTTTCAGGTATATTTGTTTCACAAAAACAAACAAACCAAAGACATATCCTTCTTACCAAAGGAGGGTAAAAGTTTTGAAGCATCCCCAAGTTTCCAAAGGTGGATCCCAAGACATCCCAGCTTTTCTACTCTGTAGACTGCGTAAGCTGCTGGAGCCCTGTCGACCTCTCATCTCCTTGGCAGTACTTAAAGTGTACCAGGATTCCCAGAACCTGGGCATTTTCTGAGGACACATGCCTCACTTTTGAGGAAAGCTGGATGTTACCAGGATCATGATTAAGTGTTGTGAACATAACGAAAAGCACTATGCAAACGTCCCTTTGGGGTTTTGCTGTTTCTATGCAAACTGCTGAACTTTTGACTGTGTATTCATTCTTGATCTTTAGATACAAAAATCTATACTTAATTTTTTCAATAGCAGCCAATGGCTTATTAAAAATATTTATATAGATCTGCTAGAGGGTATGGTACTTGTGTAGCAGCCTTCACACATATGGAAATCTGTACTTAGTGACCCATGGCCCAGGAAGTAGGATGATGATGGAATCACACAGGCTGCTGCCTCAAATAATTTTCCAAAGGAAAAAGTCAGGTCCCAAAACAAGCAAGCAAGGTGTATTGGAATACATTGTGAATCAGCTGCACTTCAAGAATTACTTCCTTTCCCGTTCCTGAAAGACAAGAGAAGGGAAGCTGGGCCAGCATAAACTGGCAGGCTCTTCTAGGCACATGAGTAATGTGAAAAAGTTGCAGGGATGGGAGTGGCAGAAGATCCTGGAGTCTGTTGTGTTCTAAGGAGGGTAGTCGTCCCCTCTTGCAATGCCATAGTCGTCCACTGCGATGCCTCACACACCTGGCTCCATTGCCATGACATATTTGGAAAGGCTAGATGTTTGGGAAAAATAACAAAGGCTTCCTTCCTGTCTCCCCTCCACTGAGATTTTAAGATGACAACTCTTCACCTATGAGTTGCTCATGGAGTCTACTCAGATACAGTAACATCTCAGGGAGCAAGTGCATGAGCTATTTCATACAAGTGAATTTTCCAGGTAACCAAAGCTGACTCTTTTATGCATTTACTCAAGTTATTTCTAATGAAAGCATTTAAAACATGAATTAGGTTGTACTTTGTGTATTTGTGTCTAGTGAATGCCATTTAGCCTCATCTTTATATTGTAACATCAAGATTATACATATCGATTGTATCTTGGCATTTGGGGACTGGGATAACTAGGAATATGACCCTTTAATACTGTCAATACTGTTTAAATTCTTGTGTCTTTTTAAAAATAGCTACTGTATTTTTTCTTTCTTCCATTCAATCAGACTTGTCAGTTCTTCCTAAAGTCAGTGCACCTGTCTTTTAGCAGCCGCATTTCTTCTGATCTGCTTCTAATTTGTCTTGAGCAAGAATCCATAAAACTAAGTTGATTAGTCCTAAATAAGAACTAGTGGTGGGAAAGGGCCTTCTCTGAGTATAGGGCATTAGCTTTCAGGAATGTGATCAATGGCACTGATGACACCTGTCTGGGGGAAATAATGTTTGGCTTTGTTCTAGATATATGAGGATGATAAATGAGTGAATTCCATGGAAGTAAAGAGCTAATACTAGCAAAATCACCACCTATGGTTATCACCTGGTTAGGCAGTTTTGTCTTCTAGTCACTCTGGTAGATGTTCAGGTTAGAAATGTACTGATCAGCTGAGCGCGGTGGCTCATGCCTTTAATCAGAGCACTTTGGGAGGCTGAGATGGGCGGATCACCTGAGGTCAGGAGTTCAAGATCAGCTTGGCCAGCAGGGTGAAACCCCATCTCTACAACCACGCCTGTAGTTGCAACTGCTCAGGAGGCTGACGCAGGAGAATCGCTTGAACCCAGGAGGCGGAGGTTGCAGTGAGCCGAGATCAGGCCATTTCACTGCAACCCGGGTGATAAAAGCGAAACTCTGTCTCAAACAAAAAAGTACTGATCCATGACTGTTTCTGCTACAGCGTTCATTTTTCATGCTAGAAATTCCTAAAGAGAAAGTTTTAGAAGGAATCACCAAGTTCTTAGCACTCCAAATAAAAGATGCACTGACCCGCACTTGTGTATAGGTATCGATCCCTGTTGGATGGTGGTGTTAGCCCATTGGCAGAACATGGACTTCAGAGTCTTATCAACCTAAGCATGAGATCTGGACTGAGTTGTTAACGCCCTGAGTGACTTTCGAAATGTCGATTTATCTCACTGATCCTCAAAACCCTTTACTGCAAAATGGGAACAACTTTATCAGTTTATTTTAGGAATCAAAAGAGAGAATGAATGGAAAGCAGGTAATAGTGTTGAATCCTAACTCAACAGTTATTTCTGAACTGTAGTTGTGCCATATTTGCATTTGAATGCATTCTTTGAATCCATGTAGCATACAGATAGCCTGGGTACTTGTTATGATGGTATTATGATGAGTGCATACTGCATGCCCAGCCCTGTTTTGTACATTTTTTGTGTTTTAACTCATTGAATGTGCCAGCAGCCTTGGGAGAAAAGTGATAATTTTTACTATTTTATTACCTCTTGTCTTTGTCTCTTATTCCTTGACAGTCCAGAGGTCTTTGATTCATTTCTTTGGCCTGAGTGTAGAGTGGGAATGATATAGCAGTTTTATTTGTGATAGGCAAAAAGGCAAATGTCCTTCATTGGGTATATGGTTAAACTGTGGTACAATCACACCATGAAATACTACACAGCAATACAAAGGAATGAACTATTGTTACATTTGACAACTTGGATGGACCTGAAAGGCATTGTGATGAATAAGAAGAGTTGGTCTCAAAAGGTTGCATATTGTATGATTACACTTTTATAACATTCTTGAGTTGTCAAAATTGTAAATATGCACAACAGGCCAGCAGTTGCCAGTGGTGAGAGTGGCAAAAGGAAAGGGAAGCAGAAGGCAGTTGCCTTGGGTTGATGGAGCTGTACTGTATCTTGATTGTTATGGTACCTATATGACTCTATATGTGTGACTGAATGTTGCCGAACTATACACAAAGACATAAAAATAAGTACATGCAAAAACTAGTGAAATCCAAGTAAACTCCACAGTGCAATTATTCATAACTTTATTTATTTTTAATTTTTAATTTTAATTTTAATTTACTTTAAGTTCTGGAATGTGCAGGATGTGCAGGTTTGTTACATAGGTATACTTGTGCCATGGTGGTTTGCTGCACCTATCAACCCATCATCTAGGTTTTGAGCCCAGCATGCATTAGGTATTTGTCTTAATGCTCACGCTCCCCTTCCCCCTCACACCCCGACAAGCCCCAGTGTGTATTGTTCTCCTCCCTGTGTCCAGAGAACATGCAGTATTTGGTTTTCTGTTCCTGTGTTAGTTTGCTGAGAATGATGGCTTCCAGCTTCATCCATGTCCCTGCAAAGGACATGATCTCATTCTTTTTTATGGCTGCATAGTATTCTGTGGTGTACTAAAACACCAAAAGCAATTGAAAGAAAAGCCAAAATTGACAAATGGGATCTAATTAAACTAAAGAGCTTCTGCACAGCAAAATAAACCAGCATCAGAGTGAACAGGCAATCTACAGAATGGGAGAAACTTTTTGCAATCTACTCATCTGACAAAGATCAAATATCAGGAATCTATAAGGAACTTAAAGAAATTTACAAGATAAAAAAACAGTCCTATCAAAAAGTGGGCAAAGGATATGAACAGATACTTCTGAAAAGAAGACATTTATGTGGCCAAAAAACATGAAAAAAAGCTCATCATCACAGATCACTAGAGAAATGCAAATCAAAATCACAATGAGATACCATCTCATGCCAGTCAGAATGGCAATTATTAAAAATTCAGGAAACAATGAATGGTTGTGGAGAAATAGGAATGCTTTCACACTGTTGGTGGGAGTATTAATTAGTTCAACCATTGTGGAAGACCATGGCGATTCCTCAAGGATCTGGAACCAGGAATACCATTTGACCCAGCAATCTCATTACTGGGTAATGGTATTTGGTATATACCTAAAGGATTATAAATCATTCTACTATAAAGACACATCCACACATATGTTTATTGCAGCACTATTTACAATAGCAAAGACTTGGAACCAACCCAAATGCCCATCAATGATAGACTGGATAAAGAAAATGTGTCACATACAACTTTATAAATACAACTTTATATATAATACTATATGCATACACACACACACACACACACACACACACATATATATTTAGTTACATAAGATGACACCATTGGGGGAGATGGGTGATAGTACTGGGTACCTATCTCTACCATTTTTGCAACTTCCTGTGGATCGACAATTATTTCCAATGAAACAATTAAAAAAATAGAAATACAAGGAAAATGAGTCTCTAGTATTCCATTAACAACCTATTCCTATATATGCTTATATAAGAATTTGTTGTTTCTAAAATATTTTCACATGAATCATCTCAAGTGGGTTTATAGCAGCTCCCTAAAATAGGTCAGAGAAAGAATAATTTGTCTATTTCACAGGGAGGGAAACAGATGGAAAGGTTAAGTAATGACAAATGAATCACAGCTAACTAAAATGGTAGCTTTATGAAAAGAACCTAGTTCCTGATTTTCAAGTCTGGAGCTCTTTATATTATACAAAGATGGCTTCCATAGCTTGAGGTTGGAATAGGTATAATGTAAAATGATATATTGAATCAAATTCTGCTTGTTATCTGGGGCACCCAAGGGTGCTCACTAGCTTTGAACATCACCCATACTCTTGCCTTGCCTTTCCTAAGTCCACACCTACCTTCCTATGTCTAGTCTCTTTCTAGCTTCCACTCAGTATTGTTCTAACAAAAGCACAGCCTCCAAATCAAAGCCACATTCATGCCATTGTCCGCTGTAGGTCCCTGTTGTTCCTCTGTGTCAATTAAAATAAACCTGCTGAGACTTCCCAACGTCATTTCTCTTCTAAGCCATCCCAGGTAACAGTTCCAGCCACTAATAGGAATTGCCTATTAGTTGACCTGCTGCATCATCCAGTCTTGCTACTACTTCTTTGTCTCTCTCCAAGGCAGCTAGGAGCCTTGTTTCTAATCTGAAGTCATGTTTAGAGCCTAATTAATCCCTGGAGTGTGAGAAAGAGGTGTCTGAGATGAGAAATCAAGGTTATACATATCTTGCTCAGTGGAACAGTTATGGGCAAACAAGCTGTTCCTCTCACATTTTTGCAAAGCAAATTTATGTTCACTAACTTTGGTTCTTGTTGTAAATGAGAAGTGTGTGAAGGTCTAGCAATGTGCTTTTCGCCATATGGGTACCCATATGTTTTCCCCCTTTGCTTGCGTACATTTTCGCTTTGGCATGCACATATGCCTGTATTTTTGCAACTTAACAATATTAAAACTAATCCCATTTATGCTCCTTTTGGGTGAGTTGATTGAGTCATAAATTCCTGAGAATCTCCTTCTTGGGAGGCTGAAGTTCTTTTGTGCAAGCGGGAGGATGGCAGAGCAATCTATCCTAGCAGAGGGATGCCTTCAGCAAGCGTCACTGTGCAGCTGATGGCCCTGACCCAAACTCCGGAGTGCTAACCTAACACTGGAAGTCTCAGAAATGTAGATTCATAATGCCTTCACATTGACCCCCACCTTCCCTCCCCAAGGTGGAAAACCCTCACTAAGAAATAAGTAGTAATTACCTAGGGTTCTCTTTCTAAAGTCCCAGGTGAATTAACACATCTTACAACAAACAATTATGATGTCTTTAAGCTGTGGTTCTTGATAGGTGACCACACTTTCTACTTAATACTCCTCACACTGAATTGAGAAACTATGCATGTCAGAAATGGGACAGCTGGAAATTAGGCTTGCACAGAAATGATGCTTAGATTCTTCACTGGGCATTTTAGAGAATAAATATGAGAATGGATATCACTTGTATCATATCTAGTGAAAAACCCAACTAACTTAAATGTAAAATTGGAACTGGAAATCCTGCCTACCGTCTGTTGTAAAGCTGTCTATCTTTGTCTCTTATGCCCTCATTCATTCACTCATTTAATGCATTAAGACTATTTGCTTTCCCTTTAGCAACAATGATGTGTAAGATAGACGTTGTTCCTGCCGGTCTGGAGCCTATGGTCTAGTGGGAGAGATAGCTATTTATCAGGTGATCAAGGCCATGGCATCTCACAGTGTGGTAGCTGCTGTGAGGATGGGAAAAAGTGTGGTATAGCCTAGGGTAACTTTTCCCTGAGATAGTGACATTTGAACAGACACCTGAAGATTAACAGAAGTCAGGGAGGAGGGGAACTGGAATGAGTGCATGTATTGAGGCTGGGCTGAGTAGAAGCCTTCAAGGCAGGGAACAGCACATCCAAATGTCCCGAGGTGTGCTGGAGCTGGCTCTTCAAGTTAAAAAGAGCTGTGTCTTGAATGCATAGAAAGCAGGTGAGACAATGGCCTGAGATGGGATACTCATAGACCAGATTGCCTACAGCCCTTTAAAGAGTTAGGTCCTTTGCAAGGACATGGATGAAGCTGGAAGCCATCATCCTCAGCAAACTAACACAGGAACAGAAAACCAAACACTGCATGTTCTCACTCATAAGTGGGTGTTGAACAATGAGAATACATGGGCACAGTGAAGGGAACAACACACACTGGGGCCTGTCGGGGGTGGGGGCAATGGGAGGGAGAGCATCAAGATAAATAGCTAATGCATGCGGGTCTTAAAACCTAGGTGATGGGTTGATAGGCGCAGCAAACAACTATGGCACATGTATACCTATCTAACAAGGCTGCATGTTCTGCAAATGTATCCTGGAACTTAAAGTAAAGAAAATAATTTTTTAAAAAAGTTTTGTCTTTATTCTGATAGCACTTGGAAATAGCAAAAGAGTTTCAAGTAAGAGAGCTTGGAAGTAAGATGTTCATTGTCTGGATTTAACTAAGAACATCTCATTTCTGATCTACTCATTCTCTATGTAAATCTGCAGTTGACTAAACCTCTGTCTATTTCCCCACCTAGAAACCAGAAACTAATTAGTAATAATATGCTTTACATATGGAGGAATGGAGGATGGATTCTGATAGTATCTATTCTGAATACTTTCTACATTATAATATGAGAATGAATATTAACATGTATCATAGCAAATGAAAAGCCCAACTAACTCAAAAGTAAAATTACAATTGGAAAGGCACCCATTGCTGCCTGCTGTATGTTGTAAAGCCTTCTCTATGCAATTGCTATATCAAATTATGCTATTGAAATCAGTCAGACACTGATAAAATTGAGACCGACTTTACAAGTTCTGTAGATCTAATTGGCCTCAGCAGTGGGTCCACAGTGACTCTTGCTGCTGAACAAAAAATGTGGGCTTCAATAGAAAATAATAAGCAGCCTGGTTCCATACTAACATACTGCAGCCACCTCTGGAGATAATGCACTTTAATTTAGACACTGAGCTCCTTCATCTGGCCAGATGTTGAAGGAATCTTAGAAAGGTTTGTTTCCTCCTTCCCTCCTGGATGAGCACCCTTGATAGTACATTTGAAAGACCTCTGGGTCCAGCTCTGTGCACCTACCACCCTTGGTGTTCCCTTTTCAAAGCCATTTATACTTCTTTCTAAAAATCTCTACATCCCTAGGGTAAAATTCCTATAAGTCACCTTTTCTTGCTTAAGCTGTTTTAAATTAGGTTTCCATCACTTAGAGCCAAAGTAGCTCTGATTAAATTCACATGCCATGTAGAGGGCAGTATCTAACTGAGCCAAGTAGAACATAATCCCTGCTCTAAACTGAGAGCCGTGTAGAATGGGGAGACACGTACATGGTACCACAAGGTGACTGGGGCCTAACCAGCTGTGAAAAGACCTCTTTCATATGTAGAAGAGATAGAGAGGTGGCGGCCTGGAGTCATTGATTAACTTTTCAAGCCCACTGTCTCCACCATGGGTTGAAGAACTTGTGGCTGGATTTAGAACTCTGGGTGGGCAGCAGAAGAGGTTCGACATCTAAATCAGCTAGAGTCAGTCTGAGAAAGACACCTTGGCTGTGGGTCTGAGTCATAGAGTAATTAACACCAGGGGGTCATCACCGACTGAGTGCACCAAGCGCACAATGTTTATTTAATGCACGCATGCCTACCATGAGAAAGGTGTTGAGGATACCACCTTGAGTGACTGAAACTCAGCCTCTCTGTCATGATCAACCTCTCATTACTCTGGAAAAACTTTATGAAGAGCAATTAGTTTGTTTCCATCAATTGATTCACTAACCTTTCCTTGGGATGATATGCTCCACCCTGGCCAGAAAGTATCCCTTGCATCTCTCTGTCCTTAGGTTATTTGAGAGCAGGTATGGTACCTGGGGCTTACATATTCAGAAGAACACAAATGACTTACATTTTGCAGGCGATCAAAAAGTGACTATTGAATGGGTACACACACATGTATCCATCGTATATCGATCCTGTAGCGTGCCAGAGAAAAAAAAGGGGAAGACAGTGGAGATTTGCAAAGACAAGTTCCCAGATGCAGGAAGCACTCTGTCTGTACAGTGAAGGGGAAATCTGATGTACAGAGTGAAGGATGTTTGGAGAAGGCACTTCAAGTCCTAGCTGTATTAGGAGCCTGCAGGAAGTTGCAGACTTATCTCCCAAGCATTTTTCTTCCATTTCCCCCACTATAACTATTAGCCCTGGATGACGAGTGAGCTTACTGCTGACGTTTTAATTATATTAAGTTTTAACCAAATAGTGAGGCTATCCTAGTTTAGGCTTCTAGACACGGTGATCTGTGATCTGGAAGATATTTTTCAATTCGTGTCCAATCACTTTTTTTTACTGGAGACCTATGACTTGTGCTGGAAAACTCATTGCCTTTACCAAGAAGATGCATAACAAGAGTTGGGATGACTTACCTCAACAGATACAATTTGATTTTTACAAATTGGTGAGTGATCTTACCATCTTACGCCATCCAGTTCTCTGTGTGACACCAGAATTTTGACCTTCCCTGTCTCTGCAGGCTCTTTTCTTCCTGCTTTCTTCCAAGAGCACCTGAAATCATAAACTTCAACTATGCTGGGTCTTAGCTCCCACATGTCCGAGGTTGAAGAATGACTCTAGAAATGATGGTAGTGTGAAGAAGATCATTCCTCCCCAGTTTAAAGGTAGTAATCATGGTTAATAAGCTGTTTCTCTGTATGAGATTCAGAAGAAGGAGGAAAAGGGGAAGAAAACCAACTAACATTGCTTAGAGGATTTTAACTAGAGTGGGCTCTCCAGTCTCACAAATGTTCCAGCCTTGGATAGGGAACCTCCACTGGAGATGAATAGGGTCAAGAGGAGGTGATCTCATGAAGTAAAAGCAGTTGATTTTCACTTCGAACCTGGGCTTCACAGCTGAAGGCTGTGATTGACTCACACAATAACAAGGACTGGGGTTGAGTGAGGAGGTGAGGGAATTTGATCTCCCACAGAACACCTAAAGTATAGCCCAACTCTCCCTACCCTATTTCCCTCCTTGTAGCCTGCAAAGTGGGAAGCCTCCTTAATCAAAGAAGGAGATCAATGAAGTCCTTTCTGCCTGTCTTTTGTTTTTCCTTTCCTGTCCCCTTCCTTGTGTTATTTTTCTTATTCTATCAAATTTTCCCACTCCAGAATCCCTTAATGGTGAGAGTAATCCTCCTGGGGTGCTGAAAATAGTTTGGTTTTAATGATACCTTAGATGATTTTGCTTCCTAAGAGAAAGATTTAGTAAAGTCATTGATATAAACAGAGCCACTAGTCCCCTGCTTTTCCAATTCTCTTCCTTTTCCCAACAAGCTCTGCTCAGCTCACCTCTGCTCTTCACACCATTGCAGTCTAAATGCTTTCATCCTGGGCCTCTCCAGGACCTCCTCCTGCTCCACTTAGCCCATGCTTATTTGTCCCTGCACAACTGGAGCCTGGTGCAGTAATTACAGCTGTGGTGAAAGGGTTTGTCTCCCTTGGGCACTCAGGACGTTGCCAGTGCTGCTGGTGAAGATCTGAGCCACTTTTGTAGGGCATCATAGGGCCGTGGTGCTCTGGGATGTCAGACAGCAAGATGTTTGGAACCCTACCCACTCCTCTTTCTCTCCCCTACTCTGCACTCTTCTTCTTTTTACTCCTGACCCAGCCCCAAACTTCCTACCACACTTTGTATCTTTTTGGCAGGATTTTCTGTCCCAGAAGGCATGAAAGCAGTTGGAACAAAGGCAGTTTGGCAAAAAAATATTGAGTCATATTTTAAGACTCTCCTGATATTACTGCACCTCTGATTCTGTCTAAGGAGTAAAGAAGCTTCAGAGGCTGCGTGTAGCTGGAATTATACTCCCGAGAGCCCAGGCCCTCCAGAACCCAGCAGGAATCCACAAAGAAAAGCAGACTCTGCTGAAGCATAGGGCTTGACTGTACATCCTTATCCCCTAGTGTTGCTATCTCAAATCACCTCATCCTGATACTCCTTCTCTCCTTACCTGCCTTCATTCTTAAGAGCTACTGATCCTTCAAGCTCTGTCGCACTGGCCTTTGTCCATTGCTGTTTCTGGTTGTGGGCGACTTTCAAGCCTCCCATGCTTGCTGGACTGTCTCAACTTCTGATTTTTTGCATGCTTTGACTATAAGTCAATATCATAAAACCATGCCATGGCATGTCCTCATTGTCATCATCATTATCACCAAAATCATCCTTTAAATTTATTGACATGCCACTTTGACTTAATCTTGGTTTTCAAAAAGGTCTTCTGTCAAAAGGCAGACAAAAATAAATAAGCAAGTACTTAAAAATAGCATATAGACAGAGACTACCATACACACTTTACACAGAAGGAAATGGAGACTTTGGCTAAATGTATTGCATCTGGAAACAACATTCCTTCAATTATTTATTTATTCATGCACTTGTTCAGTCATTCAAGAATGAATTAGTGGGTGCCTTCTACGTGTTATGTACTGTGTTTGAAACAGAAGAATAAATAAAATTATAGTTTTCTCCAGGAAGCTCAAAGTTTAGTGAAAGGCTCAGACATAATAGCATTTAATTATAGTACAATAAAAGTGGGTGCATTAGTGATATATTCATCATGTTGTAGGTTCACAGGAGAGGATCATTTAACTCCAGTTGTTAAATGTGAAAGAATCAGGGATGGCATCCTGGAAGAGGTGACTGCTAATCTGGCTGTAAACATAGATTCAGAGTTATTCAAAAGAAGGAAAATGAAATGGGTGAGGTAGAGGCAAAGAGAAATATTCTAGGCAATGGAGATAAGAGAAGAGACATGAAAATGGGAAATTGCATGGTATACTTAGAAGGATAAAATTCATTTTTTCTTATTGAAGCATAAAGTATGAACTTGTTGTAATCCAAATAAAGTTGAACTCATTTGTTGATGGTCCCATTATGACACTGCTTTCCATGGAAACAAGTTTGATCACACCCGCTAAGAAAACAAAAACAAAAATTAATGTAAGCAAAATCTGTATTCAAATCTTCAAAGGGGTCCCCAAAGGACAAATGTTTTCCATAACAGGTAGTAAAATAGTTGAATGTTGCTTTTTTGCCAGTCTTTCTATTTCACTCACAGTTTGGCAATCTTTTCTCTTTCCCTTCCACATTCCATGAGAATTCTATGCTACCCAGATCTCTACTTTCTTCCCTTATCTGCTTTCCTCTTTCCATAATAATTTTCTCAGATTTCTAACATAAACCAAATAGGCTTCTTCTCTTAACTTCTTCATTAAGCAGCACTAACCATTGTTCTGCTTAACATTAGGGCTACAAATCAAGAAAACATCTATACCTTGATATGTAATGAGGTTTGAGAAGTACATGAAGAGTGAATCATGAATGGCTAAACAGACAGTGAACATAAGGGAAGAACAAGGGCTTTTTATTTAAAAAAATCTTGCGGTCATAATTTAAATTACCGCAGCTTTTGGTGAGTTTTGACAAATTTATATATCTATATAATCACTATCCTAATCAAGATACAGCATATTACCATTACCTCAAAAGCTTCCCTGTTTCTTATTCTTCCCAAAACCTATCCCCACTTTCAACTTGAGGCAAACACTGATATGTTTTCTGCTGTTATATATTAGACTTTTTTAGAGTTTAATATATATATATTACATGTATATATTTAGCAAAATATGTATATGCATTCTATATGTATATATAATCTACATGACACAAATATATATTTAAAACATGTGTATATGAACTATATATTGCACCCTACACACATATCTACACTCTGAAAAAAATGTAAAATCTTGTATAATTTTAGAACATATACTCTTGTTTCTGGATTTCTTCACTCACCTTTTGAGTTTTATTCATGTTGTGTGTGGTTTTTTTATTGCTAAGTGGCATTCTATTATATGATTGTACCACTGTTTGTTTACTCATTTGCCAGTTGGGTGGACATTTGGTTGTTTCTACTTTTTGGCTATTATGAGTAAAGCTGCTATAAACACGTATGTACAGGCCTTTTTCTGGACATATATTTACAATTTTCTTGAGTAAATACTTAGGAGCAGAATTGGTAAGTCGTATAGTAAGTTTATACTTAACGTTACAAAAAGCCACCAAACTATTTTCCAAAATGGTTGTACCAATTTGTATTCCTATAAGCACTATAGCTGTTCCACAGGCTTGTCATTGTATAGTATCCTGTCTTTGAAATATTATCTATTCTAATAACTGTGTAGGCTAAAACATATTTGGTTTTGAGTTGTTTTTCTTTGAGGATTAATGAGTTTGGGCATATTTTTCACATGGTCATTGGCCATTGGTATATCTAATTTTGTGAAGTAGTGGTTGAAATCTTCTGACTGTTTCTAATTGGGCTGTTTATCTTTTATTATGGAGTCATAATTTATATATTCTAGATACATGTCTTATGTCAGCTATATGTATTCGGAATAATTTCTCTTAGCCTATGCTTTGCCTTCTCATTTTCTTAATGGTGCTTCTAAAGGAATCTTGTAAAGGAATTCAGTTTTACATTTGGATGAAGTCCAATTTATCAATATTTCACACTTAATGGAGGTTAAAAACGTTATATTCTATGTTTTTTTTCTAGATGTTTTAGAACTGTAACTTTTTTGTTTAGCTGTAAGATCCATGTGAGTTAGTTTATGTGCATGGTATGAGCTAACATTTGAGATTCATTTTTTTTCCATACAGCTCTACAGTTAATCCAAAAGCATCTGTGGAAAACATAATCCTTTTTCTAATGAATTACCTTAGTTTCTTTGTTGAAAATCAATTGACTGATTTCTTTCTGGGAATCTCTCTTATTTTCTATTCATCTATATGTCTATTCTTATGCCTGAACCATACTGTTTTGATTACAATCACTGTTAATGTTTTGAAATCAGACAATGTAGATTGCCAAACTTGTTTTTTTCAAAATAGTGGCCAATCTATGTCCTTTGTATTTTCATATAATTTTATAATCGGTTTGACAATATTTACCAAAAAGATGTTAAGATTTTGATTGGGAATGCATTTAAATTATATGTTAATTTTGGAACAGTTGACATTTAATAGTATTGAGTTTTTCCAAGCCTTAAAATATATTCTTCCCTTTATTAAGTCTTGGCTAATTTTTCTCAACAGTGTTTTATGGCTTTCAGTGTGTGGTTCCAAATTATGTCATATTTTTGAATGATTATAAAGGAAATTTTAAAAATCTCAATTGTTCATTGAAAATACACAGAGATACAATTGACTTTTTTATATTGACCTTGCCTACTGTGACAGCTAAATGTATTCCTTGATTCTAGTACTTTTTTTAGATACTTAAGATTTTTTACATAAATGATATGTCCTCTATGAGGAGATAGTTTTACTCTTTCATACCAGTCAGTATGCCTCTTATTAATTTTTCTTGTCTTATTATACTGGCTCAGTTCTCCAGTAACATGATATTAAAAATACATTGTAATACTGACATCCTTGTCTAATTTCTGATTAGAGGAAAAACACTTTATTTTTCCCATTAAGAATAATATTATCTGTAGGTTTTTTACAGATGATCTTTATCAGATTGAGAAGTTATTTTCTATTCCTAGTAGCTGATTTGTGTGTATGTGTGTTTATTAGTCCGTTTTCATGCTGCTGATAAAGACATAGGAACAAAAAGAGGTTTAATTGGACTTAACAGTTCCACATGGCTGGGGAAGCCTCAGAATCATGGCAAGAGGCAAAAGGTATTTCTTACATGGTGGCAGCAAGAGAAAATGAGGAAGAAGCAAAAGTGGAAAGCCCTGATAAACCCATCAGATCTTGTGAGACTTAATATCACTATCAAAATAATAGCACAGGAAAGACTGGGCCCCATGATTCAATTACCTCACCCTGGGTCTTTCCCAGAACATACGGGAATTCTGGGAGATACAATTCAAGATGAGATTTGGGTGGGGACAAAGCCAAATAATATTACTCTGCCCCTGGCCCCTCCAAATCTCATGTCCTCACATTTCAAAACCAATCATGCCTTCCCAACAGTCCCCCAAAGTCTTAACTCATTTCAACATTAACCCAAAAGTCCACAGTCCAAAGTCTCATCTGAGACAAGACAAGTCCCTTCCACCTATGAGCCTGTAAAATCAAAAGCAAGCTAGTTACTTCCTAGATACGATGGGGGTACAGATACTGGGTAAATATAGTCATTCCAAAAGGGAGAAATTGGCCAAAACAAAGGGATTACAGGGACCATGCAAGTCCAAAATCCAACATTGTGGTCAAATTTTAAAGCTCCAAAATGATCTCCTTTGACTCCAGGTCTCATTTCCAGGTCATGCTGATGCAAGAGGTGGGTTCCCATGGTCTTGGGCAGCTCTGCCTCTGTGGGTTTACAGGGTACAGCTTCCCTCCCAACTGCTTTCACGAGCAGGCATTGAGTATCTGTGGTTTTTCCATGCACACAGTGCAAGCTGTTGGTAGATCTACCATTCTGCAGTCTGAAGGACAGTAGCCCTCTTCTCACAGCTCAACTAGGCAGTGCCCCAGTAGGGACTCTAGGTGGGAGCTCCCACCCCACATATCCCTTCTGCACTGCCCTAGCAGAGGTTCTCCATGAGGGCCCCACCCCTGCAGCAAACTTTTGCCTGGGCATCCAAGCATTTCCATACATCTTCTGAAATCTAGGTGAAAGTCCTCAAACCTTAATTCTTGACTTCTGTGCACCTGCAGGCTCAACATCACATGGAAGCTGCCAAGCCTTGGGATTTCCACCCTCTGAAGCCACAGCCTGCGCTGTACATGTGCCCCTTTCAGCCACAGTGGCTCAGCTGCGACACAGGGCACCAAGTCCCTAGGCTGCACACAATACGAGGACCCTGGGCCTGGCCCACAAAATCACTTTTTCCTCCTGGGCCTCTGAGCCTGTGATGGGAGGGGCTGCTATCAAGGTCTCTGACATCCTGGAGACATTTCCCCCATGGTCTTGGGAATTAACATTAGGCTCCTTGCTACTTGCTCAAATTTCTGCAGCTGGCGTGAATTTCTCCCTAGAAATTTTTTTTTTTCTATCACGTAGTCAGGCTGCAAATTTTCTGAACATTTATGCTCTGTTTCCCTTTTAAAACTGAATGCCTTTAACAGTACTCTTTAACAGTCACCTCTTGAATGCTTTGCTGCTTATAAATTTCTTCTGCCAGATACCCAAAATCATCTCTCTCAACTTCAAAGTTCCACAAATCTGTAGGACAAGGACAAAATGCCACCAGTGTCTTTGCTGAAACATACCAAGAGTCACCTTTGCTCCACTTCCCAACAAGTTCCTCATCTCCATCTGAGACTACCTCAGCCTGGACCTTATTATTCATATCATTATTGGCACTTTGGTCAAAACCATTGACAAGTATTTAGGGAGGTCCAAACTTTTCCACATGTTCCTGTCTTCTTCTGAGACCTCCAAACTGTTCCAACATCTGCCTGTTACCCAGTTACAAAGTCACTTCCACATTTTCATGTATCTTTTCAGCAGCATCCCACTTCTGGTACCAATTTACTGTATTAGTCCATTTTCACGCTGCTGATAAAGACATACCCAAGACTGGGAAGAAAAAGAGGTTTAATTGGACTTAAGTTCCACATGTCTGGGGAGGCCTTAGAATCATGGTGGGAGGCAAAGGCACTTCTTACATGGTGGTGACAAGAGAAAATGAGGAAAAAGCAAAAGCGGAAACCCCTAATAATTGCCCATTAGATCTCATAAGACCTATTCACTATCACGAGAATAGCATGGGAAAGACCCCCATGCTTCAATTACCTCCCCCTGGGTCCCTCCCACAACACATGGGAATTCTGGGAGATACAATGCAAGATGAGATTTAGGTTGGGACATGGCCAAACCATAACAGAGTGTGTGTGTGTGACTAGATCTTCCATTTTGTCCAATGTTTTTTTTGGCATCCATTGAAATGATTATATGATTAATTATGTGAAATGATTTTTTAATGGTAGACCAACCTTGCAACCAAGAATAAATCTGGTGTGGTCATGACATACTCATACTATCCTTTTTTGCATTAGTTGATTAACTTTGTCAATATTTTGTTACTGATTTTCCATCTGTTTTGTTCATGAGGGCAATTGGTCTGTAATGTTACTGACTGGTTTTGGTATCAGTAATTCTGGCCTCATAAAATGAGTTGGGACATGTTTTCCCTTTATTTATTTTCTGAAAGAGTTTAAAAATAACTGATATCAACGTATTCCAAAGCAGTATTTAATAATATTAATGGTTAACGGTTACTTTGCCATTTTTATTATTGTAATAGCAATATTTCTAGTGTTTTCTATTAGGTATGATGATGGTTTCAGAGAGCTCCTTTACCACTTAAAGAAGAATACCCCTTTTCCCATTTCAATAAAATGTTTAGTCAGGAAAAGATAGGTGTTATCAAATTTTCTTCTTAGATAAGTTACAAAAATAGTCATATTATTTTTTCCCTTTCAGCCATATGTATGATTTTAAAATGATGTTTATTTTTTAATGTGAAAACATTCTTTTTTACTCCATATTTACTGTTTTTGCTTTAGTAGTTATAACTAGGAATATCTCTAGTTTATCATATTTTTAAGAAACATGTCTGTAAGTTTTGTTTACAACACCATACTCAAATTAATTGATAGATCCTCTATTTGAACTATGAATTGTTTAAAATATAATTAAAAATTATATTCCTTAAATGTTAGAGAAAAATTGTCTCTATAGTTATTCAGGTTCAAACCTAGTTTGTGAGTATTTTTTGGCAATTTTAAAAAAAATTTTTGTTGTTTTTAATTCAGAAATTTTACCTTTGAATTAATTTCGGAAATGTATAGGTTCAATTTTGATAACTGTTCGATAGTTGTCAAGTTTATAGATATTTATGTTAATGTATGAGCACACAATAGTATACATTATATAAACATTGTACAAAGTATATGTAATTGAATATACCTATAGTTATATATAATTCATATGGTATAAAATACTTCATTAATACTACAGTACAAGATAAATATTAAACATAAACATCCAGACTGAGAGAGAATTCTGTTATTCAGATTGTGCATAGCCATATTGCATTGTTTGCTTCTCTAAACTTTATGAAAGCAAAAATGAGTAATACCGGATTTTAATAAAGTGTTTTCAGCTTATCTATGCATTTTAATACTTTTTGCTTTATTTTTGTATTTTACACATAAAATTCAAAAGTAATTAGAGCTTTAATATGAATTGCTTCTTTTATCAGTATAATTTTTTTTTTTTTTACAATTTAATGTTTTAGGCTTACAGTTAACCTTATCTAACTTTAAGATTGTATTTCCTACTTTGATTTTGTTAATACTAAATGTACATTTGCTCAGCCTTTTAAAAAAGATTTGTATTAGTCTGATTTAGATATAGCTTTTGTAAACAGAGCAGAAATATATTCTGTTATCTTTTTTTTAATCCAACTGAAGCCTTTTTTTCATTATAATGGGGAGTTTAACCCACTTGCAGGTATTAAAACTGATGTGTTTGTTTCTCGTCAGCTTTTTGTTTTCCTCTTTTTGTTCTGTCTAGTAGCTTTCATGTTTTGTATCTTGTGCTATTTGAAACAAATTTTCTTTGATTTTATCCTCTATAGTTTTTTGAAATAAATATTTGATTTTTTATAGTGGTGGTTAGATTTATATTTTCCAGGAGCATTTGCAGCCTGTGTGAGTCTTATTATTCAAGCTGAGTAAATGTTTCCTCACTTCCTCTATGGGAGGTAAGAATTGCGGCAGCCTCCTTTCATCCTCCTTCCTATCTTGGCACTGTGTTTCTCAGACTATCAAAATCACCTTTTGAAGTCACAATCCGCGTTTACATGTTGAGACATTGGCATTTTCATTTAGCTTAATTATCAGATTTATAACAATTCTTCCACCTCATTCTTTCGTATTATGATTCCTTTGTAGGTGACACTAGTTAGCTTTTCCCTTTGCTTCATCTTAAGTTCATTGGAATACATTTCAAGACGTTTTACTAAAAAGATGTGTGATTGTTGTATTTTCTGATTCTTAGGATATGTCTTCCTTCAGGTGATAAACATTTATTGAAAACCTGTTTTGCAATAATAGCTGGACTAGGTGCTAGAGATACAATCATAACACAGACTATCCCTCAAGAAGTGTTTACCTATGAAGATTTTTTTGTTGCTGTCAAATGCAATTGGAGTATTTCCTGAGCATAAAATCCAAAGGTCACAATCTTTACCCTTAAAACTCCTGTGGTTACCCCTTCATTATATTTGGCATTTAGTGATGAAGTAGAGCAAGCTGAGGTCTTCTTTTCTGATAGTTGTAATTGTATGAGTAATCCATTTTCTGTGTGAAGATAAGAAGATATGCCTTTATCTGTGAGGTTGAAAATTCTTTCCGGGAGATGTGATGTGTCTCTTCTGAATTCTCCTAATATGCAGTAAGTCTGTTATTAGGCACACACATAGATTTTTTTTTTTTTTCGCAGAAAGTGGGCATGTGTTAAATATTTAATGGTTGGTTCTGTTGTAGCTCGTTCTAAGGAAACTTAGTTCCACGTGTGTTGGCTCTTTCTTCTGTTTCCTTCAGATCTTTTGTCTTTCTCTTGCTTTCTTAATCTCCTTCTGTCTTTTCTTCTGTATCCCGGGAGAGCTGCTCAGGTTTGAAATTCACTCTGTTGATTTGATTTTTTGAAGCCTCACATCTGATATGTTTTACTTCTGATGGAGATTTAAATTTTGTTGCTGTTTTAAGGTCACTTGCTTGCTCTCCATATCTAACTAATTGGACGTTTTCGTTCATCTCAACAACTTTTCTTCTTCGGCTCTGGTCTATGTCATTCTTTTCCATCTTTTGCCCCTTAAGCAGCCTTTTCCTGAAGGCTGTACTTTTCTGCTTCTGTGGAGGTTGTCAGGTGGCTGTCTACAATTTTAATTAGGGTTCTGGAAGCCGATTTTTTTATTGTGATATGGTGCACATAGCATAAAACTTACCACTTTAACCTTTTTAAGTGTACGGCTCGATCACATGAATTGAGTACATTCACACTGCTGTACAATAGAAGTCATTTATTAAAGCACGGTCTTCCTGGAATTTTTGTGACTAGTCTTTATTTTCCTTTTTCCACAGTATTTTCTCAATACTCATTCTCGAAATTGGTGTGATCTGTGTGGTAAGTGGATGGTGCCTTGCCCCTATTCTCTGCCTTTTGAGTAAATTTTGAGTCCTGTTTTAATTCTACTCTTCAAATATTTATTAGGCTGCAGAGCTTCTGGTTTATTTCACAGTCTCTAGCTTCCACCTGTTATACTTCTCTTTATGAAATGGTACTTTTTTTCTTGTCCTCTGAGATCTCTGATGCATGGTAATGGTTGAAGAATTTGAATAATTTAGGGCTTGGGGGGCACTCATTGACTCCTCTGGTTTGAAGCTGCATTGGTATTGCAAGCCCATTGTGATTGCTTAGAAAGTCTATGAGGGTAGACTCCAGGGGGACCTCAGTGACCCCGCCTCCTGATATTCACACCCTTGAGCACTCTTCACCGTGTTGCATCAGTGCTGGTCTGCATGACCATAGCATACAGCCACACAATAGCTCGTGGCTCCCCAGCCAAGTCATAAAGGCCACGCTTACCCTGTGTCTTACCCTCTCTCTCCCGACAAGTCATTCTGAGAGCAGCCAGCTGCCATGCCATGCCCTGACGACACCGAGAGTTCTTGTGGTGAGAAACTCCTGCCAACAACCTACATTTAACCTGCCAGCCTGGAGCCTGGAGCCTGCAAGCCGCCTGGGAAGTGCATCTTCCACTTCCAAGTGGATCCTCCAGCCTGGGTCAACATTCAAATGACTGCAGCACCAAGTGATATCATGACTGCACCCTCATGAGAAAGCCTGGACCAAAAGAGACACAGCTCTGAATTCCTGACCCACAGATATAGTGTGAGATAATAAATATGCATTGCTTGGAGCCACTAATTTTTGAGGTGACTTTTTAGTCAGCAGTAAATAGCGAATGCGTCCATCCAAGTCAGCGCTTGTATTGTTAATGGCTGCTCGGCCTCCCTTTTTGAAGCTTTATTATCTGCATAAGGGTAAAGATAGCTATGGAGGCGTGTACTTACTTCTTGTCTTCTTTGAAATCTTTGTTTCATAAAGATAAGGCATGCCATGATTTGAGCATTGTCTCTATTAATTAAATCAAGTCTATCTTCCTTATTAGTATTGTTTGATTGATTTTAGGAACTAGATTATTCTTCAATCTTACTTTTCCCAAAAATATGAGTATCATTTATTTCCAAGTTTTTGCAAGTTATCTTAGTGAGAAGCTGAGAGATGCATTTGGGTCTTCTATTTCAATACAATTTTGAAGCAGATATCTCTCCTTGCTTTTAACAAAGGTGCATAAAAGATACCATTATATCTTTAATATGCTAGGTTACTCTAAGAGATAGCTACCACATCTGTATTTTCTTCAATTTTGCAAACGAGATAAAATATACAGTCCTTGGATCATTGAGGTAGAAAACCATATCTATTTTAAATAAAGATGATTTTTCTTCTTTTTCTTTATGTATTCCTTCATTTTTTCTGACCTCATTGCATTGGCTAAATTTCTGAAAAATATTCAATATTAATAATTATAACTAGCATCCTTTGTCTTCATTCTGTTATCATCAAATTGCCTCTAGTGGTTTTTGTACTAGTTATAATGCTAGTTTCTATTTTCAAGATCTCACTTATTGAGATATTATAAATAAATGTTTAAGTTTTATTAAACTCATTGTTTTTTAAATTTTTAGAGTTCCTCAGTTATAATATTGATACTTTTTTTCATTCTTGGCATTAGTTTCAGACACACCATATTTTTAATGCATTGTTAGATTTTATTTGCTAATAGAATTGTATTCTTGTAGGTAAAGCACCAAATGCAATAGTGGGGACAGGAAAATGTATGCTGCCTGACAATGCATAAGTGATCAATACCTTCTATCAGTAGAAGTTGTGGTAATTACTACGTGCACTGACTGCTGTGAATTTCAGTTTTCCAAGTACTGTGTTGGTTCTAGGTACTAATAATGGCACCAAGGAGAACCTTTGAGATAGGGTAGCAATTTTCCTGACACCTCAGGAAAAAAGTGTAGCCTCAAAGTTCCAATAAAACATCACCAGCCAACGGAGATGCAAAAATATTGTTAAACTCAGGTTCTTCAACATTGCCTTTGTAATCAACCAGTTTCCTTAGTGCCTATATCCCAAGCGTAGTGCTAGCTTCTGCACTGGCAGTGTAGAATAGCGGGGGAAGACCCCAGGTGACTCTGCTGCCAGGGGACCTTGAATAAGTCACCTACCATTTTTGAGCCTCTAGTTCTCATCTGTAAAATGGAGCCCATCAGTCACCCCTGAACTCCTGTGAATATTGCTGTGAGGATCAGCTATAAGGGATGCGAAACTGCTTTTGAACCAGAATCCACTAGAGGCACTTAAAAGTATGTGTGTTATCATCGTCATCGTGAGAGAGGATTGTTAAGCCAAGGCGCCCCACTCTCTCCAGTGAGCAGGATTCCTGTGCTTCCATATGTTATTACAGGCACTGTGAACCAGGGTTTACATTTTACTGCTACTTAATTACCCCTTCTCATCTCCCAGCCATTTTCACATTTAAATAAAACTCTTGTTTCACTTAACAATGGAAGGGCTAAAAATTTGCATATTAAGTGTGAGTCAGTGGCATGGATATCTAATTAAAACCATCTTTTTCCTTTTCTCCCCTTTTCATTTTTGTCCCCTGAGCTGCTGACATTATTGCAACTGTATTCCGTGGCCCCATTCTGTCAGCCTGTGTGTTCTGAGGAAAGCAACCAGGAAGGGTGCAAGGAGAGCAGGAGCTTAAGAGAAGGAGGAGGAGATGTGATGTGTAACTGGGGACAACAAAGGCAAACACAGAAGGAACTGTGATGGGAGAACTGGCACATTGGTGCTGGCCAGGAGGCACTATTAATGCTTAAAAAGAGGATGCAAGGGTGAAGAAGGGAGAGCCTGATAAATAAATAAAAAGTACCAGAAAAAAGAGAAAGTAAAAATGGAAGGGAAGGAAAGGACCAAAGACAACAAGATGGGTGGAGAGAAGCCTGTAGAACTCACAGTGAGGGTGATGCTGTGTCTTTAAGAAGCAGGTGGCTCAGGAGAGAAACTGCCCGTGTCAGCAGAGCAGAGGGTGGTGGGTAAAGGTGACAGATCCTCTGGGAAATTCTTGTACAGCTTCATAAAACATGTCTATAATACATGAACATGTAGAGATTGTCATCAGAAAGCATGTCTTTTGGTCTTGAGTATCTATCCACTTTCCTGAATAGGGTTTTATGGTATCATTTAACAATGCAGGTGTGCCCCATATCCTCTCTTTTAGATCTTGCTTTTCTTCCTTATAGTTCGCACAGAAACATGACTCAGAAACAGATTCATCTGAAAGCATTTGTATAACTTCAAGATATAGCAGATAGGAGGGTCTATTCTTCCTCTCCCCTTCCCCATCGCTAAGACCATACTAACTAGGAATTTGTCTACAATTAGCTAGAAATTTGTTAAAATCATTTACCCTGTATCTTCCTTTGCTTATTTGGTTCATGAAACACGTTACCTATTTAAAAAATTCTATGTTGATGGAGAAAATCAGCCCTTGATAATGGTAGAAGGTGAGAAGCATAGCCCACGTTAGGAGTTAGTGCAACCATATGACTATTATGGTGATTATTTCTACCATAGTTATCATGACAACCATGCCTCTTGGCATGCAAGACTGTCCATCTGTCTGTGTACAGCTCCTTGGGCAGATATAGGCTGGAAAAAGCAAAAATGTTCAGCAAATCAAGACCAACTGGCAAATGATAGTTCCCAAAGGGAGAGGTAAAGAAGAAATTTTGCCATTGAAGTACAGGCCCCAGCGCTATGGCACCCGGGACCAGGAATCCACTTAGATAAAGGGAACCATCCCATTTGTCAATTTTGGCTTCTGTTGCAATTGCTTTTGGTGTTCTAGTTATGAAACCTTTGCTCATGCCTACGTCCTGAATGGTATTGCCTAGGTTTTTCTTCGAGGGTTTTTATGGTTTTAGGTTTTACATTTAAGTCTTTGATCCATCTTGGGTTAATTTTTGTATAAGGTGTAAGGAAAGGGTCCAGTTTCTGTTTTCTGCATATGGGTAGCCAGTTTTCCCAGCACCATTTGTTAAATAGGAAGACAGTGTGGTGATTCCTCAAGGATATAGAAGCAGAAATACCATTTGGCCCAGCAATCCCATTACTGGGTATATACCCAAAGGATTATAAATCATTCTACTATAAAGACACATGCACATGCATGTTTATTGCAGCACTATTCACAATAGCAAAGACTTGGAACCAATCCAAATGCCCATCAATTGTAGACTGGATAAAGAAAATGTGGCACATATACACCACGGAATACTATGCAGCCATAAAAAAGAATAAGTTCATGTCCTTTGCAGGGACATAGATGAAGCTGGAAACCATCATTCTCATCAAACTAACACATGAACAGAAAACCAAACACCACATGTTCTCACTCATAAGTGGGAGATGAACAATGAGAACACGTGGACACAGAGAGGGGAACATCACACACTAGGGCCTGTCAGGGGGTGGGGGGCAAGGAGAGAGAGAGCATTAGGACAAATAGCTAATGCATGGGTTGATAGGTGCAGCAAACCACCATGGCACATGTACACCTATGTAACAAATCTGCACCTTCTGCACGTGTATCCCAGAACTTAAAGTAAAACAAAATAAATAATAAATAAAGGGAACCATGTGGATTTACAGCATGTAAAGACACCAGAAAACAAGACAAAGGACCATATGGACAACTGCTTCAATGCCCTCTGGCTCCTACTGGAAGTTGGCTTGGGAAGCTGTTCCCTGGACCCAAGGTTAAGTTCAGGAGTTACATATCCTCTTGGAGTAGTGTTTCCAAATTTTGACTAAATTTTCCTGATTATGGAAATTTTTCAGGTTCTGGTAAAAATTATATATTTCATGTCCCACCCCAGACCTATCAAATTGGATGAGGATTATATTAATATATTTAATCCAACAATGAGGCATGATTGATAAATACTAACTCTTAGAGGAGCTGAACAATTTCACTTGCAGGGGGGCCTTGATAAGACCGAGACAAGACACTGCCATTAAGGCATGATGGTCTACTGATGACTTAGTTTCCCTGAGGATGCCAAAGAGTCACGTAGTTTTCACACTGTTAGACTTACTTTAACATCAGTGTCCCGACTCAATCCTGATTTGATGTATGAGGTGATTAAGCCACTCCAGATCTGCATTTCACAACCTATTACCTTCCTCTTCACTGCTTCTTGAAATGTGACTTTAAGCCACAGACAAGATAAATAGGCCTATACTTGGGTTCTTCATGTACTATATGCCTAAGAGCCAGGAACTAGCATATTGTCCTCGAATGTTGGCTTAGATTTGAGTAGTGTTCCCTGTTGGCAGAACATACCGTGATGTTAACTTCCTGCAGTTAACATAGTCACGGACATGAGCTGTGCTCTTCCTCAGTTGCCAGCATGTCCTTGAAAGTAATTATTCCTTGCATCCTCAGGACAACTCTATGACATAGTTCTAATGCACATCTCTGTTTTCCAGTTAAGGATGCTGAGGCATAGAGAGGAAATCAATTGTCTAAGATCAGAGAGGCAGTGAGAATCAGAATAGGATTCAATCCCAGGCATGCAAGTTCCAGACTTTGAGCTTTTAAACATGGAATTTCTCTGCCTCCTCTGCGATGCTCCATCACCATGCTTTTCCCATCTATGTGAAATGAGTGGTTTTCAGCTTGAGCTGGTTCTGCCCTCTGCAGACAACTGATGTCCTTTTGCTCTTGGATATCTCATATTGTGCCAGGCCTAACAAGGAAACCTACGGCATAGTGATGAGGCAAGACCCCTCCAGCTGCTGACAAGCCCTCAATCTTAGCTCTTCTGAGGGAGGCAGCGTAACAGGCATGAGCAGCCATGCCCAGCTCTGCTGCTCTTGGCCCCTCATGTCAATGGAGCTTAGATTGTCTTTGCAGACTGCTCCTCTGCTCTTTGCATGGTGCCGTTCCTATTCCTATGCTGTCTTAGGGCTGGCAGAGGGACCCTTTCCTCAGCTCCCTGCACCTGGAATCATCACATATCTACCATTAGTCCCTAGGGGCCTTGTCCAGTTTTGGTTCTTGTTCCTTCTCCACCTGACTAGCCCGGATCTACTTTCTGGCTGAATTTCAAGGTGTGCTACCATGCACGGGGAAGCACACTCACAGAATTCTGAGAGCATGGCTTTTGCCTGAGACGCAGAAAGCCTAAAATAGTATCTCCATAGGAATTGTACCCACATTTGAATTCAAATCCATTTGTGTAGCACGTACCACTTCTTCTGGCTTTCATTTTTTTTGAGATTTGGAGCAACCACATTTTTGCAAAATATAAATGTTCATTCCTCTTCAAATCTACAGTGTCCCATTTCAATAAAGTCATGCACTGTGTCTTGATACACATTATTTTAAAACCATCAGGACTTGGGTTCTTCGGGTCCTATATGCCTAAGAGCCATATTTTAAAACATCAGGACTTGGGTTCTTCGGATCCTATATGCCTAAGAGCCAGGAATTCAAATTCGCCCTCAAACTACTAAACATGAAAATTCAAACTTCCACTACAGAGGAATTGTAGAGGAAAATTCAAACTTCCTCTGTGGAGGGGTCGTAGAGTATAAATAAAGCCAAGTAATCTTGACAAATGCCAACATCCTTAGACATTGGTTTTAGACAGTCTCTCCTTCAAAAGTTGTATGATTCTTCTGTCTTAAATTGAATAGATATAATACTGAACCTGTAGCTGCATGGCAAAAATTTGAGTTGTGACCAGTGTGTTTCCTTGAATATAATGAATGCATAGTCAGAGTCCATTTAAAATGAAATAGGGAGCATGGAAACCTATGGAAATATACTAGGGCTGTGAGAATCACAAGAAAAAACAGATGACCAATGGCCTTTGTTCTTGATGTGTAGGACTTCAGCTGGACCATTAACTCTGTAAAATCTTCAAGTTTTATTTCTCCTTGAACCTCTAAGCTATGTAACATCACTTTATGCCATAATTTAAGTAATGTTACCACCATTTTTCTTTTGATTTGAAACGGAATTATTGAAATAGAGTGTTTTTCTCTTCCTTTGGTCACTTTATTTTGCAGTCAAGAGTTAAAATCTATAAAAATATAGAATATGTTTAGACAAATAATTCATCATGTTTTCTAAATAATTTATCGTGTTGTCTAAAACCATGAAGTTTTCGATTAAAGAGGTGGAGTCCTAGTCAATATATTTTGAAAGTTTTTGAAGAGATCTATTCATGAGTATTGACTGCAAACAAAAATGTCAAACTGCTGTGCATCAGTGTTTTTTAAAAAAATTTAAAAAAGTACAGAGTGTAGCCTCCCATTTTCATATAGCATTGTGGTTTTCTTCTCTACCTTTGGTAGTTGCTTCAAGGAATGACAGAGTGGAAGCCAAAGGTCTAACAATGGTCTGAAACATTGAGTGCCACCTGGCCTGGTCACCTTCCTGACCTCTTGTTCTATCATTATTCCCCTCTGTCCACTTGAGACCAAAAGGGCTCTTTTCTGTTCTTTACCATAGGGAAAATACTCCCACTTCAGGGCATGGTATTGGTTATTACCTCTGCTTGGAATGTTCTTTCTTCAGAAATATGCATGGATCACTCCAATACTTCTTTCTGCTCTCTGCCCAGAAGGCTTCCGAATCACTGAGACATTTTCTGATCACCGCCCATAAAACAGCAACCTTTCCACATCACCCTGGCATTTCCTGTACCCACAGCCTGTTTTAATTTTTCCATAGCATTTTTCTTTTTTTTTTTTTTGTTCAGCTTTTATTTTAAGTTCAGGGGTACATGTGCCAGGCATGCAGGTTTGTTATATAGGTAAATGTGTGCCATGGTGGTTTGCTACGCAGATCATCCCATCACCTCAGTATTAAGCCCAGCATCCATTAGCTATTCTTCCTGATGCTCTCTCTCCCCACTCCCCACTCCCCACTCCGACAGGCCCCAGTGTGTAGTGTTCCTTGCCATGTGTCTATGTGTTCTCAGTATTCAGCCCCCACTTATAAGTGAGAACATGTGGTGTTTGGTTTTCTGTTTCTGAGTTCGTTTCTGAGGATAATGGGTTTCAGCTCCATCCATGTCCCTGCAAAATACATGATCTTATTCCTTTTTATGGCTGCATAGTATTCCATGGTATCACTTTTTTCACCATCACTCACACACACAGAGACATACTGACACACACTGAATATTTTCTCCAGCATCATTGTTAGGCTTTTAAATTAAGCAGTGCATATAAGGTACCTGCTCATCGTTATTATTGAGGAGAAGATAGCTGATCATCATTATGGAAGGCTCTGTAGGGCATCGTCAAACCTATCCTGATCTTCTCTTTGCTTCTTCCTATAGAGAAAACTTTAATTTTCTATATCTATCTGAGAGCAACCTGGTAGCATTTTGTAATATTGGGTTGAGACTCTCTTAGTCTTAGATTTGTAGAACTTTATAATCTTGGTTCTACTTTGTTCTATATGCAAGTACATTTTGAGTGTAACAAAGCCCACAAATCTTTTCCTGATTTTGTTTACATGACCTTGAATTTATTGAGTGATGAGAGCTCTGTCAGAATCAGATTTCAGAGCTCCTTGGCCCAAGCCAGGAAGTGGGCATGCATGACTGACCAAGCCCAGAGTGGCAGGAGGCCAACCTGCTGTGTCTTATCTTGCTTTCCCATAGCTCAAGAGGACAAGAGCAGTGTTCTAGGAGAAGCCAAATTATTTTCCTAACAAGAACCATAAAGCATTAGAAGTAATTTCAGAAAAATGTAAGATATGTATTCCTATAATTCTGACACTTTTAAGAGATATGACTGTAAATAAAACACATTTTACAAAGGGTGCATATTACCAGCATGCTATAAAATGCTTCTAGAACTTATTTTAATAACATCTCCCCCTTCAGACATATAGCACTTTTACTCTTGAGACCACTTTCACATCCATCCGTTTATGCTATCTCACAACATAGAGAGGGAGGACAGCCTGGTCACGCTCTTGCACTTGACTGAGGCTCTGAAGAGTATGATACGCACAGCCTCTGTGCCAGGACTGCAGTGGGGGGAATTCAGATTTGTCTTTATTCCAGGTCATGTTGATGATTAAGAAGACCTGCCCAACACTGTCCATGCCTCAGGGACATGGGCTGATTTTTATTCTTCTGATTTTTATGATGCTACTTCTAGCACCTGTCGTAGCACAAAATCCATGATCAGTAAAATTCCATGAAATGAATCAACTTGGCTTAACTATCACTTAGAACAAACTTTTTTTTTTTTTTTTTTGAGATGGAGTCTCACTCTGTTGCCCAGGCTGGAGTGCAGTGGTGTGATCTTGGCTCAGCGCAAGCTCTGCCTCCTGGGTTCACACCATTCTCCCACCTCAGCCTCCTGAGTAGCCGGGACCACAGGCGCCCGCCACTACACCCAGCTAATTTTGTTTTTGTATTTTTAGTGGAGACGGGTTTTCACTGTGTTAGCCAGGATGGTCTCAATCTCCTGGCCTCGTGATCTGCCTGCCTCGGCTTCCCAAAGTGCTGGGATTATAGGCATGAGCCACTGCGCCAGGCCAAGAGCAAACATTTTAAACCACTCTATACAATATTCATCCTATATAAGCCTCAAATAATTTTACAGTCCTGTGTGAGGGTATCCTTGCAAAATGTGGGTATGTGAAACTAAAATCATGGTAAGCTATCCTGAAGGGAACTGATGGGCATATATTATAATTTGATGTAGTTCTTGGATTAAACCTTCACTTTCAAGTTTGATTTCTGAGCAAATGTCTTCCCCCAACAAATGCATAGTTGTTTCAACCTCCTCCCCTTTATCTCTAGGGTATGTTTCGAACATCTCTTTTAAAACGTTAATATTCTGAGATTGTAGTTGTCTTATTACAGTTTTCAGTATAAATGTCATTGCCCTTGTCACTCTTATTCAATTGAGAGCTCCTAAAAGTCAGAGACAGAGTCCTAATGGATGAAGGCTCAATAAATGTTTTTTGGGTAAAATGGAACAGAAGGGATTACAATGGAAGAAATGAAATGAATTAGAATAATCTAAGTGCAAAATGAATATCCAGATAAGCTACAAAGAAGAGAGATTCAAAGGAGGTGACAATGATGTAAACTTTGAGAAAAGCACTCCAGGAAAAAAAAAAAAAAAGTCATCCACAATTGTTGAGAGAGAAAATCCTTTGTAGTCGAAATGTATTCCCTGTAGGGTCTGAGCTTCATTCTCAAAGCACAGGTTGTGAGAAATTGAGTCTTAAGACAATTAATAGCTTCCTCTTGTTTCTTCTAAAGGAAACCATCAAAGAGTCTTGAAGAGTTACAGGTGTCATGTTCCATTCCCATGGGACACCTCTGGAGCTGGTGTTTGTGTTGACATGGAGGAAAGGAAGTTTCTGCAACAAATGTTCAGTTTTTGTTTTGTTTTTTAAAAAATATTATAGGCCATTTGTTTGGCACCCTCTTACAGAATGGCCATGTCCTCACCAGTGGATTTAAATTAAAAAATCATAGAAATCTTGCAAGATAAAAATTCTAGAGTTCTTTTTTTTCCTTCTGATGACTGAAGACACTATAATTGTTGAGATTTTTGCCTGCCTTCTTCATGCAGAACCATCTTTTTAGAGAATTATTAGGGTTTTGTAGACATCAATCTGGAAAGAGGCAGGAAGGAAAAGAACATGAGATAGGGAGGGAAGAAATCCCTGTTTTTCTTCCCCTGTCAAAAATAGAAGAAAAAATAAATACACTAGGTCAGTTTTTACTTGAACTCACTCTTTGCAAAGAAAAAAACTTTATTTCATACTTTTTCAAAATGCCCAATACCATGAACACTACTGAAAACAGAAGAAAAACATCTATTTTTAAAGAGGTAATTGTTACGCAGTTTTATTATAAGTAGCAGCAGATGAGGCATATGCATGATTCACAGCAGTATGGGAAGACAAACCCAACACGTTTCAACTGACATTGTCCTTCTTGCATTTACAAAAGTATTATTGACAACAACTTCTTGGATTTGAATGGAATCTGACAACAGAGACCATTATTTCTGGGGTCGAAGGTGACCATAACAAGAGATCATAAAGTGGTTTGGCAAATCAGAAGGCCTGTAAGGCTGCCAAAGGCCTTGCCAGGCAGGGAAAGGCACCCTACAGGGAGCACAGCTGGCAACAGCTGGGACATGGCTCTTAGGAAGCTCCAGCAGAGGTTGCCCGTGCTCCCACAACAAGCGGAAATTGTTTTGCACCCGGAAATCAAAACAGATGAGAAAAGATGCACATGGGAGCAGGGTAGGGGCAACTGTGAAGCATGGGATAAACAAGCTCCTATGCCTTGCATTTGGATCAGGATAAAATGGAGTTGAACAAAGCAAACTATGTATTATTAATGTTAGTGTTTTCTTTAAAGATTTGATATGGGCAAGCACAAAACATTGTAATAAAAACGGAAAGGCTCTTCAAAATTGGCAATTCTTTTTCTTCAGTTCTCTCCCACTGGGATGCTCTGTGCATCTTTTCTCCCCTTCTCCTTTTTTGGGAACATTTTTGAACAAAGAAATGGGAGTCCAGGAAGGAGAGGGGAAAGAAAGCTGATAGCAGACACAGAAAGGGAGAGGGAAATATAAAAGCTATAAAGGGACGTGGACAGAGACGCAGGAGGTGAAGGCAGCCTGGATTAAAAGCTAGGGAGAAGGAAATCATAAGAGAACAAGAGATTCATATGCTTCTAAAATATTTATTACACACCCTGGGGGATCAGTGTAGAAATTGCATTCCCTTTGGGAAAACATTTGCACATATCCTCCTTGTCTGGATATAAAGGGAAGAGCATCTCAGCAGCTTTCCAGATGGGAGGAGGGAAGTTGCTTCTTTCTGGAGCCCTTCTCTTCCCTCTTCCCGAGCTCTACTTTTGTGCTCATTCTACTGAGGGCAGTCATGGCATCTTCCACCACTACCGTAGTTCTACAGCAAAAGTGTAGTTACCAGCAGGTCCAACTTCCTATCCACCAAGGTTTGCTGGAGATTCCACCACCACACTCAATTTAGCCTCACAGAAAAAGACGGACATGAAATATTTACTTTTTATGGCTTCTTTGTTCTCACATCTGGTCCTGGAAACAGGCAATCTAGTTCTATGTTGAATCACGTTGAATGTGTCAATCATCCATCCAGTATTTATTGTGAAACTACTATATGCCAGGTACTGTGCTAGTCCCTCTGGAGGGCCATCATCCATTCAGTCATCAAGTATTTATAATGTACCTGTCAGGTGCTAGATGCTGTCTACTGAAGCGTTCATTTATTCATTCATTCAAAATATTTACTGAGCAATTTACTGTGCACCAGGCACTCTTCTGGAAATTACACATAGGACAACACAAAACAAAGTCCCCTGCCCTCATGGTAGGGCTGAAAGACAATAAATAAATCCTATATCATGCTTTTAAACGCTATTGATTTGCTGATGATGCTCAAACCTCTCCTCTGAATTCCTGAGTCACAGATTCAACTGCCTGCTTGATTTATCTACAGGAAGCCAAACTGGGCCTCTCAAGCTTACTATGCCCCAAATCAAACTGAATTTCCTGGCCCCTTCTCAACCTGTTTCTTCCTCATTCTCCCCCAGTTAAAACAACAACAACAACGACAACAACAATGACAACAACAACACTCCATTCTTTTAGTTGTTCAAGTAAAAAAATAATGGTGTCATCCTTGATTCCACTCTTTCTCTCGCGCCCTATACCCCATACATCAGCAGATCCTGCTGGTTCTACCTTCAGATTGTGTCAGAATCTGAAGCTCACTACCTCTACCCCCACCACATCAGTGCAGCATCTATCATCTCTCCTGCAGTTTTGCAGGGCCCTTAACTGTTACCTTTGTTTCTCCTCGCGGGCCCCTCAGTCATGCCCACCTTTTGCTCCAAGCCCTCCAAGACCTCCCTTTTCACTCACAGTAAAGGCCAGAATCTTTACCATGGGTCTCAAAACCCCATGTGTCCTGGCCATTGTCACCTTTCTGGTGACACCTCTTATACTCTTCCTTTATTCCCTCTGTCAAGCCTCAGGCTCCCTTAATGTCCTGGCCACACCAGTTGCCTGCTCCTTCTCTGGTTGTGACCTTCTCTCCCTGTGCAAATGGCTCATGCTCTCACTCACTTCAGTGTCTCTACTCAAATGTCACTTTACCTGTCAGACTCTCTTTGTTCACTGGATAGTAAAAAAAAAAAAAAAAAAAAAATTAGGTATGTCCCAAACCCCACCTACAATATCTCCAAGTTCCTACGATATCTCCAAGTTTCCTTTATACTGCATAATTTGTCTTCCAACACCTACTGTCCCAGCATATGATTCCTTCATTTGCCAAGTTGCTGAAGATCCACCCTCCTCCACCAGGATGTAAGCTCTTTGTGAGCAGGACCTTTGTGTATCTTGGCCATTGGTGTAGACCCCACCCCTAGAACAGTGCCTCGCTCAAAGCGAAGGCTTAGCATGTATATGTTGAATAAATGAATGAATTAAATATGTAATATAGTTTCAGGCAATGATTAATGCTATGAATAAAAATAAAACAAGGGAAGGGGAAAGAGAGTGAGTGGGTGGAATTCCAGTTAATATACCATGAGCCCCTCTGGGGAAGGGTTATTTGAGCAGAGACCTGACTGAGATGAGGTGGTCCGTGCAACAAGTAGGTATCTGAAGGCAGGCTGTCCAGCCGAGGGAATCCACACTGTCTGAGCAAGGAGCACTCTCGGGAAAGAGCAAGGGGACCCCTGTGCCTAGAAGATAAGCAATGGGGCTGGAGCATGAGGGAGAGCCACAGGGCTGAGCACATGGAGCAGTCCAGGCCATTGTAAGGAGTTTGGATTTTATTCTTAGTGTGTTGGGAAGCTGTAAGTGCTTTTGGAGCAGGAGAAGGACATCAGCTGACTCACTCTTTAAAAGAATGAATCTCCAGGGCCCGTGATGAGCACACCGAGGGGAACAAGTTAGGGCAGGAAGCCAGTGAGGAGTTGCTGAGGTCATTCTTGGGGAGAGATGTGCGGGCCTCAACATCATGGGAGCATACACGTGGTGAGAAAGAGTTGCAGCTGGAATTATCTTAAAGGTAAGCCAGGCTTTGCTAACAGATTGGATTTGGGGTGTGAGAGAAAGAGAGGACTCAAAAGTGAGTCCGAGGCTTTTGAACTGAGTTCCTGTGCACATGTAGTGACTTTTATCAAAATGAAGGAAACAGAGGGCAGTTTGTAGGGGGAAAGTGAGAATTTGGCATATACAGGACAAACGTGAAACATCTTTAGACACGGGAGAAGACACAGGTTCTTCATTTCTTTTTTTTTTTTTTCTTTTTTTTTGAGATAGAGTCTCGCTCTGTCACCCAGGCTGGAGTGCAGTGGCACGATCTCGGCTCACTGCAAACTCTGGTTCACGCCATCCTCCTGCCCCAGCCTCTCGAGTAGCCGGGACCACAGGCGCCCGCCACCACACCCGGCTAATTTTTTTGTATTTTTAGTAGAGACGGGGTTTCACTGTGTTAGCCAGGTTGGTCTCGATCTCCTGACCTCACGATCCGCCCGCCTCGGCCTCCCAACGTGCTGGAGGTTCTTCATTTCAAAGCAAAGGTCAGGCCGGAAGATGGAAGCGTGGAAGGCATTTGAGTATAAAGCACGTTTAAGGCTCTGACACCCAGTAATACCAGCAAGAAGTGAGTGCAGCCAGAGAGGATGGCCAGGCCTGAGCCCTGGAGCTCTTCACCAAGCAAACATTGGGAGAAAAGGCAGCGCCTTTGAGAGAAACCTCAATGGCAGTTCCAGTGAAGTAGGAGGAGAACCAGGAGAGTGATTTCAGGGTATGGAAAATAAGTGATTTCCAGGAGAGGTGTTGATAAGTAGGATGCAGTTTCTATTTTCAAGGTGCTCTTGAGCTTGTCAAAAGAGATTACAGTATAGCAAGCAGAAGGAACTACAAGAGAGGTGAGAAGAGGGCACAGTCATGAGCAGCATATTCATGTCAATAATGGGCCACAGACAATGTTCACAATAGCAAAGACTTGGAACCAACCCAAATGCCCATCAGTGATAGACTGGATAAAGAAAATGTGGCACATATACACCATGGAATACTATGCAGCTGTAAAAAAGGATGAGTTCATGTCCTTTGCAGGGACATGGATGAAGCTGGAAACCATCATTCTCAGCAAACTAATACAATAACAGAAAACCAAACACTGCATGTTCTCACTCATAAATGGGAGCTGAACAATGAGAACACATGGACACTGGGAGGGGAACATCACACAGTGGGGCCTGTCAGGGGGTGTAGGGCTAGGGGAGGAATAGCATGAGCAGAAATACCTAATGCATGCGGGGCTTAAAACCTAGATGATTGGTGGATGGATGCAGCAAACCACCATGTCACATGTATACCTATGTAACAAACCTGCACATTCTGCACATGTACCCCAGAACTTAAAGTATAATAAAATAATAATAATAATAATAATGGGCCACAGACAGAACGGTGGTCCCATAGGATCCTAAAGGAGCTGAAAACTCACAGTTGCCTAGTGACATCACGGCTGTCCTAAGGTCTTAGCACAATGCTTTACTCATATGTTCCTGGTGACACTGGTATAGCCCAACCATTTGCACTGCCAGTTGTGTGAAAGTCCAGCATGTATAATTACATACAGCAGAAAATATTTGACAATAAACGATCGTTACTGGTCTTTGTATTTACTATACCACACTTTTTACTATTATTTTAGATCATACTCCTTTTACTTATATATTTTTTAAAAGGTAACTGTAAAACAGCTTCAGACAGGTCCTTCAGGAGGGATCCCAAAGAAGGCATTGTTATCACAGGAGATGACAGCTCCATGTGTGTTACTGCCCCTGAAGACCTCCCAGCGGGGCGGGATGTGGAGGTGGAAGACAGGGATAGTGATGATCCTGACCCTGTGTAGGTCTAGGCTAATGTGTGTGTTTATGTCTGAATTTTTAAAAAAAGAGTTTAAAAATAAAATAATAATACATTTTAAAAATTGGAAAAAGCTTAAGGAATAAGGATATAATGAAAATGTTTTTGTACAGCTGTATAATGTGTTTGTGTTTTGAGCTAAATATTCTTACAAAAAAGTCAAAAAGACCTTTTACCTCATTTCACTCCTGAGAGCATGTTTGGTCACCAGCTGGCTGTCCTGGAGCCACCCTCGAAAATTCCAACAGGGTTCTCGTTCTTGTCGCTTCTGCTCAAACCAGCATGGTCTGACCTATGTGCCACTGGTGTTTCTATCAGTATGGAAAGGATACAGGTTTCATTAAGATGGACAAAGTGATCTTCCTTGAAAGGATTATCCAAGGGATCTACCCAATGAAAACCATGATACCTCTTTGTACTTAAAATAAACATTTTCTAAGTCAAAAAGTTAAAAAAATTATGTTGGTAAAGTAAAATAGTTGTTAGAGTAAGATAAGACTAATGTATGACTAAAGAAAAAATTTAAACAAAAATAAATTTAGTGTAGCCTATGTGTGGAGTATGGTAATATCCCAGGCCTTCACATTCACTCACCACTCACTCACTGACTCCCAGAGGAACTTCCAGCCCTACAAGCTCCATTCATGATAAGCACCCTATACAAGTATACCTTTTCATCTTTCAGGCTATATTTTTACAGTTCCAATTGCTTACAGTATTCAGTACAGATTTGTACCCTAGGAGCAATAGGCTATACCATCTAGCCTAGTGTGTAGTAGGCTGTGCCATCTAGCCTAGTGTATAGTAGGCTGTACCATCTAGGTTTGTGTAAGTGCACTCTAGGGTGTTCACACAAGAATGACACCGCCTTCAACACATTTCCCAGAAGTATCCCTGTCATTAAGTGACATGTACTGTAGTATGGTATTTCAGTTATTTGATTACTTTGTCTATAGGGCAGGAGGTGATCAAAGAATGCTTCACACAAGACTGTATTTTCACAAGGCCTCTTAGAAGGGTAGGTGTTCTCCAGGTAAAGAGGAACCAGGTTTTCCTGGCAGAGAGCAGCATAAGCAGCTGCATAGGCATGCGGTTGGGGAGGCCCAGGGTGGCTGAGGCATCAAATGCAAAGAGGCACATGGCAGGAGCTGTGGCTGCAAAGGTAGGCTGGAGCCAACTGGATCTCTGCACATCCAGCAGAAAAACTTGGATTTTATCTTGTAAGCAGTGAGGAGAGGATAGAGTAAATTAAACCTATCTACATGGATAGAAATATTCAAGGCATAGAAGTAATCAAATTGAGAAGGAAAAACTAAAATGCATATTAGAAAGCAGTAATGCAATACTATGATTGAGTAAGATAAGAATCATGGCCAATCGTGAGTGATGTGCATAGGCCCACTGCTTAATGGCCCTGAGCTTCAATGTCCTCAGCTACAAGCTTGCTGAGATATCTTCCAACTCAAAGCATTTCTGTGACTCTATCTGGCCAGGTAATAAGATCAGGGAATATTTCCTGGAGGAGGAAAACCCCAAGCTGGGTCCTAACGGGAAAGTGTCATTCATAGTAGCAAAGAGGAAGGGAGAGGAGAGTCTACTAAGGGAAGCATCACGAGAAAAGCAAGAATGAGGTGTTCGTGCAGCAAACAGCAGGCTGCATGAAGAGAGGAGGCACATTTGCTGCTCACCGTTACTGTAGTCCAGGGCCTCATCAGCAATTTGCTCCCAATAAATGCTTGTTGAATGACTGTGGGAACAGATAAATGAAGAAAAGTGGGTTGGCCCATGGGTATGTTGGAGATTATAGCAGATGATGGCCCAGGTCAGCAGGGACTTGATCCTATAGGACCCGGGAGGCAATGAGGCAGTGACATGTTGGAAATTCCTAAAGGGACAGAAGAGACGTTGCCCGTCATGGGCACATTTTAGAAAATTCTGACAGGTGGATTTGTCATTGTACATGATGGGCTGAGTAACCGTCTCTCAGTGACCCGAGTCAACCTGTTTTTCTTTATGTAGCAACTGTTGTTTGTTTCAGGGTGAAAAATCCTCACTGGAGATGAGAGAGCCCAGCTGTGTTTGGGTTTTACAAGCTGTCTCAAGATTTTTCTCAAATGTTTTGGTTTATGGCAAAGTTGAAAATACAGCATTATCATGATCCTTATTACCATTATCATTTATTCAACTACCCACTAATAATTAATGTTTACTAAGTACCAATAATATGCAATGAGATGCAATAAGCATTGAATTGCTCTTGGCCTCTTTCCAGTGGGCTTGTTGTAAATAAGAAAAGAATGAGTTACCACCCAAATTTTAATTGCTTCAAAATATGTTTGTTTCACAGGCTCTCCTTGGTTAAGCTTTGCTAAACTGATTGAAACCAAGAATGCTGACTTTAGGCTAGCCATCCGTTTTATACCAACATTTCCCAAAATATGTTGTGAGGAAAGGATATTGATAGATGATGTGTAAAAAAAGAGAAAAAAAGGAAAGAAAGAAAGGAATAAAGAAAAAAAGAAAAGAAAGAAAGGAAAATTAAAAAAGAAAAGGAATCCCAGAAAAATAAATTTATGAGACAATGGCTTAAATAAAAGTAAATATGTTCCTTACTGCAGGATTTTGGTGGGGTTTGAATGGGTCAATGTGCCTAGCAAGCACCGAGAGAGGAAAATATTCCAAACTTATTTGAGCAGGGAATCATTTTCTAAAAAGATTATAAAAGTATGGTTTAAAAAAAACTGTTCTGAAGTTCAAAATGCATTTTTTTTAACAATGAAGAAATTGCATTTGTCAGGTCCCTTCCCTGTCCTCTCAATTCACCAAAACCTTGGTGGCACATTCTTACTATCATCAAAGAACCATTGTGGGGCTCACAAATGACTAACCCTAAGATAGGTGCATCACTCCTTCATGCTGGGTGACACGTATGCTGTCAACAGTTGGTTGAGGAAACCCTCTGCAGAATCCCCACAGCACTGGGGCCACCCACACAATTGTATGAGACATGAGGAGAGTCATTTTCACTGCAGTATAAAGATTTGAGGACCAAGCTTTTATGAGTATTAAGGCAATTGGAATCCTTGACTCACACTACAATGGCTAAAATAAATGTGACTGACAATACTAAGTGTTGACAAAGAGGCAGGGCAACTGGAACTCCTGTAAGTTGATAATCACTGCAGAGAGTTTAAAACAGGGTGAGCACTTTGGAAAACTGACACTTTCTTCAGAGGCTAGCCACACACCTATACTGTGGCACTGCAATTCCACTCCTAGGTATTTATTTAAGAGAAATGAGTGGATCTGTCCACAAAAAGATTTGTACAAGAATGTTTTATTTATAATAGTTATACAGGGAAACAGGGTACATGGACTACCATTGGAAGATTGGGTACACAAATGATGCTGTATTCATCCATGGAATATTACTCAGCAATAAAAAGAAAATACGCAGTTTTATATACAACATGGATAAACTTCAAAATAAACAAATTAGGTTAAGCAAAAGAAGCCAGCCACAAAAGATTACATAGTATATGATTCCATTAATGTAAAGTTCTAAAGCAGTCAACGCTAAGTCATAGTAGGAGAAATTGATCAGTGGCTGCCTTGACATGGGGTGGCAGGAGCCACATGGTGGGGGAATTGACTGGACCAGTCCTGAAGGAGTTCTGTGGGAGAAAGGAAACATGCTATTTCTTAACTGGGAGGTAGCTACTTGAGTGTTCACGCTTGCCAAAACACATCAAACTAAACACTTAAGGTCTGTGCTTTTGGTTGTATGTAAATTATAACTCAAAACAAACAAACAAACAAACAAAAAACACAAAGAACCGTGAATTGGAACCCCCTCTCTCCTACAGCACTGTGAGACCTGTTAGCTCCTGCCCCAGTCCTGGACTGTCATAAACACTTATTTATGAGGTAAATGCATGCAATACAAAGTAACTTGCTTGTCATGAGTCGGGGGACAGTGTTCCCTTTCATCATTTGGAATGAAAATTTTTAATACCTAGACACTAATTCTTAGGTCAGTTTGGACAGCTCTCCCGAACAGTGATATTAAGAACTAATTCTTTTTTATTTTATTTTATTATTATTATTTTTTTATTATTATACTTTAAGTTTTAGGGTACATGTGCACAATGTGCAGGTTAGTTACATATGTATACATGTGCCATGCTGGTGTGCTGCACCCACTAACTCGTCATCTAGCATTAGGTATATCTCCCAATGCTATCCCTCTGCCCTCCTCGCACCCCACAACAGGCCCCAGAGTGTGATGTTCCCCTTCCTGTGTCCATGTGTTCTCATTGTTCAATTCCCACCTATGAGTGAGAATATGCAGCGTTTGGTTTTTTGTTCTTGCGATAGTTTACTGAGAATGATGATTTCCAGTTTCATCCATGTCCCTACAAAGGACATGAACTCATCATTTTTTATGGCTGCATAGTATTCCATGGTGTATATGTGCCACATTTTCTTAATCCAGTCTATCGTTGTTGGACATTTGGCTTGGTTCCAAGTCTTTGCTATTGTGAATAATGCCGCAATAAACATAGGTGTGCATGTGTCTTTATAGCAGCATGATTTATAGTCCTTTGGGTATATACCCAGTAATGGGATGGCTGGGTCAAATGGTATTGCTAGTTCTAGATCCCTGAGGAATTGCCACACTGACTTCCACAGTGGTTGAACTAGTTTACAGTCCCACCAACAGTGTAAAAGTGTTCCTATTTCTCCACAAGCTCTCCAGCACCTGTTGTTTCCTGACTTTTTAATGATTGCCATTCTAACTGGTGTGAGATGGTATCTCATTGTGGTTTTGATTTGCATTTATCTGATGGCCAGTGATGGTGAGCATTTTTTCATGTGTTTTTTGGCTGCATAAATGTCTTCTTTTGAGAAGTGTCTGTTCATGTCCTTTGCCCACTTTTTGATGGAGTTGTGTGTTTTTTTCTTGTAAATTTGTTGGAGTTCATTGTAGATTCTGGATATTAGCCCTTTGTCAGATGAGTAGGTTGCAAAAATTTCCTCCCATTCTGTAGGTTGCCTGTTCACTCTGAAGGTAGTTTCTTTTGCTGTGCAGAAGCTCTTTAGTTTAATTAGGTCCCATTTGTCAATTTTGGCTTTTGTTGCCATTGCTTTTGGTGTTTTAGACATGAAGTCCTTGCCCATGCCTATGTCCTGAACGGTAAAGCCTAGGTTTTCTTTTAGGGTTTTTATGGTTTTAGGTCTAACATTTAAGTCTTTAATCCATCTTGAATTGATTTTTGTATAAGGTGTAAGGAAGGGATCCAGTTTCAGCTTTCTACATATGGCTAGCCAGTTTTCCCAGCACCATTTATTAAATAGGGAATCCTTTCCCCATTGCTTGTTTTTGTCAGGTTTGTCAAAGATCAGATAGTTGTAGATATGTGGCATTATTTCTGAGGGCTCTGTTCTGTTCCATTGATCTATATCTCTGTTTTGGTACCAGTACCATGCTGTTTTGGTTACTGTAGCCTTGTAGTATAGTTTGAAGTCAGGTAATGTGATGCCTCCAGCTTTGTTCTTTTGGCTTAGGACTGACTTGGCGATGCGGGCTCTTTTTTGGTTCCATATGAACTTTAAAGTAGTTTTTTCCAATTCTGTGAAGAAAGGCATTGGTAGCTTGATGGGGACGGCATTGAATCTGTAAATTACCTTGGGCAGTATGGCCATTTTCATGATATTGATTCTTCCTACCCACGAGCATGGAATGTTCTTCCATTTGTTTGTATCCTCTTTGATTTCATTGAGCAGTGGTTTGTAGTTCTCCTTGAAGAGGTCCTTCACATCCCTTGTAAATTGGATTCCTAGGTATTTTATTCTCTTTCAAGCAATTGTGAATGGGAGTTCACTCATGATTTGGCTGTTTGTCTGTTGTTGGTGTATAGGAATGCTTGTGATTTTTGCACATTGATTTTGTACCCTGAGACTTTGCTGAAGTTGCTTATCAGCTTAAGGAGATTTTGGGCTGAGACAATGGGGTTTTCTAGATATACAGTCATGTCATCTGCAAACAGGGACAATTTGACTTCCTCTTTTCCTAATTGAATACCCTTTATTTCCTTCTCCTGCCTGATTGCCCTGGCCAGAACTTCCAACACTATGTTGAATAGGAGTGGTGAGAGAGGGCATCCCTGTCTTGTGCCAGTTTTCAAAGGGAATGCTTCCAGTTTTTGCCCATTCAGTATGATATTGGCTGTGGGTTTGTCATAGATAGCTCTTATTATTTTGAAATATGTCCCATCAATACCTAATTTATTGAGAGTTTTTAGCATGAAAGGTTGTTGAATTTTGTCAAAGGCCTTTTCTGCATCTATTGAGATAATCATGTGGTTTTTGTCTTTGGCTCTGTTTATATGCTGGATTACATTTATTGATTTGTGTATATTGAACCAGCCTTGCATCCCAGGGATGAAGCCCACTTCATCATGGTGGATAAGCTTTTTGATGTGCTGCTGGATTCGGTGTGCCAGTATTTTATTGAGGATTTTGCATCAATGTTCATCAAGGATATTGGTCTAAAATTCTCTTTTTTGGTTGTGTCTCTGCCCAGCTTTGGTATCAGAATGATGCTGGACTCATAAAATGAGTTAGGGATGATTCCCTCTTTTTCTATTGATTAGAATAATTTCAGAAGGAATGGTACCAGTTCCTCCTTGTATCTCTGGTAGAATTCGGCTGTGAATCCATCTGGTCCTGGACTCTTTTTGGTTGGTAAGCTATTGATTATTGCCACAATTTCAGATCCTGTTATTGGTCTATTCTGAGATTCAACTTCTTCCTGGTTTAGTCTTGGGAGAGTGTATGTGTCAAGGAATTTATCCATTTCTTCTAGATTTTCTAGTTTATTTGCATAGAGGTGTTTGTAGTATTCTCTGATGGTAGTTTGTATTTCTGTGGGATAGGTGGTGATATCCCCTTTATCATTTTTTATTGCGTCTATTTGATTCTTCTCTCTTTTTTTCTTTATTAGTCTTGCTAGCAGTCTATCAATTTTGTTGATCCTTTCAAAAAACCAGCTCCTGGATTCATTAATTTTTTGAAGGGTTTTTTGTGTCTCTATTTCCTTCAGTTCTGCTCTGATTTTAGTTATTTCTTGCCTTCTGTTAGCTTTTGAATGTGTTTGCTCTTGCTTTTCTAGTTCTTTTAATTGTGATGTTAGGGTGTCAATTTTGGATCTTTCCTGCTTTCTCTTGTGGGCATTTAGTGCTATAAATTTCCCTCTACACACTGCTTTGAATGCGTCCCAGAGATTCTGGTATGTTGTGTCTTTGTTCTTGTTGGTTTCAAAGAACATCTTTATTTCTGCCTTCATTTCGTTATGTACCCAGTAGTCATTCAGGAGCGGGTTGTTCAGTTTCCATGTAGTTGAGTGGTTTTGAGTGAGATTCTTAATCCTGAGTTCTAGTTTGATTGCACTGTGGTCTGAGAGATAGTTTGTTATAATTTCTGTTCTTTTACATTTGCTGAGGAGAGCTTTACTTCCAACTATGTGGTCAACTTTGGAATAGGTGTGGTGTGGTGCTGAAAAAAATGTATATTCTGTTGATTTGGGGTGGAGAGTTCTGTAGATGTCTATTAGGTCCACTTGGTGCAGAGCTGAGTTCAATTCCTGGGTATCCTTGTTGACTTTCTGTCTCGTTCATCTGTCTAATGTTGACAGTGGGGTGTTAAAGTCTCCCATTATTAATGTGTGGGAGTCTAAGTCTCTTTGTAGGTCACTCAGGACTTGCTTTATGAATCTGGGTGCTCCTGTATTGGGTGCATATATATTTAGGATAGTTAGCTCTTCTTGTTGAATTGATCCCTTTATCATTATGTAATGGCCTTCTTTGTCTCTTTTGATCTTTGTTGGTTTAAAGTCTGTTTTATCAGAGACTAGGATTGCAACCCCTGCCTTTGTTTTCCATTTGCTTGGTAGATCTTCCTCCATCCCTTTATTTTGAGCCTATGTGTGTCTCTGCACATGAGATAGGTTTCCTGAATACAGCACACTGATGGGTCTTGACTCTTTATCCAATTTGTCAGTTTGTGTCTTTTAATTGGAGCATTTAGTCCATTTACATTTAAAGTTAATATTGTTTAAATGTAACATTTACATTTAAAGTTAATATTTAAAGTTAATAATTAATATCAAATTGTGAATTTGATCCTGTCGTTATGATGTTAGCTGGTTATTTTGCTCATTATTTCATGCAGTTTCTTCCTAGTCTCGATGGTCTTTACATTTTGGCATGATTTTGCAGTGGCTGGTAGCGGTTGTTCCTTTCCATGTTTAGCGCTTCATTCAGGAGCTCTTTTAGGGCAGGGCTGGTGGTGACAAAATCTCTCAGCATTTGCTTCTCTGTAAAGTATTTTATTTGTCCTTCACTTATGAAGCTTAGTTTGGCTGGATATGAAATTCTGGGTTGAAAATTCTTTTCTTTAAGAATGTTGAATATTGGTCCCCACTCTCTTCTGGCTTGTAGAGTTATTGCCAAGAGATCCGCTGTTAGTCTGATGGGCTTCCCTTTGAGGGTAACCCGACCTTTCTCTCTGGCTGCCCTTAACATTTTTTCCTCCATTTCAACTTTGGTGAATCTGACAATTATGTGTCTTGGAGTTGCTCTTCTCAAGGAGTATCTTTGTGGTGTTCTCTGTATTTCCTGAATCTGAATGTTGGCCTGCCTTGCTAGATTGGGGAAGTTCTCCTGGAGAATATCCTGCATAGTGTTTTCCAACTTGGTTCCATTCTCCCCATCACTTTCAGGTACACCAATCAGACGTAGATTTGGTCTTTTCACATAGTCCCATATTTCTTCAAGGCTTTACTCGTTTCTTTTTATTCTTTTTTCTCTAAACTTCCCTTCTTGCTTCATTTCATTCATTTCATCTTCCATCACTGATATCCTTTCTACCAGTTGATTGCATCGGCTCCTGAGGCTTCTGCATTCTTCATGTAGTTCTCAAGCCTTGGTTTTCAGCTCCATCAGCTCCTTTAAGCACTTCTCTGTATTGGTTATTCTAGTTATACATTCTTCTAAATTTTTTTCAAAGTTTTCAACTTCTTTGCCTTTGGTTTGAATGTCCTCCTGTAGCTCAGAGTAATTTGATCGTCTGAAGCCTTCTTCTCTCAGCTCGTCAAAGTCATTCTCCGTCCAGCTTTGTTCCATTGCTGGTGAGGGACTGCGTTCCTTTGGAGGAGGAGAGGCGCTCTGCTTTTTAGAGTTTCCAGTTTTTCCGCTGTTTTTTTCCCCATCTTTGTGTTTTATCTGCTTTTGGTCTTTGATGATGGTGATGTACAGATGGGTTTTTTGTGCGGATGTCCTTTCTGTTTGTTAGTTTTCCTTCTAACAGGACCCTCAGCTGCAGGTCTGTTGGAGTACCCGGCCCTGTGAGGTGTCAGTCTGCCCCTGCTGGGGGGTGCCTCCCAGTTAGGCTGCTTGGGGGTCAGGGGTCAGGGACCCACTTGAGGAGGCAGTCTGCCTGTTCTCAGATCTCCAGCTGCGTACTGGGAGAACCACTGCTCTCTTCAAAGCTGTCAGACAGGGACATTTAAGTCTGCAGAGGTTACTGCTGTCTTTTTGTTTGTCTGTGCCCTGCCCCCAGAGGTGGAGCCTACAGAGGCAGGCAGGCCTCCTTGAGCTGTGGTGGGCTCCACCCAGTTCGAGCTTTCTGGCTGCTTTGTTTACCTAAGCAAGCCTGGGCAATGGTGGGCGCCCCTTCCCCAGCCTCGCTGCTGCCTTGCAGTTTGAGCTCAGACTGCTGTGCTAGCAATCAGCGAGATTCCGTGGGCATAGGACCCTCCGAGCCACGTGTGGGATATAATATCCTGGTGATCCGTTTTTTAAGCCCGTCGGAAAAGCGCAGTATTTGGGTGGGAGTGACCCGATTTTCCAGGTGCCGTCTGTCACCCCTTTCTTTGACTAGGAAAGGGAACTCCCTGACCCCTTGCACTTCCTGAGTGAGGCAATGCCTCGCCCTTTTTTGGCTCATGCACCCACTGACCTGAGCCCACTGTCTGGCACTCCCTTGTGTGATGAACCCGTTACCTCAGATGGAAATGCAGAAATCACCCGTCTTCTGCGTCACTCAGGCTGGGAGCTGTAGACCAGGGCTGTTCCTATTCGGCCATCTTGGCTCCTCTCCCTATTAAGAACTAATTCTGTGCATTTTGTTTTGATGTGCTCTATCTCCTTGTGAAAAAAAAATGCCTGAACATTTGATACATGTTCAGCTGATGAGTAGTCCTTTATTTTTCAATTAGGATAATCACTGACTTTTATATTTAACCCAAATTATATTCTCTTGGTCTCAGCATACGTTTTGCTTCTTCACTGGTGGATGCAGCCTTTCTTCAGCCTCTTGAAGCAACCATGGGTAATAAGCGCAACTGTAAATCAAAACCAGTTAATCTTAGAAGCCAAAGAATGACCACAAACAAACTTAAGAACTTTACTAGGCTCAAGCAGTATTATCTTGATGATAAAGACAACAGTTATCAACTATTATTTAACAAGTCATTAAATGGTAAGTGGAAAGGATTCACTCACCATGTTCACTGTTGAGTTTAGAACATCTGTATTTTTGTTTTCTATTTTTAAGGACTTTATTCCCCCAATGTTGCTGTTAGATTTTTGCTTAGAACAAGAAGATCTTTGATGTGAATGACTCTTTGGGGGGCTCATGTTAAGGATGTGTTGTGTATCCCGTTATCTGTCTCTTCACTTGTCTTCCTGTTCTTCATCTTTCTCATCTTCCTCTTCCTCACCATCATCATACACTGCACTTATTAAGCACCTACTGTGTGCCAGCCACTCTATTCTCTGTACTTTCCTTTGCACTGTTTCATTGAATCATTCCCTATCTTATAGTTAGAAATGGTATTTTAACCTATTTTAAGCTTGAAAAATTGAGATTTAGAAAATGTATGTAAATTATGGAAGAACACAGTTTAAACTTAGAACAATTGGTATTTGATTCTAAGTCTATTTGAATACAGCCAAATTTATTATATACTGTATTATATCATTTCACATGCCTTGACCTTCATTTTAGCATAGTTAATCTTTTACTTTACATGTGAGTATATTCTGCAAACTTGCTGAATTTCTAACTTGCTAATTGTCTTCAACTTTAAATACCTTCCATTATTTTACTTGAAAACCCTCCATATATTTAAAAATGAATAAGCAATTCTATTTGCTATTATCTCAGAAATATATGCATACATTTGATAAAGTATTTCCCTTTTAGATATGTTTTCAAAGGGTCTTCATCTGTAAATCAAAATCTTTACAAGTAAATTACTCTATGCACCCCAAGAGATTTTATAATGAAAATAAAAAATAAGTAGACAGGTAATACTCTTTCCTAAAGTCAATGATTACCTTAATACATCAGTCTATGTTCCCTGTCTTTGGGCATTACACCTACAATACACAGCACCTGAGAATAAAAACACAGCACACACTCCAGAAAAACATATGTTCATTCCCGATGAATTTGCTTCTGTCTTGAACTTTGCCTCCATTCCTCATGTTGGAGGTTAAGAGTGCTCTCCTCTCTCAATCTTACATTTAAAAACAGGGACAGCTTTGCCCTCTTCTCTTAGCCATATCTTGACTGTTCCAAGCTTTCCAGAATGACAGTTGCTTCCAACACAGAAGGTATGCCTAGCCCCAGAAGGCTTCCCACTCCAAGAAGCATCTCACTCCAAGTTCGGCTGGACTGATAACCTCTTCCCTCTTTCCTGAAGTCCTCATCCCCAGTGTGCTACTACCTGTCTCAGTCTGAGATGAAAGGAGACGTCTGTACCACTGTGCAGGAAGAGTGGATTCTCTGTGGCTCTAATCCCTGTGTACTTCTGGAACTACCTGGTGCAGCACAGGCTAACTGGGGAAAAGAATGTGCAGCCAGGAATGTGTTGTGGGCCAGGGAGCTTGAGATGGGTGTATGGGGACTTGGCTTCAAGAGCCATCTTGGGCAACTCACTCTGGCTCTGAGTCCTCATTTGAAAATCATTGGGTTGCACTCTGTTATCTGTGGTCTCCAACCTGGGAAACCTGGGAACCACAGGGTGAACATGAGAGTCCATGTATTATTGCCAGTGTTTAAAAATCTTATAAAAGCCCAAAGATAAGTGGTCAATTTACCTATTTTTGACAAAAATCATATTAATTCAGCATAATGGATACTCAGATTAAAAGGACACTTGCATTCAATTTTAAAAATTGGGAAAACAAATGCAATTTGTTTAGTAGATAAAATATTTCAAACAATGGGATTCATGGAAGTAACACTTTTTTTAATTTTTTTTAATTTTTTTATTATTATACTTTAAATTTTAGGGTACATGTGCACAACATGCAGGTTTGTTACATATGTATACATGTGCCATGTTGGTGTGCTGCACCCATTAACTCGTCATTTAGCATTTGGTATATCTCGTAATGCTATCCATCCCTGCTCCCTCCACCCCAAAACAGTCCCCTGTGTGTGATGTTCTCATTCCTGTGTCCATGAGTTCTCATTGTTCAATTCCCACCTATGAGTGAGAACATGCGGTGTTTGGGTTTTTGTCCTTGTGATAGTTTGCTGAGAATGATGGTTTCCAGCTTCATCCATGTCCCTACAAAGGACATGAACTCATCCTTTTTTATGGCCGCATAGTATTCCATGGTATATATGTGCCACATTTTCTTAATCCAGTCTATCATTGTTGGACATTTGGGTTGGTTCCAAGTCTTTGCTATTGTGAATAGTGCCGCAATAAACATACGTGTGCATGTGTCTTTATAGCAGCATGATTTATAGTCCTTTGGGTATATACCCAGTAATGGGATGGCTGGGTCAAATGGTATTTCTAGTTCTAGATCCCTGAGGAATCGCCACACTGACTTCCACAGTGGTTGAACTAGTTTACAGTCCCACCAACAGTGTAAAAGGGAAGTAGCACTTTTTTAAAGGTGGCTTAATGCTGAGAAAAGCTATATGATTTCTAAGATTTTTTGAACTTCAAGAGTATGGCTCTTTGATTTGAAATTTGCATGTAAATATAGTGTACATGCTAAAAACATGAGAGTGTGTATATGTATCTTACATAGTGCTGATAGCGTCAAGTACTTTTAAGGATTCTACACATCTTCACAATAACCATTTGAGGTAGATACTCTTAGCATCTCCATTTCACAGATGAGAAAACTGGGGCGAAAAGAGGTTAGGTTACTTGCACAGGGTCACACAGATGGATTTGTCTGTGTGTCACTCTATCATAAATGTATACAGATGAAATATCTGTATATATACCTGTTCATATGTAACGTACATTTGAATTCAATAGCCATACAATGTTTGGCAAAATACTGCATGTTACATGAGTTTTCTGTGCTGAAAGGAGGTGTATTATTAGTTTGGGCAGGCTGTCATAAGAAAATATTACATAATGGGTAGCTTAAACAACAGAAATATTTTTTTTTTTCACGTTTCTGGAGGCTGGAAGTTCAAGTGCAAGGCGCATGCAGGCCTGGTTTTCTTTGAGATATCTCTTTAACTTGCAGATGGCTGCCCTCTTGCAGCCTCTTCACATGTTCTTTTCTCTGTGCTCCTGCATCTCTGGTGTCTCTTTGTGTGTCCTAATCTCATCTAATAAGGACATCAGTCAGATTGGATTTGGCCCACCCTAATGGCCTCATTGTAACTTAATCACCCCCTTAAAGACCCTGTCTCCAAACAGTCATATTCTGAGATGCTGGAGGTTAGAATGGGGGTGGGGCACAGTTACAGTTCAGCCCATAGCAAGAGGTTAATGAATTTCTTGAAGCAGCTCTTCAGAGTTCCATGTATAGCACACATTTTAAAATCGCTCCGAATAACTCCTTTGTTTCTGTACACTCACTGACTCACTTAAGAAAAATGCAATAGGAGAAGAGGAGAAGCAAGCCTATCTAATAACTGGAGATTTAGGCCAGCCCTCAGGCCTTCATAGGTCTTAGTGGGGGCTTATGTATTTGGAGGGCTTTCATAAAGAACTCTCCAAAACCCAACCTTTGCTTCTCTCCAGTGGAATCTGTTGTGACTCAGGCAGGGACCTCAGGGCTGGTGGAGAGAAGGGAAGAAGAAAGCACAGAAACCTAGGGCTGGTGAAATAACTAGCAGTATGGCAGGTGGGAGCAGTATTTCCAGTAATGGTAATGGAGAGAACATGGCAGCTGTGGCTAAGAAAGAGGGTGCTAGAACCCAAGGGGGACAGTTATTTTGTGACCAGGGGATTATGCCTTTCATCAGGTGGCCACACAGTTGAGGTGCCAGGTATGACTAGGCGTTTTACACCATAGTGACTGCAATCCACGACTTTGGAAGACAGGCCCACAGGAACCAGATATGTGTCCTGGTTCCAATAACATATGCTGGTTCAGGGTGGTGCTCCACCCTGGTGAGGACAGGAGCATAAACAGGGAACTGAGACAGAAGACCAGCTATATGAATGATGGATAGCAACAATCTGTTCAGGAAGGGAGGCTAGAAGTTTTCCGCAGTGGCCAGCCATTTGGGGGCCACTGCAGAAAAATTTCTGGTTCCTCCAAATAGTGAGGCCTGAGATTCTGAGAACACATTCAATCTTGATAAGGGAGAATGTGAGGCTGAGCTGGGCAGATGCAAAGGGTGCATGTCTTTGCTACCTATCACATCTGGGGCCAGCAAGGACTGAAGAGGACAGGCCACAGGGTCACTGAGAAATGCCTATTGTTTCATCTTCCTGCTTTTCCATATCCCCTGGGCTCTTTTCGCTCCTATGTGAAGAGGTCCAATTCCTCTTAATTTACTCTCTCCTTGACAACAGATTCCAGAAAGCATTCTGTTCTGGTAGCTTCTCCTTGCAAATTATAAACAGGGTAAAAACTGGGCCAAGGAATTGACCTGGGGAGCAAAGCTACAAAGGCAGGAGGCAGGCTACCTGACCCAATCCATCTCTCTCTATCACTAATGTTTCTGACTCTGTGATTATGATTTTATGAATATGATTGCTGCTGCATGTTGGGTCTGTCTGCTGGTAAATGTAGGCCAGTCGTCCCCTCCCACAGGCCCGAGCAGGCTCCTCTCCATCAGCTGAAGTCCTTCATCTCTCCCATCCTTCCTGCTACGTGTTCCAGGGATGGCTCAGCTACATACCTGAGGCCTGGCAAGTTCACTGATGGCTCCTGCAGGTAATTGGCCTTAGATTGTAGAGAGTGCTGTTAATTTCTCTACAAATACAGTGTTCTGTTTGGATTTTCATCTGTGCCATGACTTTTGGGCCTTATGTAAAGCCATTCCTTTACGTAGTTATGGATTATGATTTTTTTGTGTGACAGAGTTTCACTCTGTCACCAAGGCTGGAGTGCAGTGACATGATCTTGGCTCACTGCAGCCTCGATCTCCTGGGCTCAAGTGATTGTCCAGCCTCATTCTTCTGAGTAGCTGGGACCACAGGTGCACACCACTATGCCCTACTATTTTAAAAATTTTTTGTAGAGACAGAATCCAGCCATGTTGCACAGGCTGGTCTCGAACTCCCAGGCTTAAGTGATTTTCCCACCTCGGCCTCCCAAAGTGCTGAGATTATAGGCATGAGCTACTGCAATTATGAATTTTGGCTCCAGTGATAGTGGAGAAGCACCTACTCTGAAAAATGCAGTCTCCTTGTCAGTTTCATTATTTCATGCCCTGCACCAATAGGGAGGGAAATGGATCCTTGACCTAGTTAGGTTTCCTTAGTGATCACTCTTTCATATTTGTGGAATTGGTAGGGCTGCCTCACTTACAGATTGGGTCTTTCCCCATAAGGGAGTAGCATCCAGAAGAGGTAGTTTCTGTGTCCACAGTAGCTCGAGGGCTCTTTTTCTGTCCTTCAATTGATTTTCTTCCTTTTCATGAATTTTCACACATTCACAAATTTATTTTCACAAGTTTTCACAAAGCTGCACATTGGCTGGGAATCTGCCCCTGGGAATGGCTTTGCCAAAGGTCATTCACTTGGCATTTGCTGTTTGGCACCCCTTGTCCTTAATGGAAGAGTTGACTGATTTGAATGAGAATTTTTCATTGCCGTGCATTAAACAGCTGTTCTCTCTAACCAGATGCTTAATATGGTTCCTCTTCCAAGCCTAGTGAAGGGAGCTGGCTCGCTAGTTTGCAGTTGAGAGAAATGATCTAAGAGCCTAAGGATACATAGAAAGAATCCCCTGGTGGTTTGGGGTAAAATCTCCTTCTTGGGTTAACATTCAGAGCATACGAGGCATTTTTAAAAAGTGGCCTGTTGATTTGATGAAACTGAGATGTCAGCGCAGCACTGTGAGGTAGTGAGAAAGATACAAATGCCATCAGGCCATGCTTCCACTGCCCCCTGCAGTGACGATGCACAGAGCACTTGTGCTGGGGACTGTGGGTCCCAGTGGGGAGAGATTGTTCAGTGCAAGCTCCACTCTCCCACACAGTTCCTGCTGCTGGAAGCTCACCTCCATTTATTCCATTTATCTGAAGCCCTGGCCAAGCTGCAAGCTACTGTGACCCAGTTACCATGGAGAACTTGTATATTCTTGGCTTCCTTGCTGCTTTTACAGGCAGAATTACAGAAGAGAATGTCTTTGCTGCTAGGAAATATAAATATTACAGAGAGATGCTCATTTTCTCCCTCTATGATGATTATTACCAAAGATATGCAAGAAGACTTCATTACAGAACATTGTCCTTCATAATGAGCCTTCCGTAGGCTTTTACAGGGATGGATAAGCCTGCCAGAAATGGATTGTGTTAACCCTCGGCTCTCTCCTGAATAGACACAAACTAGAACCATTTGCACATTTAGCAGATTTTTGTGGAGTGCTTACTATGTGCTAGGCTCTGGTGATACAGAGACAAATGAGATACTGTCTTTGCCTTCAAAGGTCTTAGAGTCTAATAATGGAAGCTAGAACTCCAAACAAAAACACATGTTGCAATGACTTTCACCAAGTGCAGAGAAGTATTTAAAAAGGTAGGGATATTCCCTTTATGTGACATGTATGTATGTTGGTTATTACATATTTGTCAGGAAGACGACTGAAGAAGCACCCCCAAGCTGAGTGTTGAATGTGGAATATTTGTTCACCAGGAAAAGGGAGGGCCTTCCAGAACCATCTTTAGCAAATGAGTTTTGCCTTCATGATGTAGGCCTGCTGCTACTCCTCCACCGTGTCTGTGTTTCAGACAAGGAAAAGAGGGTGAGGGAAAGTGAAGGCAAATGGAAAAGAGGCACATGTCAGCTGAGCCTGCTTTCAATGTGGGCTGGAGTTCTCATTGAATGGGATGGGCTCTTGAGCTACAAGAGAGCCTAGATTGTTGAGTGTATTTAGCTAGGTCCGTGGCTATCCTTAATAAAATTAGGAGTTGCTCAATAAAGAGTGGGTGTGGTTGACAGCCTCCAAGATGGTCATGAATGATTCTCAACTCCTGGAATGCATGGCCTTGTGTCATTTCCTCTGACACTAGTTCATTTACAGCGTTGCAGCTTCTGTCTTGGTCTTTTGTTGTGAGGATAATTAGGCAGCCCTCTGGAGACACCCACAGATGGAGGAACCAATTTCCAGTTGCGAGAGTGAGCCAACTTGAATCAGGTCCTCCAGCCCCAAGCAAACTTTCTGATGGTTGCAGCCCCAGCTGGCATTTGGCCACAACCTTATAACACTGAGACAGAAACAGTCAACCAAGGCATTCCAAATCCCTGACCCACAGACACCATGAGAGACAACAAATGATTACTGTTGTTTTAAACTACTAAGCCTGGGGTATGCAGCAATAGATAATTAATAGATAACTGAGTCAAGAGGAGAACAGGAGCAGTACCTGAAGAGCAGATGACTAGAAGGCTGTGCCCCACCATCCACAGCCATCCCCTGCCATGTAGACAAAGTGCCTCACCTGCCATCAAACCCCCTCCTCCCAGCTGTGTTTTTTGGCCTCACCTTTCTTCCTTTTCTCAAGCAACTTACCACTCGGCTGAAACTTTATCAAGGGCTGTATTGAATAATGCGTTACCAAATTCATCGATCATTTTTTGATGCTCATTTAACTGGAAACGGTTGCTCATGAGCTTCTTTTCGAACCACTTTTCTTGACTTCTAGGACCTCACATTGTCATGGGTTCTTTCCTGCCTCCAAGAAACTTGTTTTCAGTTCTATCTGAGGTTCTCCTTTTTCTTCTTAATTCCTAAGTGTTGGCTTATTGAAGAGTCAGGTCCTAGAACGCCTTTTCTTCTGTCTCTACTTTTTAATAAATAATCCTAACTGGTCTTCTGGCTTTACACATCAGCGATATGATGCTGACTCACAAATTCATATTTAGTAGAATGGTTAAGAGCATGAACATGGGAACCAGACAATCTGGGTTTCAATCCTAGCTCTGTCACTTGGTAACTGGATGACCTTGGGCCATTTACTTAATCTCAGTTTCCTCATTTCTGTAGTTAGGATGCTAATGATATCTATGATCACACTTAAGGGGTACTCAACAGACATGAGTGGCTTCCACTGCTGCTATTATTACTGCTTTTACTATTGCTACTGATATTCCTCAAACTTCAAACACATTCATGCGTTCATGCTCACATACGTGTCAAATCTGTCTACTGGGCATCTCTATTGAGTGTCTAGTAGATATCTCAAATTTAAGTCCAAAGCAGAATCCTGCATTTTCCTGTGAACCTTACATAGTTTCTGCCCTAATTCACTCAGTCTCAGTGACTGACACGGCTATCCATCTCATTGTAGCACATAGAAAAAAATCTAGGTGTCATTCTTAATTCTTCACCTTCCTTCATTTTGAATAGCTGATCTAGTAGGAAGCCCTGGGGTCCTTACCCCCAGAACTCATCCCAAATCTTTCCTTGTCTCTCCCTCTCCTGTACTGTTGCCAACATCCTAGCCACTGGTGCTTCCTGCCTTAACTACAAACATGCCCTCTGCACCCTCCATGCTTCCATTTTTGCATCCCTTCTGCAACAATGTGTTCTCTATTCAGTAGTCATCTTTTAAAAACAAAGTCAGATCATGTCACATCACTTGCAAGGTCAAAATCCTGAAATGTTGTCTGAGAGCACTTTGCATGAAATTCAAACATCTCTTGCAGGACTGGGCCTTAAACTACCTGTTTGGCTTCTTCTTATGACCACTACCATCCCCCACCACAAACACACATACACGTACACACACACTCACACACTCCCCCCACACACATACACACATATACAGACACATACCTACACACACACACCTCCCACACATACACACCCCCACACATACATACACACACATACAGCCCCCCACACACATACACACACCACACAAACACACACACACCCCTCCACACACACACCCCTCCACACATACACACACACTCACACCCCTCCACACATACACACACATACACACACACTCACTCCCCTCCACACATACACACACATACACCCCCACACATATACACACACATACACCCCCACACACATACACCCCCACACACATACACACACACCCCACACACATACACACATGCCTATACACATACACATACATCCATACACATATACACACACACAGATACACACACACACCCCACACACATACATACACACACACCCCACACACATACACACACATACATACACACACAGTCACCACACACACACAGGCACACAGGCACCACACACACACATACATTCACACACACATACACACATACACACGCACCCCCACACACAAACACACCCCAGACTCACATACACTCTCTCACACCCACACATGTGTGAGCCCTGCCCTGTGCTTGCTCTGCTCTAGTCTCACGAAAATTCTCTCCATGTCGCACCCAGTTATTCTCTAAAGCATCACCTTGTTTCACTTTTAAATTGTGATTTTGTTTTTATTTTCCTATCTTTTCCCTCTTATTTTCTTTTTGCTTCCAACTCCCTCACTAGACTATAAATTTCATAAGGACATGTATCTTACATCTTTTATTGATTGATGAATTCTTGGCACTTAAAACAGCTCAGAACAGAGAAGGTGTTCAACACATTTGTCTAATGAATAAAATTCAGAAAAGACAAAAGCAGTTGTCCAAGAATATTTCTAGAGCTCTTACTAACTGGTTTGGGTAGTGGTTACTTTCAATAACATACAGAAGGCAAGATAATTGGAGGTGAGGCAATGAGCATAATTCTAGACATGTTGAGTGTGGAGTGCCTGTGGGATATCTGGGTGTGATTGGATCAGTATGGATGAGATCCATGATTTTAGAGTGCAGGAGAGTTCTGGGAGGTATATGTAGTTTTGAGATCCACCAGCGTTTACCATAAATGACCTAATTTAGTTTGAGACTTTTCCCTAAAATGAGCTTCCAGAAAGAGGTAGAGCTGCTTTACCTTAAAGTCCTCACAGAGCGTTATGTAATCTAAAATGCTCTCTTAATTACTTGTTTAGAACAATAAAGTAATGTTTTGGCAGATACATTAACCTGAAACTACCTCAATCAATACTCATTTGGAATACTTGGGATGTTTTCTGAAAGAATCAATTTTTTTAAAAAAGGCTAAAGATTTTTAACATTGATTTAAATAATTATTTTTGTAGCTGCAGTATAACAATTACAAGTGTTAGGTATTACTGTAACAAGATTTTTAGAAATCGTTTTAAAAAGCAACATAACGAGTGCAGATCACAAACCTCTACAATCCATACAACTCTATGAAAAATGAAAACAACTAACATTTTATGCAAAAAGGCACTAGTTGTTCAGGATTGAATTTCCACTGATAGGTATCTTGAGAAAGGATGGGGGTATGGATAGAAAGTGTGCATGCTTTTATAATTAGTTTGCCTGCAGAGGGAAGGAGAGGTGTACTTTGGCTACAGGGGCATTTACAATGTAAGGAGTTGTTTCTAATGATAGGAAAGCACTGGCCATTCACATAGGTTGAAGAAAAAGAGCCAGAGGAGAGTGAGCAGTTTAGAGATCAACAAGAGCTGAAGCATGAGTAAAGGCTAAGCAGAAAGAGAGGGAGGCTGGGTTGGAAGCCCAGATAGGAAGATTAGCTTTGTCCAAATGAAGGAGTACGCCTTCCTTTCAACCTGTAGGTCACAAGATTAGGGACACACTGTAGGTTTGTCAGCGTGGAGATCAGAAGCTAGAGGGATGTCAACAGCCTCCTTGAACGCATCTATTCAACCTTGCTGTTCACCGTGACACCAAACACTTTGCCCTGGAGTTGTCAGCTCTCCTGGCTTTTGAATGCAGCTTGAATAGTGGCTGGAAGACTCTGAACTTTGAATTCAGAATCTTTGATTCTCATTTGGTTTCATAGACCATTATCACTAAGATTTGTGAGAGGCTGTGATCTCCACAATTCTTGTAGTAACATGTGAGGCTCCCTTTCCTTCTGACCCAGAAACCCCTTTCTCACAGTGCTGCCTTGGGGAGAGGGAGGAGAAAGTTCATTTCCGCACTCAGTATTCTCCAGTGAGCATACCCTCATGGCATCTGGGCGTTGGTGTGCCAGCCTTTTAAATGACAGCATTAAACTGCATCTCCAGATCCACTTCCAACTCTTACATTTTAAACATCTATAAACACTTAACTCACATGATGCCTTTAAATAATAAAACAAGGTGGAATATAATTAAGGGGCAAAATGAGTTGTACAGACAATTTGTGCTGTGAGCAGTCTTTTTAAGTTGACTAATGTGACATTGTTCTGCAGGAAAAGAAAACTTCAGCATTTTATTTTCAGAACTACCTGACCCAAATTAGGTAACTGGAGTGTGAGGAGGGAGGATTGAAAAAGTCCCAGAGCACCTCTCAGGTGACGGGAACTCTTGCTTTCCTTTGTAATCCCACTGAAGGGAGACGGAAGGCTAGAGGAGCAGGGCTGCACAGGGACTCGGCTTCTGTCCAAGGCGTCATTCCTGCCTGCAGAACAATGAGCCTTCAGGCCAGTGGACGAGTCTGTTATCAGCCTGCAGCAGGCTGAGAAATAATCTCCAGCCACTAGCAACAATGGGTGCCGTATCTCAGGCCAGGTAATGAGGAGTCTTTAAACTGCATCAGCTCGATTTTATTATCCTTTAGTTTTACACTTCTCAGCCTAGAATGGTCTTATCTGTTCCTTTTTGTTGTTCTGTGGAAACCCCTCTCCCTCCACAAAGGAAAAGATATTAGGTGGCCTTTTTCTTTCCTTCTTTTTTCAAATTTGAAGCCACAGCATTATAATAAATCTCTATAAAAATACACATAAGTGCATGCATAATTAAAATTACCTGCCTCAGTTTCTTTTGTGCAATATCTGATCCAAAATGGATGAATGTGTACCAACCACATTTTAATGACACGGACCCGAGGCTCCAGCCCCGAATGCTTATTGGGGTCCTGATTAGGGAGCAGATTTATCTATATCCAGGCAAACCCTACAACTCCTCGGCTGGAGGCACATCCTACACCAGCTTTTATATGTGCTCAGAGACATCAAGGAAGAAAGAAAATCTTGGACTGCCCAGGCTAGCTGTTTCTATCTTGCTGATTCAGTCCAAAGTATTAACTGGTTCTTTCCATGCGTTTCTCTTAAAAGCTGTTTTTTCGTTCCAACAAACATTGACCAGGATTGAAGCAAGCTTTTTTTTTTTTTTCCGAGACGGAGTCTCGCTGTGTCGCCCAGGCTGGAGTGCAGTGGCGTGATCTCGGCTCACTGCAAGCTCCGCCTCGCGGGTTCACGCCATTCTCCTGCCTCAGCCTCCTGAGTAGCTGGGACTACAGGCGCCCGCCACCACACCTGGCTATTTTTTTTTTTTTTTTTTGTATTTTTAGTAGAGACGGGGTTTCATCATGGTCTCGATCTCCTGACCTCGTGATCCGCCCGCCTCGGCCTCCCAAAGTGCTGGGATGACAGGCGTGAGCCACCGTGCGCGGCCTAAACAAGCTTTATGTCTCATACAGAATCATTCAGACTTGCTCCCATGGAGCCTCCCTGTGCCATTGTCTTCTATCAGGAGACATTCCACATGAGTCTGAAAGGGAGGATGGCCCTGGTAGGAAGGGGAGTTGGCCTACTTAAGATCAGAATTTATTTCTCTATATAGGTGTGCATTGGTGGAGCTCTGCATCAAATGATTCCTAATTCACAAGAATGAAAAAGACAGGAATGTGAAGCAGTGAGCTGAATACGTGTCAATTAGCCTATGATCCCTTTTAGTTTCTCAACTTTAAAGATAGGTATAGGTTAATCATGCAAAATAAAGAACTTGGTTTTATTTTTAAAACGCATCTGGAAGACTTCAAAGTGAATTCCAAAAAGAGTTAAACATAAAAATGAAAAAGCATTAAAAAGTATATAAGATATTTGTATAAGTGTGAGTTTGGGAATAACTTTGTAATTAAGACTCAAAGTGCAGAAGTTATAAAAGCAGCTGACAGATTTGGCAATGTCAAAAAACTTATTACAGTGAAAGAGATTCATAAATGAATTTAAAAGAAACATATCAGTCTGGAAGAAAATATTCATAATATCTGTAAGAAAAAAGATGCTATACACAAAATAACATAGAATTCTAAGAAAATAATATAAGAAAATGTAAAAAAAAGTCCAATCGAAAAATTGATTAAATAAACAGGAAATATACAGTAAAAAAATACAAGTGGATAATAAAAATAAAAAGGATGATTGATTTCACTAGAAATCAATTCATTGCAAATTACTATAAGGAGATATTTTACAGAATGAAATTGGTAAAATTCAAGGAGATAAATAACATGTGGCTTTGTTGTGAATAAGGAAAGGGTCATTCTCAGGTACCCTAGCGGAGAGTGAAAGTTAGGAAGCTCAGTGTAGACCAATTGGGTAGCCTTCACTACATTTTAATGAGTATTTCTAAGAATCTTTTCCTTAGAAATTCTTGTATTATGACCAAATGTGTGTAGAAGGACGATCATGGCAATGTGCTAATAGAGAGAAACTGGAAACAACCTAAATGCCTGTCACAAGGGGGAGCATTTAAATAAATTATGATGTATCTTTTTATGTAGCCCATAAAAAGAATGTGGCAGATCCATATAGACATGAATAGGTCTATTTCATGAAAAAGTTAAAAAATAATAAGCATATTTTGCCATTTAGGTAAATAAAAAAGATCGATATGTATATACACACCTCTGTATGCATAACTACACAGAAACTGTAACATTAAGATGTAGCATTAATTGCTAACCATGCTTTCCTCTGGGGAAGGGAATGAGAAGAGGGTAGTCATGAGTAGGAGCTACTTTCACATCTTGTACATATAACACACTTCTTAATTGTTTGAATCTTTTATCAGGGAGTTTACTCATTTTTTAATTGTGTGAAAAGAAGTAAAGAAAAAAATATTGCAGATCCCAAGTCATATGTTTAATTTATTGTTAATCAATAGAGGGGCTTACTCTGCGTGGCGTTAATTTGAAAAACCCCGAGAAAGCATCAATGATTTGCCCATTTTCCCAGATAAAAAGTAGTTTGTTAAGGCGAGGACCATCAAAACAAGAATAACTAATAAAAGTAGAGATATTTGATTAATGGAAACTTTTATTTATTCATTCTTTTACTTAACAAATAATTGTAGAGCCGCTGTTTTGTACCAGGCCATATTCCAGACATTAGAGATTAAGCCATGAACTAAGCATAGTTCTTGCTCTCGTGGAGCTTACATTCTAGTGGCCAGGCTGGAGGCGGTGGGTAGGATGGGGTGGGTGTCAGACAATAAACAAATACACGAGTACATATACAGTATAATGTCACGTGGTGTGAAGTCCCCTGATAAAAACATAGGCAAGATTAGGAGGCTGGGGTGGGGAATATTTGTGATATTCCATGTGGCAGTCTGCGACAGCCTCCCTGGTGATAACTTCCAGACAGAGACATGAAGGAGATGGGGACACAAGCACTTTTTGGAAGAAGAGTTCAGAGGGAGTGCAGCAGCTGCAGAGGCCTTTGGAGGGAAATCTTCTCCATCTGCTGGGAAGGCAGCCAAGGAAAGGGAGGGGTGGCAGGAGTTCACAGAAACAAGAGAAAAAGTCATGAAATGTATTTTGTTTATGTGCTAAGTTACATAAATTACAGAAACTATTTAGTAGTTCAAACTCCAGGGAGTTGATAATATTATTTCCATTTACAGGATGAAGAAACTGAGTCTCAAAGCAGTTAATTACTTGCCCAAGACTACATGGCTGTACTGTGTCTGAGCTGTGTTTGAACCTAGGTCTCTTTGAATTTCAGAAATATGCACAGTAGCTAGACTAGCAATAGTCAAACCTATCAGCATTTCAGACACTATGGAGCCATAATTCCCAGGGGAGGGGCCCAATAATATGTATTTTTAGAAAGCTACTTAAATGCCACAGATGACTGACCAGCAAAGTTTGGGGACTATTTATCTAGCAGTCTGTGCACCTCCATTGGCAGGTGAGAAGATGAATGTCCTCAAAGGTCAAATGGCTCAGGAGATATACCTCACTGTGGCAAAGCATGTTCTAATCCCAGATTCCCTAACCCTCAGCTCCTCTCAATCCTTGCAGTGTGGTACAGCAGGGCTTCTCAAGGGTGATGATGCACGTGAGAATCACGTGGAATCTTGGTAAACTACAGATGCTCTTCAGGACATCTGCAATGGGATCTGAGATTCTGCATTTTTAGCTAGTTCCCTAAGGACACCAAGTGCTTCTGGTGTGAGGACTACACTAGAGTTTCCTGGAAAGCTTGTTATTGCTGTCCAGGCGCCCACTCTAGGTTTAGAGATCTGAGAACTCAGCCCTTTCATCTGAATGTGTGACAATGTCCTTAATACACTATTTTGTGCTCAGTGATAGAAAATAGTGTTTCAGTGAGTATGTGATAGTGTTGAGAAAAGAGATGGTGTTGAATGGAACAAAATGAAGAGGGAAAGACGTGAAATGATGTGCATTGCTGATGTAGTGAGATCTTTCAAAGTGAAACTGGAAGATTGTATTTACAGAGGAGTTGGGAGAAGAGACTTGAGGCAATTAGGCAGACAAGTCAAATCTTCCAAAGTTCTGGCTTCACTATTGGATAAGTGGGTATTTTTAACTTGATTAATCTGGATAATTGGTAAGGGAGAAGTTCTATCACTTCTGATGTGGACAGAGATTGCAGCAGCAGGTGCAGAGTGGTCATGGCCTTGTTGGGACTCTGGACCCTCTTTCCCCCAAGGTCTGGGTATTTGTTCATCCTTGCTACCCCTGTCCCTCTCCATGTCTGACCTTCAGGGGCAATTTCCAGATACAAACTTGAGTGTTGCCTTCTAGCAAAACCTAATTATCCAGGCACGGTTACCAGCCACCCTCTTTCTGTAGAATTTCACTTTACTGCCATGAATTTCATGTTTATCTAAGAGATGGATCAGGGAATTAAGAAATATTGTCTTCATCATTGGATGACCATTCTTCCCCCCTTCTAGAGAGGTTATGCAATGTAATTGAGCTTGCATTTCTGTATGTCTTATGGCAGAGGAACCTGCTCTAAGAGCCTTACCAAGGAGACTCTAGCCAGGAAGCAAACACCACTGCATTATTCAGATATTATAAATCATCATCTCTTTTCCAATGCCACTCGCTTCCAGCTCAGAATGACCAATGAACAGAGTTCATGTCAATGTTGCTGGACACCCAGCTTTCCTGTGATCTCCTGTGTGGGGCTCAAATCCTCAGAGAGGCTGAAGTTTTCAATTTCACAGGTTGTTGGTACAGGGAAGCCCACCAGGCAGCCTCAGGAAAGGTGGTGTGGAAATGGCACACATCCTGAGAGATATGGTAGGAAAGAAACAAAGTGTTTTTTCTTCTCTTACACAGTCAACACAGAACACTGAATACTTCACCTCTGATCACCAAAAAGTGTGTGTGTGGCGGGGGCGGTGCGGTGGGGGGATTCTTCCCACCAGCAAGTAATTCTCCAGTGGACACTAGTTGCACGTACTGCTACTTATTCTATTCTATTCTCTACCTGAAGATAGTGTTGGATCCCACAGATTTAGTGCTCAGACTCACAAGACTGGCCCCCATTTCAAAAAATTGCAAGTAGTACATTGTCACCTATATTTATTCCAGAACAGCTTGATATGGTTTAGTTCTATGTTCCCACCCAAATGTCACCTTGAATTGTAGTTTCCATAATTCCTAAGTGTCATGGGAGGGACCCAGTGAAGGGTAATTTAATCATGGGCGTGGTTACCCTCATGCTGTTCTCGTGATAGTGAGTGAATTCTCAGGAGATCTGATGATTTTATAAGGGGCTTTTCCCCTTTCGCTTGGCACTTCTCCTTCCTGCCATCATGTGAAGAAGGACATGTTTCCTTCCCTTTCTGCCATGATTGTAAATTTCTTGAGGCCTCCCCAGCCCTGCAGAACTGTGAGTCAATTAAACCTCTTTCTTTTATAAATTATCCAGTCTCGAGTATGTCTTTATTAGCAGTATGAGAATGGACTAAAACACAGCTATAAGGCCAAGTTCTTGCTACTTGCTCCCAGGGTCTAATTAATTTGCAGATCAGCTCACAGAAATCAGAGAAACACCATTTTTTTGTTTACCCATGTATTACAAAGAGAATTACCAAGGATCCAGATAAACCGTCAGATTGAAGAGATGTATAGCGTCAGGTATGGGGAAGGAGCATGGAGCTTGCTTGACCTTTCTGGATGCACCACCATTTAGAACCTCCATGTGTTCCCCTTTCCAGAACCTGCTCGAACCCAGTCCTTTTGCAATTTCATAGAGGCTTCATATCCTAGGCATGATTAATTACATAATTGGCCATTGGTGGTCAACTCAGCCTGCAGCCCCTCTTTCCTCCATATGCTTGGTTGCTTTTCTGGTGACCAGCTGCCAGCCTGAGCTATCTAGGAGCCCTCAGTCCCCAGTCATGGCATTAGCATACAAAGGACACTCTTACAGCTGCAGAGATTCTAAGGGTTTTATGAGCTGTTTGTCAGGAGAGGGGAGGAAGACCAAATACCAAATACTTATTTCACTTTTTCAGAACCTGACTCATGCTCTGTTCTCCTTGGGTTCACTCAGTATCCTCAGGTACATCATTAACCTCACTCAGCCCTACTGCCCATCTATAAAGTGGAACAAGTCATTCTACCAAATTTCATGGGATAGCATTTAATTCATGAAATGCTTTGTTTATCCATCATATGAAATGAGCTAGTCCACACAAGTAAATATCTAAATAAAACTCCAAAGCAATTTTTAAAATTTCAATTATTGCTCCAGAGCTCTTTCTAAGGAATGCTTCCTAAGAGAACACTTTCCCTTCTTTGGCTTGTTAAACGTAGTATATGTGATATTTTGTAAACTTATTTTAATGACTCAAGGTCGTCTTTGTGAACTGTGTTTATTGTGCAGTGCTGAAGTTTGGCGATTCTCTCTGGAGCTGTTGAAGTGCATGATTATTTGCTTCTGCAAAAGATAGCCCCAAGTCGCTATGCTTTTGAATACTTTCTATATTTTTTTCTTATTCTTCTTTGCCATCAAGATACCAAGCATCAATTTTTGCTGCTGAGATATCATTTATCTTTAGTCACCATACATCTTCCTCCTGCCCTGTTGACTTCAGTCCCTTTAAGTTTCTACTTTGGCAATGGTTCTCAAAGTAAGATTCATTGACCCCTGAGGATACTCAAGACCCTTTCAGAGGGTTTGTGAGGTTGAAACTCTTATTGCTGTGAGGTCAAAGCTGTTTTCAAGGTAATACTAAGACATTGTTAGCCTTTCCCAATTTGTCCTGTTAGTACAAAAGCAATGGAGGTTTCACATGGTGGAGCCTTGGCACTAATCAATGTAGCATCATTGGCTTTGCTAGCAGTCATTGCATTCCTCACTGCCACAAACTCACAGTAAAAAAAAAAAAAGTCACTTTAACTTAAGAATATTCTTGTTGAGCCAGCATAAATTAATTTGATTACATCTCAACCCTGGAACGCATGAGTTTTCAGCATTCTGTGAGATGAAATAGCAGTATGCCCAAAGCACAAAGTACAATGTTTTCCCAAGGAAAAATCACCTGTTAGACTGTTTGGTTGCCAGCTCAAGTAGCCATCCCACCCCCACAACAGCACTGTATTTGAAAAAACAACTGACATATAACTCAACATTATTCACACTTGAGTATCTAGCAGATCTTTTCTTGAAAATGAATAATGTGGGCCTGTCACTTGGACGAAAACCACTGACAGCATTTGTTGCTAAAAATGGAATTTGAGCTTTTGAGCTAAAATTAGAACTTTGGAAAACTTGTATTTGCTTTCATGAGCTTGACAGGTTCCCAGTGCCTAAAGACATTTCTGATGAGATTGGTGGCAATATTAACAGATGTGATTTTTTTTTTAACTTTCGTATAACGAAGTATGTCAACATTTGGAAGATATGCATATCGCAGTGAATAAAGATCCTCTACATAACCAATATGTAATGTTCCAAAATGATATGTGGAGCAAAAAAGGAATCTATATTAGGCAAGGTTCTCCAGAGAAACAGAACCAGTAGGATCTCTCTCTCTCTCTCTCTTTCTCTCTCTCTATCTATATATATATGTATATGTGTGTATATATATATATATATTCTCTATATAGATATATATTATCCTATATATATGTAGATATATATATAGGAAGTAGATATGTATGTATGTATGTATGTATGTATGTATGTATGTATGTGTGAAGAGAGAGAGAGAGAGAGAAAGGAATTGGCTCATGTGATGATTACGGAGGCTGAGAAGTCCCAAGACCTGCCTTCTCCAAGCACAAGACCCAGGGGAGCAGATGGTGTAGTTCCAGTTGGAGTCCAAAGGCCTGAGTACCAGCAGAACCAACAGTGGAAGTTCTAGTCCAAGGCTGACAGCCTGAAGGCCTGAGGCCAGGAGGGTCAGTGGTATAAGTGTGAGCTAGAGGGCAGGAGCGGGTTCCTGTTCCAGCCTGAGCAGGCAGGCAGAAAGAGCAAACTCTCCCTCTGCCTTTCTGTTCTGTTCAGGCCCTCAGTGAATTGTATGATGCCTGCCCACATTGGGAAGGATGGCCCAATGAATTTTAATGGAACAGAGTACAAAACATTCATTGACATGGTCTCAGATTCTGAAATTAAGCTTTAAGAAACTACCATTTGTTGAGTTTTGGTGTACACAAAAGAATAATACACACAATTGTCTGAAAGGGCTATTAAATGCTTTATTTCCTAACTCCCTCACTTTATGAGGGAGGCTACATTTTCTTCACATATGTCAACCAGAACAATCTATTGAATAGACTGAGTGTGGAAGCAGATGTGGGGATCTACCTGTCTCTATTATGGCAGACATTGGCATTATTTACCAAAATGTCAAAACTGTCTTTACTGATCTTTATGTTGGAAAATATTTATTTTTCATCGTAATAGGTACTTACGTTAAAATGTAATGGGTTTATCAGTGTTTTTTAAAAAAAGAATCATTATTTTTAAAAAAATTATTCAAATTTCTAACATGGCAAATGTTGATAAGCATAATACTACAAAGCAAGTTGTTAGAAGTCCTCAATAATTGTTTAAGAATGTCATGGGGTCCTGAGGAAAAAAGTTTGACAATTGCTGTTCTTATTAGTTCTTATTCCTTTTATATTATTGTCTCATCAAAACCTCACAGCAATCATGCAAGACAGGCTGAAAAGGAATCACCGGTCTTTATCTTGCTGCTGTGCATAATTAAACTGCAAGTCTAGAATCCACACTTTTTAGCTCCTAGTCAGGGGTGTGTTCACTGTGGTTGGCCAGAGGAAGTGGGTAGAATATAACCAGATTTATGCAACTTATCTTCTATGCATGTTAGTTGGGTCCGAGTGGGGTTCTGAGGTATCCTTTTATGAATCGTCATGCTCTTTGATGCATGGATTGTGTAGTGTCCATCTTTTGCTGCTTAAATGCCTTTGTTTCTCCCACCACCCCTACATGTTCATGTCTTACTTCCTCAGCTTATGTGTTACCCAAGAGACCTTCTCTGTCCACTCAGGATAGAATAGTCTTTCCCACATATCTCCCCACCTCCCATCCCACTTCAACCTGCTTGATTTATTTTTTCCTGCATCACTGACCCATTGACAAATTCCATGTTATTGGTTTGTTGACTGGCTCTCCTCTCTGGAATCTAAGCTCTTCCACGGCAGACACTTTGCCTGTCCTTTTCACTAGCGTGGACCCATGCATAGACCTGTGCCTGGCACAAAATAGCTGATATTTGTTGAATGAAATAATTCATTCAACAAGGCATTGAGTGAGCATAACATAGGAAGAGACAGCCCATTGCCTCAGTTCCCCAGAGGGCTCAGCAGACCGTACACCAGGCAGCTGGGGCAGGAGTGCTTTAGCCCTGAATTGGGAATCTGGGTGGCAGGCCATGGACAGCACCAGAGAAAGGGAAACAAAGGTTCAGGGCAAGTGGTTGGCACATAGTGATCACTCAGCACTTTTTAGTGGATGGAGGTCTTATTGCTTTGGCATGTCTTCACAGTCCTTATTAAGGTTTGCTGTTATATTGGTATTTGTTTGGTTATCTCTTTACCACCTGCCTCCTCCATAGAAGGCAGGAATCCCATAGCATTCACTGACGGAGCATCCATAATCAGTGCCTCAAACAAGTTGACACTCAATAAATATTTGTTAAAGCATGAATCTCTTTATCATGAATTCTATGTGTTTGTAAATGTATCAGTGTAGGTTTGGTCTTTCTGAACAACTCTATTGTAAGCGTCTTAAGAGCAGAGTAGATGTCTCACCACTTGTGTTATTGGTCTTATTACCTATCGGAAGCAGCCATGCCCTACGACTGTGTTCAAGGCCACTCATGCATGGCCCTGCTCAATTCGTCAGCCTCATGGAGCCTCTTGTGTTTTCAGAGCATTTGACTCCCTCTATCTCTGTGCTTCGTGACACGGTACCTCTGCTGCCTGGAATGCCCTTTCAAAATGTGTTGATTATGCTAATTCATCCTCATTCTCTGGGTCTCAGCTCGGGTCTCAGCTCCTCCCAGAAACCACCCACAGCAGTCTGGTTCTGTGGCCTCCTGTCTTCCCCTTGCCTCTGCGGCATCCCTCCCCCCATGCATGAGCCACATTCTATTGTCATCATCTTCATCACATCAAGACTGCCAGATCCCTGAAGGGAGTGATTGCCTGACACAGCTGTATTCCTTCTGCCTAATGCAGGCATTGACAGATTAATGAGCATGATTAATAAGCTTTCGTTTAATCAGGGAATTGTAAAAATAGAGTATTACAGAAAAGTATGGTTTAAATCTTTAAGGAATTTCAATTGGACTATGTTGAACAATACTCAATAGACAATAATAACACACATTTATTTGATAACTTCCTCTGACAAGTCCAATGCACTTTACGTGTTCACTACTGCTCTTTCTCCCACACCTGATGCCTTAGGTGAATGCCATTGATTCTTCATGGAAGAGAGTTGGGTACCCACCCTCACCACCCTCTACATGAAACACAGGTAGAATCATTTATCATTTGTGGATTATGGGCTAATGTGGAAGGCAAGAAGTCTTTTCAGCTATTTTCTATTGCTGCTGACAACAGTGCACTTGGAAATGAGCAAGACAGATCACGAGGGTATTTGACTAGATATATGGAATTTCTTCTCATTAAAATCCCTGAACTCTAAAAAAATTAACTAAAACTAAATTTAAAATTTCCTGCCCGGTGTGACCTCTCCTGCCTTAAAATTCCTCTAACATTTATTAGAATTATGAGCTATTTAATTCTCAAGGTCTTGGACATCTTTTCTTTTGTTCTGACTTGTTCAATTTTTCATTGTTATGTAAAGTTTCATATGTTTATGCACTGTTTTCTCAATTGCACTGTGCTCTCCTGAACAATGGGAAACTGTTTATCCTTTTAGCTGCAGTTCATAAAATGCCAAAGGTTTCCTCTGAACCTCTGTAGGTGTCTCTGTGAGGGTTAGAGAAAGCGAGGAGAGACGGTGGGAGAGAGACAATATGAACAGCTGTGAGAATGAGATAGTGAGCACTAGACTACAAAACCTTGAATTCCTATACCTCCCCTCTACCCCAACCCCAAAATAGCAGCTCAGATTTTGCAACTCGATAAAATTTTAATAGAGGATTTTATTGGCAGAGAGAGAGAGGATTCCACTACTTAAGTTTGACAGTCAATAACCACTAACGCATATCATCTGTTATGTCATCTGATGTCTGTGCTTTCTCTCTAAAATGTAAGCTGTGTGAGGGCAGAGATTATAGTCTATAGAGTAAGTTATGCCTTACATATGAATGAATGAATGAATGAATGAATGAATGAATGAATTTGACAAAGAAGGTTTTTGACAGACAACGGTAGTCTCTATCAATATGTAATGGCTTAGGATATTTAAACACAAGAGAACTGCTTTTGAGTCTGGAATGATTTAAATGTACAGTGAACATATAATGTAGTGTCTACACTGAGACCGTTTTGAAAATGACGGGACTGGCATCCATATTACAGAAGATGAACAAATGTAAACAAAGACTATCTCCAGCAAGGGAGATAGCATGCTCCTAAGTGGCATCTCAAAGGGATCTCACTCGAGGGCGGATTTGAAGATTTAACCTTTGCCCACGGGAACCTCAAGTCCTATTTGTTTCTGCCCTATTAGAAGTGGTTATTACTTGCAGGGAACCATCCAGTCCCACAGGGACACTGCTATGGGAAGGAGGTGACCTTTTGAGTTAAGGGAATCTCACCGGTAGCATGTAAGCCATCTCAGGTCACTGCACACTCCAGGCTTCTCTCAGGCTAAGCAGCCAGTTGGCATCTCTGAGGCGCCCACCAGATGGGTGTACAATACACTGTGTGATCATTTGCAAAGTAAAGGAAGGCTGTGGTTCTGTGCTTAATTTACAGAGTGTACAATTAAACAGAAATGAGATGCGCAAACTCTGTGAAACTTTTTGCAATGCTGGTATGAGGAGCATGGGATTTAGATAAGATCGTTTAAGAATGTAGCTGTTATGTTTTAGGAGACAGGGTTCGACCTGTAATATATCCAGGTTTATGTGATACATTCTATTATAATGGTCTTATACTCTGTTCATGAAATTACAAATGTCTCACAGGAAAAGGTTAGTCAGATGTTATACTGGCAATGCCCCTGACATGTTTATTCAGTCCAGGGTCAGAGCATGATTATTAAACCCTACTGAAAAAAATAAATTGACATTTTAGACTGAAAATCACATCCCTTCTAGGGGGTGTGCATACTGGCTGTGTGCAGATATTATATGTCCCTGCAGTTATGAAGCAATTTATGTGCTGGTGTGGATTTCCAACAAGTCAGTTCATCCTGTTTCCCATAGAGTAGGCTAGATTGGATCTGAAGGCAGCCCTTCTCTCCTCTCTGTAATGGGCAAAATTTAATAGGTTACAGAAAGCCACAAACCCTATTCAACATGGCTGCTGCCATGTTCCCGAAGGCCCTGGGTGCTGGCTTCTCCCATCATCTGTCCTCTGTCCTCAGCTGGGAGCCCTCTGCGAGGCTGTCGCAGTGAGCAGTGTGTGGAAGAGGCAGTGGAGCATCTCCGCAGTAGAGGGGCTGTTACCGCAGGATAGTGAGGGCCTGGTGCCTCCTGATGAGATATTAGCCCACTGAAGCCTGACCTCGGAAGAGTGGGCTCTGGCTCACTGAGCATCGGTCCTCACCCTTCCAAATCAGGCTTCCACCATCACACTTTTCAGATTAGTTATCTCCCAGGAATGGATGCAAACACTGATTTTCTCAGACCTCATTTCCCAGGAACAAGTTATGACCTGGGAGAAGCTGGGTCTGTAAAACTAGCAACGAAAGCTAAAGGTGACCCTCTCATCCTTTGAAGTCTAAAATTATAGACCATACAAATGAGACCAATTAAGAAACAATGTGCTTTGCAGGATTTGATGCAATAGATACATGTTGAATGATGTCTATTTGCCAGTCCTGGTTTCTTAACCTTCCCCCGCAAAAACCTAGCATGTGTTGTGCACATAGTAGGCATCTTCCCTTGCTAATCATATAGAAGTGACAAACTATGTTGAGAAGGCAAAACATGAAAATAGCAGTTGCCACATGACTGCAATTTCCTTCAGTTCACTTAGAAGGGCAGAATTGTCTTCTGCAACCAGAATCCACTTAGCCAAGAGTCATCAGCAATGTTCCTCAGAAAAGTAGTACCAGTAAGGAAATAACCTGCAGTGTGAATTCCAGAATGTCTCTTCCTCCTCACCCTGTCCATGCTGTGTCCCTACCCTCTGTGCCATCCCAGTTCTGCCTGCTGAAGTGAGAACATTTCAAGGCTTCTTTGAGCACTGCCTGTAGCCAGAGCTATGTTTCTTTGTACCAGCCCCACGCCCAACCAGCTAAATAGTATCTGCTCTGTCCTCGAAACCCTGCCGAGGGGCTTAATCACCATGCATTTTTTGGGTTATTTCTTGCTAAGCTTATATTTAGTTATGAGTAATCAGTCTTACCCTCAGCACTAGACAATTAGATGACATAAGACTGGCACTGCATTTTGTTGCTGAATGGACTCACTCGTTCTTTGTATTTTTCTGCGGTCCTTTTGTGGGGCCCGATCATGTGTTAGGAATTACACCCGGCCCTGGGGATGCCCCTGGGAATGAAATGGATGGTCTTTGTAGTCACCGAGCTTCCTTCTCTCTAGTGGGAGATGTCAGCGATTCAATACGCATTTACATTTTGGTGCAGGTTTCTCAGCTTTGGTGCTAGTGATATTTGGGGTCAGATAATTATTTGTCAAGGGAGACTGTCCTGTGCAATGTAGTACAGCTTTCCTAACCTCAGCCATAAAGACCAAAACTGTCTCTAGACACTGCCAAATGTATCCTGTGGACAAAATTACCAGGTTGAGAATTACTGCTCTAACATGACAAATGCGAAGATAAATGTACGTTCTACAGGAACCCAGATGAGGGGCATCTAACAAAGACCCTAAAGTCAAGGAAGTCATAACAGTCAAGAGCCCAGTGGGAAATAGATGGCATCTTCAACTTTGAGCAACTCTAGGCAGCCTGAATAAGACAATCCCTTACAAGATGTGGGCATGGTGCAGGGAGACTATACAGAGGAGACTTATAAGCAAGGTCAGATATGTCCAGGGGAAAGGAGGAGGGGTGGTATATGAATGACACCTATTATTTCTATGTTTGAAATCTCACTTATAAGAATGTTTGTGTTCATGGTTGATTTGTTGGGGCTGCCCGTCTGGCTGGTGAGAAATTCAATCTGAGTCATATTTTGGGAGACTGTCTTTCCTCACTGGAGTATACAGAATGCTGAGAAAGGGTCTTTAGTTATTAGTCCTTAGTGGTAGGCTTATTGTGTAAGAGTTCAAAAATGTTTGTTGAGTGAAGGAACAAAGGAAGTGAGGGAGGACATGAAAAAAGGAGGTGAAGAAGGAAGGAAGGCAAGAAGGAAGGAAAGTAGGAAGGCAGGCAGGAAGGAAGGAAAGTAGGAAGGCAGGCAGGAAGGAAGGAAAAAAGGAAGGCAGGCAGGCAGGCAGGCTGAAAGAAGGAAGGAAGGAAGGAAGGAAGGAAGTGAGGAAGGGAGGGAGGGAGGGCAGGCTGGTGGATCACAGCTTTTAGATCCAGCTTCATCGTCACCCAGTGTGAGGTGCTGTCGCTGACTGGAGGTCTGCCTTGGAGATCGTGGGAAATGACAGGTAGTCTGCCACTGGTGGGGACTCCTTCACAAACCCAAGCTTTGGACCTTTCATCCTCCCCCAGCTTGGTGCCCACCCACCTCCGTGAGCCTAGACTCTGTTTGCTTGTTTCTGTGAAACAAAAGCTTGAATAGTAATAATCTTCTGGGTGCCTAGCAACTGCTTTAGACCCCATGACACAAAAGTCATTAACAACTCTGAGGCAAGAAGCTAAGAATTGAGGATTTGCAGGGCCTGCCACATTTTTGGGGATGGGGCAGGGAAAATGTTTCTCATTCCTTCCATTCTTCTACAGCTTTGAGAACAGAACACAAATCAGTTATCCAATAGCCTAGCCTGTCCTGTGACAATGGAGGAGCGTGACATTGAACCCAGGGAGGGAGCAAAGCGGTTTAGGGGAATTGAAACCTACTCTGTACCGCACAGAAATCCAGTGAGGGCAGAGTTTGAAAAACTGGTAATACAGAGGAAGAGAGAAAACGGGGCACAAAAAACCTAGAAAGTTACTGCGTTGATAACAGTTTTTACTGAGACCCATAAGGAACTGCAGCACATTGATGGAACACACACAAAAAAAGTCTTTTGTTTGTGCTTTTGTTCTCCACCAATCTACATGAGGTTCTGATGGGATGGATGGCCCACACCTTCCACCCAGTAGGAGGCACTCAGACTTTTAGGGCCCTAGATGGAGGCCCCACAGCAGGGGCAGCAACAGAGCCGCACCCCTCACCTAGAGCTGTGCAGAGTCCTGGCATCCCCTCAGTGCTCCTAAACAGGAATGGAATCGCCAGTCAAGAAGGTGCTATTTTTTATTTTTACCTGTTCATGTGTTGACTTTTTGGGACTGAAAACCCCAGAGCTGGGTATTTTCTTCAACACAGAAGCCAGACCAGCTGCATAAAGGACTGATCCCAGGCCTTCTAGAGTGTTCTGTGCCTCTGTGGTCTCAGGAATTCACCTGCTGTGTCCTCCCGTCTGCGCCCCCACCCCCGCCCCAGCCCTATACCCTTCCTGCTTCCCTCACCATCTCGTCAGTGTCCTTGCTAATTCGACAAAGTTAATACCCGATTAATAACTCCTATGATAGAAGAGTTCCTGGATGAGCTGTAGCCCCCATTTACAATCTGCTGGTGATAGAAAAATTATGTTCAGCTCAGTAATAATTGATGGAAATGGTCTCTTCTCTTCTGCAGCTGATTTGCTTTGTAATTGAGATTTAATAATGTAAATATCACTTGTTTTCTTCTCAAGATGAATTGCCTTCTGATTTGCTAAGCTCAAGCCTCTTTAGGGCTTTCTTATTGCTTTGTCTCTTCTCATGAGATTCTAGGTGAGATTTATTCCTTATTTAGCTGTGTTTCTCTTTATACACACATACACACACCCATGCACACACACACACATTGAGTCAATGGTTGGAAGGAACACATGTTACTTTTCAAACAGCTACTGACTATCGAAAATTAGAGCTAACGCTTTTTAGAAATCATCAAACCCCACCCCATTATTTTAACTAATGACAGAACAAGAAGCCTAGGGTGGTTACGCAATTTATCCAAATGGACACAGAAAGTCATAATCACTCCTGAGCCTAGTGTGGTGTTACTTCCTCAATGGTGAGGAAGGTTTGAAAAGAATCACCCTGCATCTTACTTTCTTTACTGCCATGCATTTATAACACTTGTGTGTCTGTCTGTGTATGTGCAGAAAGCAATAAATATCACACTGTTTTTTACATTAATTTCGTGACTTACTCTCAGGATACGATATTCTATAATTGAAAAAAAAAAACCCTCTAGAGTCCAGTGGAAGTAGAGTAAGCTCACTGCATTGGAACGGTGGCTGCCTCTCCATCATGACTCATTTTCTGCAGGAGGCCCCTCTACGGGCAGCCCTAAAAATCTGCAGACACCACCGTCGAGGCACCAGGCTCCAGCACCCGCCCCATATGGTTTCCTGTGCAGCAGCCTCTTCCAAACTACCTGTTTCTATCCACGATCCTGCAGTCCAGGCCTGCTCTGTTGGAGCCCTAGTCACCTTGCGTTCCTCTTTGTCTTTCTCCCTCACAGCGACATTTTCTGCCAAGAAGATGGAGGCTCCATGCTTCCTAAGGCAACAAAAACAAAACTGATAAACTAATTTGGGCTGGTGGGAAACAATCTAGGAATAGGTCAGATGCGTTTATTTGATCAAGGCCTGGAGTGTAGTGATGAGGAAGCACATGAAGACCCAGCAAGGAAGGCAGGGGTCTGTCTCCCCTGGGGCCTGGGCAGGGTGCTTTGGAGGACGACCAGCCCTGGCTGCAGCCACCATGTCACATCACAGCATGCTCAAGGCTCCATCTCCCAGAACCAGAGCCAGCGCAGGTTTCTGGGGCAGAAACAGAACTCACACCTCCAAACTTCACTTCCTAGAAGCTCCGAGCCCAAATCAAATGTCGAGTGCTGTCCAAGGATTGGGGGAGAGTGCACAGAATCTCTATCTTCTGGTCCAGAAAGACCCTCATGAAAAGAGCCAGGAAAGAGCAGTGGCTGAGCGACCTAAGAAATGAGCTGGCCGGATCCCCTCGTTTTGCAGATAAAGAAACCGAGGCTGGATGAAGTAAAGTGGCCTGCTCAGGGGTCCTGGCTAGTTAGTGGCAGAGCAAAGGCCGAAACCTTGGCCTCCTCAGCTTCCATTTGGCACCTCTGAACCTGTTGGTGCTGAGCTGCCGTAGTCACAGTCCGGTTATAACAGTTGATGTAAAGCTGAAAGTTTGGGCATCATACTGGAATTGTCTTCACTGTCCTGGCAGCCCCTTTCCTGGTTGCTCTGTATCTGGTTGGGAAGGATTAGCGAAGTGAGCCATGTAACTAAGAAGGGATATTTTTAGTAAAGGCGAGGAGGACAGAAAGTAGGTAGAAGCATCATTTTCCTGCATTTGAAGTGTACCCTCAGACGCATGAAAATGGGCCTCAAATCATCTAAGTGGATGATTAGTTATACCTATGAGACATTATTCCAGTCTACCCATCAAGGAGAGGGAGGAAAGAACAGCTACTTGTCAAGATCTACATGAATAGAATCTTAGAAAGGAAAGGAAAGAATTAATTTCCCCCATTAACACAAGACATTACGTTCAGACACACATAGTCCTTCATAATTGTCAAAACCTCTCTTTCCTCCCCATCACCAAGCAGCTAAAGCACAGTGACAGATGAGAGCTACCTTGAAATTGTCATGGTGTCTCTATTTTTGTGTGTGGACTGTCAAGACCTCAAATAAAGCCAGTGTGGCCTGGGCCAGCTCTGCAGGGACCTTATGCTCCTTTGTGGGACAGTGACCCTGAGCTCCTGGGTTGGAACTCAGTCCATCAATGCCATGATTATCAGATTTCCAGAACTTAAGGAATTATTTGGGTTCCTTAGTCATAGACCATATTGCTAGGTGATGAAAGGTTATAAAACATTAAAATGGATAGTGACCTTGGAGGTCATCTGATGCAATTTTTGTATTGACAGAAAAAATAATTGTGGTTTGAAGGGCTGAAAACACTTACTGAAAAATCACATATTTGTGACAAAACTGGGATTAGATCCTCGGTCTTCTGATCTCAAATTCAGTGGTTTCCTCCTTGAGTTCTACTGTTAGCATGAGTCACAGAAGGTCATATAAAGTGACTTCTTGGGTGACTAGGCTAAGAAGGGAGGCTAGCAAGACAGATGCCTTTGGTGAGAAGTCAGCTTATCATAGTCTGAGGTAGATGGTAAGAGGGAGACAGACTTGCCTAGAATAGCACAAGGTGCAGATGAGGAGAGCCCTTGCCAGCTAAGTTTTCAAAGGGACCCCTGCCCCTAGTGGAGACTTCGCCCCTTGAGTGCACAGCTCCTGATCCTTTCCTCTCAGTGCACACTAGGGCTCAGTGCATGAGCAATGCTATCTCCTCGTGATACTTCAGAGCTCAGACCTTTATGCTCTGCGAAGTGTGCAGGATGTCTCTGGTTGTGGCTTGCATGCCAATTGTGCTGCCTGGGTTAGTGGGTACTTTGCCTACAAGCTAATACAAGTATTTTGAAAATATTGATGAATGCTGATGGTTGGCATCATTGTTAAACGGCTGTGATGCCAGGAACTAATATAGGGAAAGGATAAAAGAGACAGCATCAAATAAAAGGAAAGAAAGAGAGGAAGTAAGAAGAGTCAGGCTGCATCAAGGCTTCATCTGCAGGAACTGAGCTGTGCTGTTCCTCAAAAGGGCATTTCCCCAATACCCTGAAAAGACCCTAGGACTATTTCTTTCAGTGCTCTGGGCCATCCCAACCACTTCAGAAAGGGGCAGGTCTGGTACTTGGTCTGCCAGGACTTTGAGCCAAGAGCCCTTGAGCCCTTGCTGGCTTTCCTTCTCCTGGGGGCTGCAGTGCTGATTCCCTCTCTGGTTGGCTTAGGCTCCAACCAGCTGCAATTGTCTGTCTTCCAGAGAAGAGTATAGCTGATGAGCCTGGAGCTCTGGGAGAAAGAGAGCACACAGAATCTTTCTTGACCATCAGTCCAGCAGAGTCCTACATTGGAGCGGCCACACCCTATTTGGTCCTAAGCCACTGCCTCTCTTAAGAAGGTTGAGTGTTGGGCCTGCCCCAGGCACAGAGTAAGATGTCACCAGTAGCTAAGGCCCTAGGGCCTGACAGCAGACCTTTCAGTAGGCTAGGAGTATGTCGGCCACCTGGTTTATGATCCAGACCAGTGTACTTTAAAGAATGAAAGGTGACAGTTAAAAAGTACACTGTCGACCGGGTATGGTGGCTCACGCCTGTAATTCTGTCACTTTGGGAGGCCAAGGCAGGTGGATTGACTGAGCTCAGGAGTTCGAGACCAGCCTGGGCAACATGGTGAAACCCTGTCTCTACTAAAAAATACAAAAAAAAAAAAAAAATTAACTGGGCATGGTGCATGCACCTGTAGTCCCAGGTATTCAGGAGGCTGAGGCAGGAGAATTGCTTGAACCCAGGATGTGGAGGTTGCAGTGAGCCAAGATTGCGCCACTGCACTCCTGTCTGGGCAAGAGAGCGTGAAACTCTGTCTCAAAAGAAAACAAAGTACATTGGGAAGACAGGTGTCAACTGGCACTATCCCAGGAAAACCTAACTATGGGTCCACCCAGCTCAGGAAAACAACAAAGGCATTCCTGACACTGCTATACGAATAAATTAATCCTCAGGGAAAACAAGTCAGACGCAGTTGGCATTAGAAGGAAAGTTTTAATTCCCCCAAAGGCAAGCAAAGGGCAAAGGACTTACTTTGATGTTGTAACTAATTGAAGGTTTTGTATACTGCCCATCTGCTGGCAGATGCCAGCCCTGTAGGTCTGCTTTGGGCTCAAGAAGCCACTTTGCCAAAGCGCCCTTAGGTAACACAGTATTGGCAGTCCACTGACCACGCCAGGGCACAAGACACTCCTATACTACAAAAATACAGCCTTCTTGAAGAAACTGGGCCTGGGTGACTGGCTGTGCTTGAGTAGGTTGCTGCAGACAAGGTTAAGGCAACTTTCTTTAGACATTGTAAATGAAAGAGGCAGTGTCTCCTTCCATGCATTGATCAGGTTTCTAAAAAAAATGCTGTCGTTTAATTATGAAGGTTTTTTTTTAAAGCAGTACTTTTACTTCTCAGAACTCATTTCACTTTAGCTTGTTGATACTAAAGTAACCCTGTTGGTTTAGAATCCAAATAATCATAATCATAAGGGGAAAATGTGTAAAATAAATAAAAACTTTTCAAGTGTACTTAAACATTTTGTCAATAACTTAGCTGTTTAAGCTCTACTATGTAAAAATAATGATTTTTCTCCTTCTACCCCTGCATTCTTTGGGTCTGAACTGTTAGTTTCAGTTTATTTTTTATACTTTTTAGAATAAAAATGCTAGCGACTTTTTTTGGCCCAAATAGGCTACTCTGCTCATCAAATGGATTTAAGCTTCTATCCTCAGTCATTTGTCTGCCTGTATGGAATTCTAGTGTTTTGCATCCTCATTCTCTCTCTCTCTTCCTCCCTCCCTCCCTCCCTCCTCTGCCTCTCTGTCTAGCTCCTCTCTTCCTTTTCTGGCACACATACTGCACTTTCATTTAAAGGGAATGTGCCACATCCTCACAGGTACCCTGGCTGTTTCTGTGACACTCACTCAGAACCACTCCCAATGAGTCAACAGTATCATCCAGATCCTAAAAATGTTGTGTCTTGATTCTTCCCACACATAATGAACCCATCTCAAAAAAAAAAAAAAAAAAAAAAAAAAAGACACAAGCAGAGCCAAGCTAAACACACCTCTTCACTGTGCTTTGGAAAGAAGCCTCTTGTCTTCATGCTCTTCGTTTGACTATCTGGGGATCTCTAGCTGCTGGAGACTGACCTGGCTATCACCACCCTACCCCACCACAAGATTTCTTTTTCCTGACCCACCTACAATAAAGCTGCTGCTGTTGACATCATGATGGTATATTTTTCATAGAAGCTGACAGTTGACAGGAGATCTGAGCACACTGTAAGATGTGCACATCCTCATACACTCCTTGGCTCTGAATGACTTCTCAGCAGAGGAAGCCTGGGAGCATACATGTGTAACTGGAACTTGGAAAATGAAAGCAACAGGAGTCCTCAACTTACCAACCCTGAATTCTCACCCCTGACTGTACATTAGAGTCCCCTGGGAAGTTTTAGAGGATGCTGGTGCTGGGACCCCTCACCCCAGACCATGTTCACCATCCATAAGCATGAACACAAGAGTCTATTTTTAAAGTGCTCCTTGGGTAAGTCTCATGACCCCCCAGGGATGAGAACATCTATTTTAGGTGTATCCTCTTAAACCTGATTTCAGAGAGTTTCCTTGCCATCCCTTCTTCTGCCTCCACCTACAAGACAAAACCCTTTAGGTCCTCTCCTCTTTAACTTTTCCCGGTAAAGAGTTCAAGAGCCCCAGTGTATGAGAGTTTCTCTTTGGGGACAGTTGTACTGGAGGAGTCACTTGAGTCCTTTTGTCTTTGTGTCATCCTCGGCTACTCCCGGTCTGACAGTGAGGGGCATTAAACACTTCCATCATTCTCACACATGCATGGAAGGGAGGATCTAGAAAACTCACCCCTGCCAGGGAATTCCTCTGAGCCCCCAGCTATGGAGATCTTTATTAATGTACTCCTTCCCCCACTGGAAGCACAGTTAACTTTCACAGTAACACATTGATCTTGTGATTAGCCAACTTACTGTCAGCCTCAGGGAAGGCAGCCAGCATGGCCGCCCTGGATGGGGGCAAGCCACTCCTCCCGCAGAGGAGGTCCTGGTGGCCACAGCCTGAGAAAGGTTTCTGAGCCCAAAACAAAGAGCTTCTGTCACCGCCAGCAAGTGAGACATTGACCAGGCGCTTGGCCTCCAAACCAAAATGACTTTAGCACAATTCAATTGCTTGTGTTAATTAAAGGAAAATGAAACAGTGGGTTTATCACACTTTTCATTAACTCCAATGCAGCAAAGGTAACAAATCTGGAAGTTGGGAGCAGGCAAGGATGCAATGTACTGCTGTCCACATTCCTTGGTTTAATTAAGGAGGGCGGGCTCAGAGTTGCTTGTTGCCAGTAGGGTTCTAAGGAGAGTCAAGGATTGGAGGTTGGGGCGGGGGACGGAGTTGGGGACAGAAAATGTGGGGCAGAGCCTGGCAGAAAGAGAGTGGATTAAATAGGAGAGGGAGAGGGGGAGTTCTGCAGGGATTAAGTTTTCAAACCTAGCCATCAGGCATAATGTGAACACATACTGTGGGCTTAGCCTACGTTAGCTGCTGTAATGAGTTAAGGAAGTAGAAGATGTGACATCTACTCAGGGTGCTTGCAACTTGGACAATGGACTAGGAAGAAGGGTAAACAGTACAAGACTCAGGTTATATGAGCCATACTGGGTCCCAAATGCTAAAACTCTACCGTAATTCCAAATTCATGCATGTTTCTGATGTGTATCCTTCAAAAGAAGGGGGCTCTCACATCAGGAGGTATGTGATGGAGAAGGATGCCAGGAGATCTCTAGGATAAAAGGAGAAGTCCTATTCATAACCCTCACAGGTTTCTAGAGGGCAGCTTTCCTCCACCCTGTCCACTCTTTGCCTCCCCCATGGGAGGCGGGTGACCAACGTCATGGTGAAGTGGTTGCTTGGGCATTTATTGGGCCTAGTTAAGAAGACATAAGGCTGCCATCTAGAAGTGAAGGCATTACTCCTGTGTCTCCATCCCCTCCCTGGCCTGATACCTGGGTCTGGCGTCCTCCTTACCCCAGACTCTGCATTGCGACACAGCTCATACTCTCGGGTCCACTTTGAGCCTGTGACTGAGTACTAAAGTCAAGCATTCTACTGTGCAAGTCCCACTGTCTCTAATTCTCAGAGAGAAAGGCAAGAACCTCATGTCAGCCTTGGATCCCAAGTGGGGATTGTAGCCCAGCGGATGTTTTGATCTGCTCATAGCTCAGTTTTGTGATTATGTTCTATTAGCCAAAATCCTGGAGGGAAAGAAAGATGAGTGATAGGATTCAGGCACATGTCTCCTCAGGAACTTTTGACAGTCTGTACCTTTCCCTGCACATATCAAGGACAAGAAGCAGTGGGGAGGAGGTGGTTTCAGACAGCCTTATCTCCTTCCTGTGGTCTATCTTACTCCAGATGTCCATGACAGGATGTCCAGCAGATATTTACAAACATGGTTCTTCCCTTACAGAAGTAAAATCTGTGTTCCTTGACAGCTTGAATTGTGACCTAGCTTTTGAGAGTGGGTAAAAGGCTTGTTTCTAAGATGGTTCAGGCAGCCTAGTTGTGGCCTTACAGGCCAGAGGCATGCACTTGGTCGTCAATCACCTGGACATTTGATTCCAACTTTGCAAATTCAGTGTTGATCAGGATCGTCTGTAATAGTCTCTCTTGCTGGGCAGCAGGGAAACTCCTTTTCTTGTTTTCCCAGAAACCCAACCATGTGAGCCAAAAAGACCCCTGGGTGGCCACCCTCTGCCCACTCCCACTGGCTTCCTTCTGGCAGCTCATTTCCCTCTTGCTTTCTTGCTCCTCCCACTTCCCCTTCCCCACACCTTGTCCTCCCTGTGTGGCTGCCTCCTGAAACCCTAGATCCTCCTCACTGCTCTCATCTCCTGTTGTTCTTTTCCTTGGTGGCACAAGCCCCCAGAAATGTTGCTCTCTGTGTTACCTCCTGGCTGGTCTGGTACATGCTGCAGCAGTTGCTGGCATTTTATCTCAGCGCAGCTTCTGCAGGTAGAGCCATGCCCTAGACAGCAAACCTAGAAGGACAGTCAGGGTGGAGATGCTTAGAGGTGACTTTTAATCATTCCAAATGGAGAAACCAGATGGGGATTGCCTCAACACCAAGTTTTTTTTGTTTTGTTTTGTTTTTGCATACTGTGAATAGACCAACAAAGGGACAGGTCACCTGTTTAGCCTGTTCTTACGCTGCTAATAAAGACACACCCGAGACTGGGGAATTTATAAAGCAAAGAGGTTTAATCGACTCACAGTTCCACATGGCTGGGGAAGCCTCACAGTCATAGTGGAAGAGCAAGGGACATCTTACATGGCAGCAGGCAAGAAGCTTGTGCAGGGGAACTCCCATTTATAAACCCATCAGATCTCATAAGACTTCTTCACTACCAAGACTACAGTATGGGGGAACTGCGCCCATGATTCAATCATTTCCACCTGGCCCTGCCCTTGACACGTGGGGATAATTACAATTCAAGGTGAGATTTGGGTGGGGACACTGCCAAACCCTATCTTCACCTCCTAAAATTGTCCCCAGAGGTATTCAGAGAGAAGATAAGATATTTTGTCAGGACTTTGTATAATCCAAAAAAGTGGAAGGCTAAAATCTTTGACCCCTCATGGTTCTTTTAACTTTATAACTCTAAGGAATTGGCTGAGGCAATAAACAGGAAAATTGGATGCAAGATTGATGGCTGAGATATCGCTGGCACAAAAGGACATAAAGGGAGAAAGAAAAGAGAAGTCGGTCAGGAAGCCCCCATATTTTGCTCTGGATTTCCTGTTTGATCTTTTTCATCCCCAAATAGTTAGGTTTCTCTCAGCTCTAATAAATCTGTTTGACTCACTACACCTTACTTGAGGCATCTAGAAATGACAAAGAACTAAAAAATTGAGCCTAAGATACAGAAAAATATAAACTGCTTTGAGTCCTGGCCCCATGAGATTGCAGACTATGCAAGGTGAAGATCCTTGTTTTCCATATTGTCTCTGCCCCCATTCCCTCACCACAGCGTCTGACACAACACCTCGCTCATCCTGGATGTGAGCAGAATAAGTGCAGTGAGGTCAGAGCCAGCAGGCCAGCCAGTGGTCCTTCTCCCCTGAGTTGTTTTTCTGTCTGTTCCTCCATTTCTAGCAGAACAGACCCTGCTTGTGGATGTTTCATGCTCTTTGTATTCTGTGACTGTGCTGTTGGAATGTGTGTCCCTACTGAAAAAGCCCCCTTAGATCCACAGAACCCTGAGGCTTCTGCTCATCCTATCCCCAAGGATGCAACCTGCATCTGAGGCAACAACCCCCACATCCCCGGATGAATGGCCTCATTTGTATTTTTGCAGATCTTAATTTTGCTAATGCAGTGAATTGAACTCATCTTCTTTGAGGCACTCTTTCCATGGAAACAGCCTCAGTTTTTACATATTTCTTCCAGTGATTCAGAATCTGCTTTCTGTTGCTTCCAACCTTGTTATATTGGGATGCTGGAGTGCTTAGAGCAGGTTCATAATGCCTCTGGGTTATTGTCTTACTACAGGACATTTTGCTATAAAGCAAAACTGTTGAGCAGACTTGCAGTTCCTGTTTGACAAGGAAAATATTGCAGTCTTACAGCCTTTTTAAAAAAGTCCTTGGTGGGCCGGGCGCGGTGGCTCACGCCTGTAATCCCAGCACTTTGGGAGGCCGAGGCGGGCGGATCACGAGGTCAGGAGATCGAGACCATCCCGGCTAAAACGGTGAAACCCCGTCTCTACTAAAAATACAAAAAAATTAGCCGGGCGTAGTGGCGGGCGCCTGCAGTCCCAGCTACTTGGGAGGCTGAGGCAGGAGAATGGCGTGAACCCGGGAGGCGGAGCTTGCAGTGAGCCGAGATCCCGCCACTGCACTCCAGCCTGGGCGACAGAGCGAAACTCCGTCTCAAAAAAAAAAAAAAAAAAAACAAAAAAGTCCTTGGTGAACACATCTTCAGAATCTTTCCAATGGCTCACAGGCCATCTTGCTTACCCCACCTCTGTCTTTCTTTCCTTCCTCCTCCCTCTCCTTCCTATCCTATCCTGTTCCTCCCTCATCTGTTTCTCCCTGCCCGTTTTCCTTCCTTTAACTCATAGTCAGCAATTTGGTTTCCTGGCAGCTAGTAAAGAGGATTAAAACATTGATTGCCTTCTGCCCCATTATCTGCAGCATGGAATCAGAACTTTACATTGCAACCAGAACTGGAGAGGGCAGCCCTACAGCTTCCTAGGTCTCCAGGCAAGTAGCAACCTAGATTCATTCTGCTTTAAAAATTTCACCCAGCATTCAAAGTAGTTAAGAAAATAACAGGTAAGTCACCTTCACTGAGTCTGAGATGGAGAGAAGTTTCAACAACATTTTCCCTTTTTCAACGAAGAAACATGTTTTGGTGAGGATGCATGTTATGTGGGAAGATCATGAAGAATCCATGCATCCTGATTCTCAGCCTCAGTGTAGCCAGCCTACTGAGCCCTAAACTCCAAGAACAGTGAGTCCTTGGAGGGGCAGGCTCCACAAGGGTCTCAGCCTGAGGGGCTCTTAGTATATTTTCCTAACACACTGACCCTAGAAGACTTCACGTGTGTGGGTGGGAGAGAGCCCACGAACAGCGCGGCACAGTGCATCACAGCTTCACTGCTCAGGGTGGGGGCCCCGGCCCAGCCATGGAGGCAGCCCCTGGGCATGTGTCAGAAACGTGGAATCCCAGACTCCACTCCAGACCTACTGGATCAGAATCTATATTTAAAAAAAAAAAAAACTCTAAAGAATTTATATGCAAATTAAAATCTGAGAAGCACATTGTACAAACTTGACAAAACTCATTTTCTCACTTAATGAGGTAGTATTATAACGATCCCCATTTTACATGAAATGCACTTTTTCTTCCTTCCTTCCTTCCATTTCTGCTGTTGCATAACTGGTCCCATAAAAACAGCATCACAGACAGTGAAAACAAATCCCACATTCCAGAAGTTGCCATGTCATCTGGTAATTCCACTGGAAGGATGCAGGACCTGTCTTACCCATGTAAATGCACACGGGCCTCCCCATTCTGTGAAACCATCCCCTCCCTACGTGTAGGTCAACATTTCTAAGTCTACTGGCATTCATGGATCTCATTTTATCTGAAGCTTTTAAGGCATCTGGCTGAGGTCCACCAAGCAGCATGATCTGGGTCTTTCTTCTCTCTAAGGAAAGGGGAACGTTGACCCTGCCTGAGACTCTAGCCAGGCCCTCAGCAGGTAGCCCATGTGTTTGGTTAAATGCAATGCAATTTAATTACTCATGGCAAAATCCTCTGTGGTACATTTTGAAAAAATAATGGAGTCATCGTAGTAGAAATCCAGGCTTCTCATTCTACCACATTTATTTCTTTCAGGAAAAAAAAAAAAAATGGCGAGGTGTCTGGAACGTCATTTTGATGTGTTTGATTCCATTGTTGTTTAATCCTTAAAAAGGCTTAGATTGATCAACTAATTTTTCTTTGTTAAATTTCATTTAAAAAGTAATCTCAGAATCCCTTTCACTATGATATTCTGTTAGCCTATAGAGAAATAAAGGGAGTAGGGCAAGAAAGTGTTTGCATAACCGTAATGCACCTTGAAGAGTTAGTGTATGAACTAGCCTGGATCATTATGTCTGCTGTGGTAGAGGCTTTTGATCCAGTAGCACCATCCAGCAAATGCCGGCTTAACCCAGACCCAGGTGGCGCATGCTCTGGAGTTTCTTTCTTGAAATTGTCTAAGTTCCCATCTGGTGGCTGGAACCATCGGGGGTGAGCAGCATCATTCAGGAGAGACGCTCAGATCCTAGGCTGGGAGCATGTGGGTCACTATTTCAGACCCCATTTCTTCAGTCTGGGGATCTTTCACCCTGCACCCTTCAGCCACTTCTTATGTGGGTCCACCCAGATTTCCCAATGACTCTGAACCTCACATCTATGGGTACATTTTGGGACCCTGTCACCAGGACCAGGTTTGAGGAGGGTAGCCAGGCAAATGGATTGCTCCCACTAGCCAATGCATTATTTCCTCCATGGAATTGCACAGATTGGACTAACAGAACGGTGCTGATTTGCAGTGACATTTCTATAAATAGATGATTGGTAGCCAGTATCCAGAGACTGATGGTACTCCCTGGGTGGGCATGACCTGGGGTAGGACATGGAGGCAGGGAAGACAACAAGAGCCAGAAAGCACATGGTCTGGGGAAATGGGTAGGTGGGTGGTGGAAGCCCCCAAGGCTTAGACTTGGAGCAGAGTCAGGGCACCTAAGTACCTGCCTCCTTACCCCCTATACCCAAGCCCACCTCCACAGACCCTTACTGCTGCACACCTTACACACTACACACTAGCCCACCTCCTCCACCTTCCTGCTGCACACCCTACACCCTGCACACTGGCCCACCTCCACAGACACCTTTCTGCTGCACACCCTATACCCTGGACACCAGCCCATCTCCACAGACACATTCCTGCTGCACACCCTACACCCTACACACTGTCCCCACCTTCCACCTTCCTGCTGCCCACCCTATACACTTGCACACCATCCCACCTCCACAGACACGTTCCTGCTCCACATCCTATGTCCTACACACTGGCCCACCCCCTCCACAGACACCTTCCTGCTTCACATCCATGGTGGACCCAAACCCATTGGATTAGAACATGCTTGCACAAGGTTGTGGCGAAAGCTCACACTTTTGTTGCCCTGAAAACTACTGTGGCCCTCAGGACTGCAGGCCTATAAGAAATGCAAATGGCTGTGCCTTATCCTTGGGCTTTATCTTGGTTTTGATGGGATCTCAGTGTTTTGACAGAACTCAGAACATTTGTGATGGAAGACAGAGGGTCTGTTGTCTTTGCACTGAACCACAGGGAGTAAGATAAGGGGTAAGGCGGAGAGGCCAGATTGTTGCAAGAACCTGTAATGGTGGCATAAAAGCAATACAAATTTTGCAGCCCATAATATTTTGAATTATAAATGACAAGTTTCACAAGTACCTGAGAATGAATCCTCCAGGGAGCTCCACCAAATTGAGTATTAAATCCACTAGGCTATTCTGGCAACCACAGATCCAGCATTTGGGGCTATCACATTTGTGTTGGCCAATGCTTATTGAGCATCTATTACAAAGCCATCGTGGGGTCCTTCCTCGTTCATTCATTCTCACTCTATCTTCTCCAACACAGGTGGAAACAAAACCAACTACTTTGCATCTATTTATATTAAAGGGTAGAATGCTTACTTATTCGTTCTACAAGTAGTAGTTTGTATTCTGCATACAAAAACATTTCTACAAATGAAAAATTAAGATGTGCTCCACAGTAACATACCCTAAAGTTATTCCATAGTTTTATTATATTATTGATCATGACAGTTCTTTTTAAAATATCAGTTTGGCAATGCACTGAAGTATTTATCATGTCATCTCTGAGTTAATTATCACAATAATCATATAAGAAAAATAATGACATGTTCTTACCAAATGCTCTAAGAAAGTTAAGTGACTTGACTGAAAATACATTGATGCAAGACTCAAGCACAGAATTTCTTTCTTCCTTTGCCGTATCTTTTGAGCAACATGATGCCCTATGTCTTTGACTTGATGTCCTACTCCATTCTGATGGCTTTTTCTCTTCCTCCTCCTACAATCTCTAGATGTGAATATGGTTCTGTCCCTGGTTACACAGTTTCCTGATTGTTTCCTGTCTGCTTCTTTCTTCCCAGAAGGCCAGGGCTTTGTAAGTGAGGATGAGTACCTGGAGATCTCTGACATCAAGCGAGACCAGTCCGGGGAGTACGAATGCAGCGCGTTGAACGATGTCGCTGCGCCCGATGTGCGGAAAGTAAAAATCACTGTAAACTGTGAGTGGACCTGCAGCCAGGGGGTTCTGGGGAAAAGACGGCACAGGGAGTAGGTGGACAATCTGGTAATGGCAGTGCCATTTTCCAAAGGACCCAGGTTCCTGCCAACAGGAAAATACTTCATCAGATGGCTTTGCCCACCATGGCCTCCGTGCCATTTGTCCCTGGAATCTTCCTGTGACTGCCAGAGTTTTCAGCAAATGGAGAGAATTGTTAACTGAGAATGGGTTTGGAGGCCTGAAAAAGAGGTTGGGGTCAATGCAGTATCTTCAAGCAGCTTATTTTTCCTGAAATAAATGATTATTTTACTGGGAAAGAGGGTTGTCACAAGAAATCCATTTACATAGCAAATGGCTGGATGTGCCCTTCATCTCTTTCACGAAATCACTCTGTGTGTGCGTGCGTGCATGCCTGTGCATGTGTGTGTGTGTGTTTCCCACAGATCCTCCCTATATCTCAAAAGCCAAGAACACTGGTGTTTCAGTCGGTCAGAAGGGCATCCTGAGCTGTGAAGCCTCTGCAGTCCCCATGGCTGAATTCCAGTGGTTCAAGGAAGAAACCAGGTACCTTTTAAATGACACCTGGACAGTTCTGAAGCAGAGCTGATGGTCTATCCCCACATGGGAGAAGGATGAGGATGAAGAAAAGGGGAAAGATAAGGCAAAACAGAAATATACTATGCCCTCTTTTGTAACAAAGTCTATTTTTACAACGAGAAAAAAAATGGAGGAGGCTGGGAAGTGGAGAAAATGAACTGACCATGATTCTGAATCTGAGACTGGTTGTAGACATGTCAGTCGTTGGGAATTAGAAGCCAGTACATTTATCCCATTGGGCAAGAGCATCATTTCCCTTCTCCTCCTGTTGGACACTGAAGTGCTTAGGGTTTGAGTTTGAAGGACGAGATTAGTTGGAGAAAAGAGTTTGGTGAGGAGGAGGGCCTCTTTGTAGAATGAATTGATAGCAATGTCTTCCCTCTTGCAGGTTAGCCACTGGTCTGGATGGAATGAGGATTGAAAACAAAGGCCGCATGTCCACTCTGACTTTCTTCAATGTTTCAGAAAAGGATTATGGGAACTATACTTGTGTGGCCACGAACAAGCTTGGGAACACCAATGCCAGCATCACATTGTATGGTGAGTGCTGGAAGCCTGGATGCAGTGGGCTCAGCCACATGGGGAAGCTTGAGGGACTCAGGAGGGAGGAAGTTGCAATCTGCTTGGCCTGTGTCCATCCATCCTACTCAACCCACCACCTGTAGATAAGACATACTTCTCCCTGCCATTCCCCTAGCATGCCATGCAGAGATAGTTACACAGTAATTGATATTTCATGGTCATTAAAAGGCAAAGTTTGCCCTTACAATAGCAGTAAACCAAACTGTGAATCAGGTAGAATGGTTTTTGTATAAAGAAGATAGAACCATGGGTCAATTCAACTGTGTAATTTTAAGATGCCTTCTGTAGTTGGAGTCTCTGATTCTGGGGGTGATATTTGTTGCTTTAAACCAAGTCACCTGCTTCCATCATGATTCTCATGTTGCTTGCATTTCGTATTCTCATCCATGGGGAAGAATGGAGTAGTAGTCTGAGACCTTATCAGGTGGCTGCTCTATCCACAACTGGAGCAGCAAACCCTCTCTGAAGATCTTTCCCTCCCATATGGGTGGAGAAGGCTTGGGAGCCAGGACTGACCTCCTTTAAAGCCCCTATGTCTCCCTAACTCCATTTTCCCACACTGCCGCATCCATATCCTTCTGCAACATTTCACACCATGGGCCAGGGCCAGCTTGTTGTGATACTGTATGTGCATATGTATTTGTTTATTTGCTGAGGTTTGATTAGAGGGAAGCATCCGATGAGTAGGATGAGAGGATGAAGGATGAAGAGAGGTATCCACGTTTCCACGTGCACCTCAGACACAAGCTTTCAGCACTGACATTAAGTAAACTTTGTCCACCAACCATCTGAAATGTGTGATCTATGTCTTTTGTTTTCTCTCTGCATTGTGTGTGCATTGTGCTGTGTGTGTCTTAGAAATAAGCCCCTCATCAGCAGTGGCAGGTGGGTACAGCATGTTCCTTCCTACCTCTGCCTGCCTGAATGCCTATGCCTTTGAGTTTTAGCCTACTTCAAAGATAGGCTTGCCTGCTTCACCTCTGTAATTTATGTCTCTGAGGTAGATAGACCTCAAGGGGCTTGGTTTACACAGTTTAGATAATAAGCATGTAGAATATGATGGCTTTCAAATGCACTCTGTGGAATAGCTTTATGTGTTTCAGGGGAAGGGGTTTTTGCCCCCAAAACAAGAACCTTATATTTGGTCATCTTTGAAAAGAATGCTCATTCTGCTATTTCTGTACACAGCAGCACCAAGAGCAACCCAGCCCAGAGACCAACTGGATTAATAGATAACTGTCTCAGTGGGGACGTCACCCTACTATGAATGTTTTATTCTTTTAGCCCAAGGCAAACAGGGCTAATGGTTTAGTTCTAAAAACTTTATTTTAAAATAAAAGTACTTGGGATCATTATTATAATCATAATATCTGCTATTTACCAAACGTGTACTGGTTTCTAGGCATCATGTCAGGGCTGTGCAAGGCAGGTTATTAACCCCATTTTACAGGTAAGTGAAAGGAGGACTAAAGAGCTTGGGTAACACTGAAGACCACTTAGCTAATGAATAGATACTGGATGAGACCTAGAGATGGAGCCCTGTATTAGGTATTGGAGCATTTGCCCACAGCGTCAGCAAAGAGAAACAGGCACACACATGCATGCACTCACACACACTCTTACACAGTCGCTGAGGCATTTAGAAGAAGCAGTAGCTGCTGCTCAGCTCTGCTTCCAGAACTGGAAGACCCTCAACCCTACTGTTCTAAGATGTCAATCTCATTCACATGCAAAGAGATGACATTTGAATTTTCTAGACCTGAAATCAGCTCCTCAACTATCACTGCTCACAGCTCTTGATCCAAGACACTCACAGATGTATAGTGCTGCCCGCATCCCAGTGACCAGGAACACCCATGCCTTAGTCTTAAAAACACTGAGAGGATAGGGTGGGATTGAGTCACTTCCCTGCCACAACCTGCCATTATCCCCATGGTTGGTGGGATTGCTGTTGCAGGGAGTATGATGCAGAGAAGGGCACAGGACTGACAACCCAATGGCCCTTCTTGTCTCTCTCTGCCCTTCACTAAGAAAGAGGTGTGTCATGGCAGATAACAACAACCAGTGTATACCAAAACTGTCTTAGTTGGCTTGTGTTGCTGTAACAAAATACTACCGATGGGATAGCTTAAACAACAGACATTTATTATCTCAAAGTCCTGGAGGCTAGAAGTCCAAGATGCAGGTTTCTGCCAAGGTGGTTCCTGTGAGGGCTCACCTCATGGCTTGCAGACAGCTGCTATGTCCTCACATGGTTTCTCCTCTGAATTCTCATAGAAAAAGAGAGAGAGGGAGCTTTCTGGTGTCTCTTCTGATAAGGACAGTAACTATATTGGATCAGGGTCCCACCCTTATGACCTCACTTAACCTTAATTACTTCCCTATAGGTGCCACCTCCAAATACAGACATACTGGGGGTTAGAGCATCAACATAGACATTCGGTAGTAGAGGGATGCGATTCAGCCCATAGCACAGGCAGACATTTACATCCCAATTCAGCCTTCACATCCCAATTCACTTAAACTTGCTGAGTCTTCCTTCCCGCATATATGCTATTGGGACATTAACGCCTGCTTCAAGAGACTGGTGACAGGATTAAATCAGGTTGTGTCCATTCAGAATCCCATAAATGCTACATTTAGATGTGTGGATTCGACCACAAACAAAAACCACAGGCCTGAGTCCACTCGGCTAAGTAGGGTGATATTTTCTGACCTGTGGACATGAGAGTGTCACTGTGAATTGTCAATAAGACAATGTTCATCAAAGCGGCATGACTCACTGAATACTGTCGTGTTTCTACTGGTACCCGCCAACACTTATTGTGACATGGCCCATGCTATCGCCTCTTCCCCCCATATGCCTGCCAGAGTCACTGCTCAACTGGACTTCTTTTCCTTCCTCCAAAGTCCCCTGTGCCCTTCCTCTCCAGCATTCACGGTCCCTATAACCCACCCTATCTCACTTCACCCTGTTGGCACACACTTGCATTCAGCATCCCTTCCTGAAGGAAGACTTTCCTGACCTCTCTGAGCAGGCCAGTCCCCAATTCTGCATCCACTCATTCCGCGCCTTTGACTGCTGCACTCACACAGAGCATTGTCTAGCATTCATTTAGCAAACATGCATTTAGGACCCGTTACAAGCCAGGCACTGTTCTATGTGATCAGGAGACAGCAGTGACTCAACAGATAGATTCCTTGTTTCTATAGACTTTATCTTCTAGTTGTAATTTTGTTTTTGTTTAATATTTCAAAAGTTGTTTGTTTAAAGTATTTCTTCCTCTTTATCCTGTAAGCTCCAGGAACATAGGGGCTATACCTGGCTTAATCCCTAGGACCTAATACAAGGTTCTACACACAGTAGCTCACAGGAAAACTTTGTGGAATGAATGAATGTGTGAATATATGTGGGGATGGAAAGGACGTATTGGTCACAGCCACAATTTAGCTGTCAGGAATTGAAATGCCATGGCATAGAGGAAGGGGTATGTGTCTCACCCTATGCTGCTCGCTGGCTGAATGGCTTTGGGAAGGTCAATCTCAGTGGGTCTTTTATATTTTTAATCAGTGAAGGCATTTTGGATAAGATGTTTGGTTTCTGTGGTCCCTACAAGGCACAATTCTCTGATCCTATGACTGTGTGGCAATAGTTTCAGCACAAGATCAGACAGATAGTGTCTGGTTGACCTGCTCTTTCTCCTGGCCAGGGATGCTCTTCCTAGTCCTCAATGCCCCCATAATTATGCCTAATTATTACCAACCATTTACTGTGTACAGGGTACTAGACTAAGTGCTTTTCCTTTTTTATCACCCTTAGTGACTCTATGAAGTAAGTACTATATTTATCCTGATTTTACACTTGAGGAAATTGAGAGGTTAGGCAGATAACTCAAAACACCCTGGCTTATCAGTGCTTGTGCTGGGATTTGAGGCTATATACTCCCATTCCCATGCTGGAGCACTTTGCTCCTATTGCAATCCAGCTCATAAGACCTGGCAACCCATCATGGACATGGTGACTTTCCAAATGGAGCCTCATATCAGCAATTAGTCTTCTTGGACCCATCTCCCACATCAAATTCTCCTTTCTTCTATCTACTTCTGAAGCCATTCTTGTAAAGGACAATTTTTAGATTTGCAACCCGTATGCTCCTACTTCCCCAACACACAGTCCCCATCTGCAGGCATGCATTTGTATTTACTCTCACAGACGGTCAGTCTGTTTTCTGAGAGCCCTCTTTGACTCTGCCCCGTGATCCCTTCACAGCGTGCCTCTCTCACACTACATCTTTTATATATTTCATACCTACAAGCAAAGAGCAAAGGAAAATGGGATATAAGCAATTTTGAAAGAATGCAGAGGGCAAAAACTGGAGACAATGGGTTGGTGAGTGGTTGGAAACCTGAAATGACTAGAAACGTGTGAGTGACAACATGGTAGGTGATCGTCCAAGATGAAACAGCTGTTGGCACTGATATGAAATGCTTCTTCTTTATCACACCGGTTGCCTTCCCCACACAGAGCCACAAGGACAGAGTGGTCAGCTAGGCAGAGCGCCAACTCACAGCCATATTTTAGACCACCCACTTTCCTTAGCCCCAGGCAACTGCAGGTGCTGGAAAAGTGGCCCGATGTGGAAAGGCGGTCAACGCCAGCAGCAAGGAACACGGGGTTCCAGTCCTGACTCTGATACAGACAAACTGTGATGCTGTCTGTTCCTAAGTCATGCGTAAAACAGAAAAGCAGAGCAAGATGAACTCCAAGGTTACTTTCAGCTTTCTAAGTGTCTGGGCTGAATTTGGGAAACAATGGGAACAAAAGGCAAGGAACAGGTCTCCAAAAGCTATCAACCATAACCATGGACAATCTTTGCACAGTAGCTTGCTCCAACCATTGCAAATCAGCTTGCTCTAAGCATTCGTTAGCTTTACTGAGTGGGTGCAGCCATTGGAAGGTCCACAGGGAGCCCCTTGGCACCTCGAAGTCTTGCCAGGCCTAAGTACAGCAGGGGTGGCTGGGTTTCAGCTTGCTGACCACAGCTCTGTCCCTTGTGGAGGTGACTCACTTTCTCTCAGTTCGCCAACCCCCTTTGTCCCCTCTGGGCCTTGAGCAAGAAGCCCCATCCCCCCATCCTGTCCTTAGTGTGCAGAGAAGGAAGATTCTGGACTTGATTACATCTGGCACTGCAGAGAGTGCGACGTGCTTAATGAGGCATGTAAACGCCTGGATGACTGGAACTGGCAGGGGAAGGGGAGAGAGAACGCAAACAAAGCCAAGACGGAGGGGGGAGACTGCAGAGAGAAAAACAAATTTCTCACATTTTATCTGTGAAATTGCAGCGACACAAATCAGTTACATTAAGAGTTAAGTGTAGGGCGCAGGGACAACTCATAGGAATCCTGTCATCGCAAGTGAAAAAGGAAAACGCTCCAGTTAAGTCAACATCTGTGCACAGAGTTTCTTCCTCAGGCCAAGCCTGAGCCCTCTTGGAGCAGCTGTGACTCCAGCCTGCCTCGCGGCTCCTGGGAGCCATGAGGGCGTAATCTCTATTTTCTTTTGCTAATGGCCATTCTTCTAGAATAAATATACATATCAGACTGGCTCTCTGAGCCGGACTTCCTTCTGCCAGAGCCTGCACCAGGCAGCGGCTCTCATCTGCCCTTTGCTGACCTCCTTCTCATGGGAAACCATCCCACCCATGGGCAGAGCCCTCATCGCCGCTGCCTTATCCCCCACCTCCCTCCTCTTCCCCCTCCATCTTCTCGTTCCATGTCTGTATTAGGGCGTCTTCACAACTACACCTATCCCCAGGTGGCTCTAGCTGGGACATGGAGAGGGGGCACAAAGACTGAGCTTCTCTTCAGTGCGACCTCCATGCCTCACCCGTGCCTTTTCTTCCCTCCAGCCACAGGCCTCTGGGAGGGAGAATTCGCATTGTATCTGCCTTTCTCAAACCTACTTATGCCTCAGCTACCACGATCTGTCTCCCTCTAACACCCGACCTCGTCTCAGTGCCAGAGCCCCTCTCACCCCACAATGCCCCACTTCTGGCTTATGTGATATAACCGGGTGGTGACTGTCTCCTTACCTTCCTCAGTCTGCTTCTAGCTCCTCCGGCACCTGCCCTATCAGTCTTCCCGGGGGTCAGCCTATGGTGAGAGGGGAAGGGCTCTTCTGTACCTTCAGGCACCCAGTGGTGAGGTATTTGTTGGCCTGCATTAGCCTTATTCCGGATGCTTTAAAAATGCAGATATGTGAGCCTTGCCCCAGAATCATTTAATCGAAATCTCTAGGGAAGGTCCTGAGAATGTACTTTTTAAGAAGCTCTCCCAGGGAATCCTATGCACACTGAAGATTGATGGCCTCTGAACAACAGCCTGATAATTCCTGAATTTGTGTCTTTAGTTCTCTCCTGAATTCTGAGCTACAAGCCACTCTCTCTCCCTGAATATTCCGCAGGGGTCTCAAAGGCAGCCCTTCTCCGCTGGGAACGCTCGGGGCATGCCTCGCTCTTCCCCTGCACACTCTCTAGAATCTCTGGTCATTTTTGACTTCCTCCTCTCCCTCACTCCTCACATCTGTTAGCCATCAAGTCCCACCAAATGGCCTTTCCTCTGACTTCTCCATCTCCATTATCACTCACATTGTGGCACACGTCTCACATGGACAATTGTGATATCCTCTCACTGGTTCCCTCATCTTTCTTCGGCAATCCAACTCCTGTCGGTTTGCCACAGCAGGGCCAAGTGACATTTCCAAAACTCAGAATGAACCTTGTCATTTCGATTGCTGAAAACTTCTGCCTCCCAGAACAGCTTGGCATTAAGGCTGTTCTCGCTGTGAGATCAGCGTAGCCTTATAGCTTCAAGTGTCCCCAGCACTCCACCTGCAACCTTCCCTGCATCCACCAGGCTGGGCCCCCTGTGTCCCAGATCCCGTTACACATCATGCTGTTGCCACTCTCCATCCATCCATCCATCCATCCATCCATCCATCCATCCATCCCTCCATCCATTCATCTAGTCAACAAATATTTGTTTAGTGCCTACTGTATGCCAGGAATTATACTAAGGACTAAAGTACCAGGAGAAACAGAATTTCTGATCTTGCACAAACAAGTAAATAGACAGTTACAATAAAATATAGGAAGTGCCATGCTTGAGGAATGAAGAAGCTGCCAGCTATCGAGTGTCAGCCACACATGGCTTTAGACACATAAGAACACTTTGAGATTGATATTGTTATCATTTTTCATTGGACAGAAGAAGAGCCTAGAGCTCAAAGAACAAATGATGTTACTGAATTCCCCCAGGTAGGAGGGATTCCACCATGGATGGAAGGGGCAAGGGACAGCAGCAGGTTTTGTACCTAGGTCTGTCTGATCTTAATCCCCTGTTTCTTTCAAACCCATATACTGTGTCTCCCAGTGTGCTGGAGGGTCTCAGAGGCAGGCTTGTGCCCTCTTCTCTGCCTGATGAGTGCATACTTTCTGGACTCTGCTCAATGATGCCCCATATGTAAAGCATTTGTGAGCTCCGCTGAAGAATCAATCCCTCATCTTTTGGGCTCTCATGGTAGATTACCCCTATGCTTATATTTTGTTTGTGTCATTTTCTGCACTTAGAAGATGTAACACTATATCTTCCAGTGAGCGTTGCCCAGTAACTGTTTGTTGAATTAATAAATATATCTTCCAGCCAATGAGGGCATCAGTTATAGCCTCTATACAGTTTCATACCTTTCACTAACCAAAGAAAAGCCAAATACCCAAGAGGACTTGTAGTCCCCTCCCCTCAGGGAAGCCAAATGACTATTTTTCTGACTTTCCCTTGCGTTCTGGCCTCCTGTATGTTCCAAATCTAATTTAAAATTTAGGGACCCCCATCCCAGATCTCCCTTTTGAAGGAGGCTATACCACATATTCCAATTCTCTGTTTAGGAAGACGTTCATCACATGATATCTTCTTGCAGAGACATCAAAAGCTGCACATATTTGTCCATTTCCTGCTGATAACGTGTATGATTTTTATTTTTCAACTCCACAATTTAAATCCAGGTGGGAAGGGAATGAGTCAGAGAGAAACACCATTGCTTTTGGCTGATGACAGCAGCGTAATCATTTGTATTTTCCCCCAACCTGCAAAATGTCAACATAGTAGAAAAAAACTGCAGACATTTCCCATTTCATTCTTGATGAGGTTCCTTGTGGTTTGCTCGTACCCCGCCCTCCTCGCTCTGAATCATTGACATCTGGCTATTAGCCTGAGCATTTAGAATTTAACATTGAGCGTTCAGGGTGTGCTGATGTCAGCACAGACACAGAGCTTATGGTTCAACAAAGACTCAAGTCTTGTCTCTTCCAGGTTTGTGATGAGCTGACGGATTTGAATTAACTTCTGATATTAACTTCTTAAGCTTTTGTTTTTGTAGTAAGCACAAAACAGGGTGTGTTAAGGAGAACAGAAGAAAGATGGTTGCCTCTTTATCGACTGGTTTCAGTTGTGCTGCAGAGCCTCGTTGGTTGATCTTACTTGTGAAACAACACAGCGCCACGTTTGCCGCTGTAATTAAACTCAATGGAGGAAAAGTTCCCTTTGAAGGGAAGTGATGTGCCTTCATCAGCCAGCACCTCTAAAAATAGCTTTATGTTTCACCAACAAGTGTAACACATACATCATCTAATTAGATTTCTTTGCTCCTCTTTTAATCACCAAGAACATCATTATCCTCTTGGTTCCTCATTAGGAAGGTCACACAGTTCATAATCATACTTACAAAACCTATCCAGATTTCAGAACAAAACCGTATCTTCTTAGACTTCAGATATTTCATTAATCTCACTGTGCTGTCAACAAGCTCAACTTGCCTAGGGGCTTTTTTTTTCTTTTCTTTTTTAGTGTGGTCACCCTACCATCTGCCATTTTAGTAGAATTTCAGCTATATAGTTTATGGTTGCTGGAGATCGATGTCATATTTTCATTGTAATCATGGAAAGGAAAACCAGTGACACATTCCAATACCTTCATGGCTTGTTATATACACTACATTTTTAAGCCTCAAAATCTCTCATGAGGCAGGATCTCAGCAGGAAGCTTCTATATTTTTTTCTGAGAGCTCTGTGCTGAGTTTGGGTACTGTGATTGTCAACACCTGCCACTCAAGAGGGTGGTGAGCCACCCCTGAATGCAGCAGCAAAAGCTTAGTGCCAGGATGGCCAGGCTTGAAATTCCCCGTTCTTATGTGGTAGGTGTGGCTTTATTCTGTTTTAAGCCTTCAACCAAATTTTCTTCTAAAAAATCTAATGTTTAGGCCAGGCGTGGTGGCTCATGCCTGTAATTCCAGCATTTTGGGAGGCCGAGGCGAGTGGGTCACTTGAGGCTAGCAGTTCAAGACCAGCCTTGGCAACATGGTGAAACCCCATCTCTACAAAAATACAAAAATTAGCCAGACATGGTGGTGCATGCCCATAATCCCTGCTACTTGGGAGGCTGAGGCAGGAGAATCACTTGAACCTGAAAGGCAGATTCAGCCGAGATCGTGCCACTGCGCTCCAGCCTGGGTGACAGAGTGAGACTCGGTCTCTAAAAAAAAAGTAATGGCAAAAACCATGATGACTTTTGCACAAACCTAGCAATTTACCAAGACACGTAGCCTCTCAAAAGTAGAATTTTTATTTGTTCATTTTTGTTGTTGTTGTTGCTATGTGTCTTACCCCTGCTGAGCTTCCCTTGTAGCTGCATGGACCTGCTCTGGCCATAATGTCCACACAAATGGATCCCTTTGTCATTTCTGAAACTTGTCTCTTAACCATATCTGGTCTCTAACTATTCTTTCTATATTCTAAAGGAAATCTTATTTGTCTGTATACCTGTCCCCAAAGTATTTTGTTGTTGTCACTGTGTTGTCACTCAGTTTATTTTGTGGCTTTGCATCTTCATTTCAGCTTATATTTTTAAAGATGCTTAACTTCAGGCATGAAGAAGCCATTAATTTTTAACATTAAAAAGGGTGAAGGAGGAGGTGCTGGAATAATGGTAAAGGGCATAATTACATGTTCTCACTTTCCATTTATCCCTGAAAATATTTAATTAAGCCTGATATTTGTAGCAGCCATTCTAGTTCAATTGAATTATTGCTAACCATAAATAGAGAAAGAGTCCTTAAATGTGGCATTTGCCCACAGAAAGTACTGGGCTACTGAATACGCTTCCTCAGAATAGCTGCCATTCATTAGGAAGATTTTACCTGTGGTTAGCAGCCACTTCAGGCCTTTCCAGAAGGGAGAAGGTCACCCAATTACCAGCCAGAGCCAAGCTTGCTTTCAGCTGGTGTTGGAGAGTAACCTTTGAGAACCTAGTATTCTAGAACACCTCTTTCTTTAAAAGCAGAACCCCCACACAAGATGCTGTTTTATGGATTAGCAATTCTTGCCTTAGTTCCAACTCACCTAATATTTCATCATCCTTTACTCTGTACTTGATGATTGCACACACCATCTTAACTCATTCTCAGAGCAATCCTGCAAGGGTAGATAGAACTACTCCTTCCACATTTTATACATAAAATAAACTGTTTCAGAGTAGTCGGCGGTCTTGTCCAAAGTCTTCCTGCTATTGGATAGCAGAGCCAGAATTCAAATTCAGTTCTGACTCTTAAAATCAATGCTCTTAAGACTATCCAACAGGCAGGATGTTCCTGAGATGAAAGGGATTTAGGGTTATTTGTTCCAAATGGCTTTCTTCCCAGAATCTCTGATGGTTTAAAAAAAATATTTGTCTGTTTATTTGTTTATTTATTTAATCAAGGACAGAGGATAAGCTAGCTCCTCCTGAAGTTTGTGCTTTTTGAAGGTATGGACTGTTTCTGTCTTTCTTTGTGAAAGCAGAGCCTAGTGCATGGCAGGGATCAATTCACATATGTTGAATGAACGACTTCAACATTTCCCAAGGTTGGCTTGGGGCCCGTCTCCATTGCAGGATGGACACATTACCCTTTGACCTAGCCAGGAAGCTTGGCTGTGGCTGGCTCCCAGTGCCCTGCTCAATGCCCCACATCCTCCAGAGCCCTCACAGCCAGTGGTCTCTCTCAGCTGCAATCTTAAGCTATCTCACCTCTTTACTCACTCCCTTACCAATACCTCACCCCAGGTTCAACATATTTTGGAACTATCTAAACAAGCTAGTATTAGTCTCCACTAAGAAAGGGACAGGGAGGTGTGCAGGTCCTGTTCCAACAGCAGTTGCCATGATCACATGACTACTTTGTACCAGGCACTCTACTGATTACGTTCATCCTTCAATCAGTCCTGCAAACTCAGCATCATCATGCCTGTTTTCAGTGAGAAAACAGGAAGTATCTTGCCTAAGATCACAGAGCTGGCAACCCACAGGGTCAGAATTTAAATCCAAATGGGTCCAACTCCAACATTGCCAGATTGCGGTCAGCGACCTTACCCCGGGGGAGCGTAGAGAGCATTTCCTGAGGTCCCTAGGGATGTTTTCTCAGTTATGCTTCCAGGAAGTCTGCTCCTTCGCCTTTCTTCCAAACCCGTGGGCTTTTATCCGGGTGCATTTTAGCATCAGTTTTCTGGAATAGAATATGTCATTAAAAATCTGCCTCTCAGCCGGGCATGGTGGCTTACACCTGTAATCCCCACACTTTGGGAGGCTGAGGTGGGCAGATCACGAGGTCAGGAGTTCGAGAACATCCTGGCTAACGTGGTGAAACCCCGTCTCTACTAAAAATACAAAAAATTAGCTGGGCATGGTGGCAGGCGTCTGTAGTCCCAGCTACTTGGGAGGATGAGGCAGGAGAACGGCGTGAACCCAGGAGGTGGAGCTTGCAGTGAGCCGAGATCACGCCACTGCACTCCAGCCTGGGCGACAGAGCGAGACTCCATCTAAAAAAAAAAAAAACTGCCTCTAGTATTCTAGGTTTTAGAGAAGAATCACCTTTCTTCCAATTTTTACCAATAAATGAATAAATACAAACATCTGGGTTTCTGACCCTATATATTGAAATTCAAAATTGTATCATCTTGGGTACCAAGTACCTGGAGAAGTCCATGCAGCTGTTACCAGCCGAGGCCATGCTCTAAGAAAACTGTACTCAATCTGACTCTGAAGCCATGTATGCAAGCTTCAGTGCTACCACTGCTGAGCTCAGCCTGAATAGTTCCTTCAAAACCATGTCCTCCCCTGTCACACAGGTGGCTCTGTAGCTTTGTTGAGCTAACATTTACAAAAGCCTCATGGTAACCCATGGGACCAAACGTGAGCCCCGAGGCCATGGGACCACACCAAATTACTTAAATTGCAGCAACCCATCACTTTTATATTAAAGCAGAAAAGCATTTGGCCAAGTTAGGTGAGCAACTGTAGCATACAGCAGCCTAGTGGGAGAGAACTAACCCAGAAACTTTCTTTTCCTCATTTCCAGTTACACAGGGCTACTGCAAAGATGCAATTAAAGAATGAGTTCATTGCCCATGGCTTTTGTCTCACACTCTTCAAGTCTAGAGAGTGTACATAGATGTACCAGCTCCAAACACAGCTGGAGAGCCCTCCGGCAGAGCCCTCACCGCATTGGCATTTGGCCCAGCTGACAAGTCTCAAATGTGCCCAGGATCTGTATGAGGAAAGTGATGCTAGCTTCACTGTGTATCGTAGTGGATTAAATTCATTCTCTGGCCACAATAGCCCAGCCATTTCTCATACACCAATTGACCAAAGGCACTTTGGCAGTAAATTGCTATGGCATTTGATACGACAAAGCAGGTGCTCATCATAGCTGCTGAAGAATAAAACTCCCTGAAGCCACATAGAAAATGGGGCTGCAAAAGGGAAACTTTAGGGACTAGAGTGTTCGGTGCCCTCTTGCTGTCTCAGGGGAGATGGAATTCTGAAGTGCAAAAGGCACGTGTTGACGGTTTTCTTTCAACTGAAGAAGGCTGTCTGGCTACTCACCAACTATCTCTCCTAACACCTGGATGCAGAATTTCCATTCATGTAATAACTCAGAGAGCTAATAGAAGAAGGACCTCACAGGTCATCAAACCCCATCTCTTCTCAATTTGCAATGCGAGAAGCAAAGCCCGGAGAGGGAACGTCACTCAGCTAGGGTGCAGCACATTCATACAGAGACACTGCATTCCCAGTCCATTGTTTCTCTCACACCATGATACTGTGGTCCCTGGAAAACCTGCACAAATGGTCATTTTCTACAGAGAGGAAGTAGACTTGTAACAATTAAGGGCATAGATTCTGAGGACAGTGACTTGGTTCTAATCCAGCTCAAGGTGCATAAGTTGCGTGGCCATAGCTAAGATGTCTAACTGCTCTGTTCCCAGTTTTCCTGTTTACAAAGTGGGAATGACAGTAGCACATAGCTCATAGGGTTGATGTGATGATTAAATGACTGATTATATGTTTAGCATTTAGAATCGTGCTTGCCACGTGGAGAGCACGGTGTGAACGTGTGTTGTCATCATTGCCCTAAGCAGGCTGAGCAGCCTACATACCTGCTAAGTCTCCCTTTCATTTCCACTCTTGAGAATGCTCAACAGAAGCTGAATATGACTGTAAACCTCCACCCAGTAAGCACCAAGCATCCGATGGCAACTGCTGCTCACCACCAGAAACACTCATTTCCTTTTACTATTCTGCCTCCTTCTCTCTCTGAGCCCCACTCTTCCATGGTCTGTTTTCTGTGTATATTGCCCCACTCCTCTTTGCTTTAGCTATATTCAACCTTGGGCCGATGGCATGGTATCCACAGGAATGTTTCAGTTCACTGGTAGAACTTGGGATAGAATGACTCCTATACTCAAGAGTTCTGTCTAGAGTGGAGCATATCAGGGCTTCAATTGTTTCTTAAGCTCAAAATAATAATTAGACAAAGACATATATATATACGTATATACATATACACATACAAAACTAGTCTAGTATATATGCCATATATGTCATGAAAATACTTTTTAAGAAAAATATATACAAAAAGATAATTTTAAAGAAACATATGGGCCTTATGAATCTGCCCATATGTTTCTTTAAAAGTAGCTTTATGTACATATTTTTATTTAAAAATGTAAATAAACTTATTTAAAAACCTAAATCACTCATCTTTCAAAGACAATATGTAGAGAATTACCTTGAGCTTCAACCTGAGCATTTCTAGCTCAGTGCATTCTGCAGGCCAGTATGATTTCTCAGGATGTGTGCCAGGACTGCTGGAGGCCCCACAGTCAGGCTACTTTCCATCAATATCTATGGAGCCTCCTCTGGGACATTAACATGTCGCTACAACCTGGATTCCGCCCTTTTTTGTGAATATTCTCTGACAAAAATGCAGGCTAATATGAGTCAGACTTCAAGCTATCAAGTAAATATGACTTTTAGTCCATAAAAGCATGTATATTTTAAGTAGAAAGAAAAGGTATTCATGTTAAGATTAGTGGAGAGGAACAGTTGTATACTCATTGCTGAAGTGAGAGACGTGACTTTCCCAAAGTAAAATGTTCCCATCAGTCCCTCCTGGGCAAGGCATGAATCCTCACCATAAGGTTGACAGGCAAGCCAAATGAACTAGTCCTGTCTAAAGAGGTTCTGCTGCACCTCAGCTTATTTCCAGTAGGCCAATTTGCTTCTCAAAGAAGCTGTGAAGTCCTGGCTTGAGATGGTAGAAGAGGTGTACTGTCTCCTTTGAATCTCCTTTGCTTCTTCACTAGTTTTATAGAAATGCCTCGTAATGGCTTTTAATCCCTTGGTAATAATAGATTTTGCTTTTTCTGGGATACACTTGCTGCTGGCTCCTAGTCTTGCGTACCACCCTATGTGCTTGCTGATAAAGGTGATGGAGGAACACCTGGTCCAAGTTAGATACACCTGCCCTTGAAGCAGGCTAGGATAATACCAATTCATGTGATTTGTCTTCTTGAGCCATGGAAGGTGAGGGGAAAAGAACAGCACTCATGATACTGTGGACTTATTTCCCGGTGGACCTTGAATGATTTATTGGGGATACAGGAAGGGGCCAGAGAGAGAGAGAGAGAGAAGCTAGAAAAAAATCAAGGGAGAGCCCCTTGGGTGGAATCTTCAGGGGCAGTCTGTTTTGGGCATGTTGATCTGCTTCAAGGCCTTTAGGGAGGCAGCACTGACTGCTGGGACAAGCCTAATTCCAGCCTTTAAAACCCATGGGGATGATTGTTCCTCCTTCCTTAGCTGCTGCAGGAGGAGCCTCCACAACACCTAGGTTGCATGCATTGAGGTTGACAAGTCTGCTACATCAACACTTGGACTTATGTCTCCATCCGTCTCCCCTTCCTACCCCACCATCTGCTCCTTGCCTCTCTGGCCTTGTGCCCCCCGACTCATCATTGTCTGTACTGGACACTCTCCAAGTATAGCACACAGTTAGAGGCACTGATTAGAAAACAGCCAGCAGGTCTGCCTTTCCATGTGTTGCCTTAACCTTTGGGCCCACGGGCCTCAATGACTAGCCTGAGCTTCACCTATTTACTTTTTAAGCATAGTCTTTCAGAGCAGGCTGCATTGGTCAAGGCATCCCAACAGCTTGCCCCTTTGAGTTCCTAAATACTCCCAATGGGCTTTTTCCTTTGTTTAGACTTGGAATGGTCAGCGGAAGGGTGGAAGGTGGGAAGCATGTATGTGTATTTGCTTGTCAGGGAAGAACTATGGTGTCCTTGGGTGTATGCTAATGGGTCTGTCTCTCTCTCCCCTACACAGGGCCTGGAGCAGTCATTGATGGTGTAAACTCGGCCTCCAGAGCACTGGCTTGTCTCTGGCTATCAGGGACCCTCTTAGCCCACTTCTTCATCAAGTTTTGATAAGAAATCCTAGGTCCTCTGAGCAACGCCTGCTTCTCCATATCACAGACTTTAATCTACACTGCGGAGAGCAAACCAGCTTGGGCTTCTTTTTGTTTTTTTCTGTTATTCTAGATTTGTTTTCTTTTTGTTTTTGTTTATTTGTTTGTTTGCTTTTATTTCCAGCTTGAATGAGTGGGGTTGGGGGCGGGGTGGGCAGGGTTCTACCACGTGTAGGATAATCATTCATTGGTGTGTCCAAAAATGGGGTCTGCTCCTGCTACCTTGACCCTTCCCTTTCCTCTGCTTCTCTCCTCATCATCATTCCCAACAACATCCTCTGCCACACACAACAAAACGTAAGTTTCATTTGGGCAAAAATTGAGCCTCACAATAAACACCCTGAAGACACAACTTGACTTATAACATAGTGCACAGCAAGAGCTACATCCAAGTGTCCTATTATCTGTGATTATTTTCTTAATGACAATGTACATATGCCCCCATCCATGTTAATTATTATCTAATTCCATTAGGGTTCACGTCTTTTCTTTCTGGGACACTATCCTACTATATCCATATCTATAGATTTCAATATAGATGATTGTGCCATCTTCTGTAGCCCCTCCGCTCTACTCATTCCTTCCACCATCTGCAGAGATTTGAAGTTTGGGGCTATGCATGAAACCCAACACTAAATTTTGCAAGTCAAGTAACCAAAAAAGGGGGAGGCATTTTGAAGATAGAACCTCTATTTTAAAAAGAGAAGTTCAACTCATAAACGTGATTGATAGGTGGCTGATTTATTTAGGTTTTGTCAAGCTATCTATCAAAGTAATGGTACAGTTACCCATCTACTCAAATATCTGATTTATCTCACCATCCAATTATCTACCCACCTGTCTTCCTCTCTAGCAATCTATTTACTGTTTATCAATCTATCAATGTAATTGTCTAACACTCCTTTCTATTCTCTCCCTACTACTCACTATCAATTCATCCCCATATGAATCTCTAACCATATTGTATCTCTCCCACTGTATTCATTTATACACCATCAGCAGACATTGGCATCTTCAAAATTATCTTTCAACTTCTGTGAAAGCCAACGATCTCACAGGTTAACAAAATACAAAAGCAATACCCTGTGTTGTGGACTCTTTAAAATCTGGTATCCTATCCACCCAAGGGAGACACTAACAGATAGGCCAAAGTAGCAAGCTAATGATCAGTCACTCACTATTCCCAGAAGAGCCTGTGTTTTCTAAAACACTTTCTTGGGAAGCAGATCAGCCTAGAAAAGTTTTGATTAGCACTGTGGTTTTCCTTTTGCACTTGAAGGACAAAGGTGCCAGCCTTTATGCTTCTCTCAACCCTTCAAGAAAGTACATGTCAGGAACCTATGGCTGGCTTTCCTTAGCAGCAAGAACTTGAGAGAAAAACACATCTGTCTCTGCAATGCAAAGTGAAGAGTCCACCCGCCTGAGTGGGATGACTTCAGCTAGAGTCTCCTTTCTGCTCCAGTTCTGGTTTAATCTGTTTGAAAACTATCCAGTAAAAAGCTGATGGAGGCCAATTACATGGCGGGTGTATTGACAACTCTGGTATTTGTTTCAGGAAGCTCTTCTAAGCTGAGGGCACTTGAGCAACTGACTTAATTTTCAAGCACTTGATTAACACAACACTGCAAACAGAAGGGAGAAAGTGTCAGTGACACAGTTTCCTCTGATGCAGCTGCTTCTCCAATGGCTTTGGGGAAGAACTTCACCAGCTCTTCAGGTTCAAAGCAGACCCAGCATACAAACAAGAGCTGAGCCACCTTTGCTGTCTTGTCTCCTGGGACGAGAAGGACTCATCCAGCAAAGTTGCCTGGGATTCAAAATAAAGGCATTGCAGACCGCACAGGTGTGCTGCAGGGACTGATCCACAGAGAGGATGAGAATGCAGCATCAATCGCAGACCTGCCCTGCCTCAGTTGGAAAACCTTTTCAGGCCCTCAGTCTAAAAAATAAAAAATATGAGCACCATTGAATTCTGTGCCCTTAATGCTTAACTGGTCTTCTTCCTCTGGTATCAGTGTCCTCTTTGTTTTTGTCCATCAAGGCACATGAGTGTGACCTCTGCCATGGGGAAACACACACAGAGATATCTATACATATATACATACATACAAACATAGGCTATCTTGGCACACTAAATGCTAAGCACTGTCTTAAGAGGTAGAGCTGGTGTGAGTGAAATTAATGTTACATTTTCCAGCTGTAAACAGACATCTGCATTTCCTAGTGAGCTGCCAGGAGCCAGATTCGGGAACCGTAACTGATGTGCCAGGAATGGTGCATTGATTCCCAGTTCCAGGGATGATCATGAGCAGGCGCAAAATCAGAATTAAAGGTCGCACATAGACGTTTCAGATCTGTCACCACCTTCAGCATCTGGAGTTGAGTTGGTGTCAGATAGTGTATGAGAATTAAATGTGTCATCTGAGCATGCTACTGATGATAAATTTGTTACTTTGGAGTTGAATAAATGTGAAGGCTGTGAAGAGTGGACAGTCTTGGAGAACACAGTGCTTGAAATGGACAAGCTGGACCTATTCCTCACTCCAAGACTTGTTCTACAGGAAAGGGTCCATGCTCCTTTGGCCAAGATCATCAGAACCTCTCAACCCAACAAGGCTGGCTTCAGGGCCACTATGGAACCCTGCTGTTCCCCCTTCCAAAGGATACTAAGATGCCCCTCTGGTGGGTACCTATCCCAGCCACGTTTCAGAGGGAGAGAAATGCTACAGTTGATCCTCATCTGTCTGGGGTAAAGACAACAAAGTAAATACAACCCAAGGCAACTGGGGTACTCACTGGGAGTGAAAATGACTTCTTCACAACAGACATATTTCTGCTTCTGTGTTTTTGTGTTTCTTTGGTGGGGATGGCTTCATGGGAGAGTGGCTGTCACCCATCATTTTGAAGCATATAGAACAACAAATGCTTACACAAGACAATATCCACACTTTTCCAACTTCACACACGGAGAGTACATGGAGAATGCCTACAGGCTAGATTTGTTCAGGGTGCCAGTAGTGGGCATGGGGTGGGGGCAAGGCAGGACAAAACATACAAGTCTGAGCAAGTACATCTCTTGCAGGTTTTCCACATGAAAAGGAAGCCAAATAAGTCCTGTTAGGAGATTAGGTGAGAGGAATTAGCAATGTAGGGACTCTGAAACCCTTCCCCTTCCCAAAACAGAGTTCATATGCACTTCCACCAAAGTAATGCCAATGAAAGTGCTCGTGTTAAGGCTGCAGCCAAGCTTGTTTTTCAGTAGTTTAATGTCAAGTGCCTGATACAGTCGACTGCAAGTCTAAACAAGCATGTTTAGTTTTTCTCATTCTTGCTTTAATTCAGGGAGGGGGAGATGTAGAGAAGTGGTTGTGAAAACATGTACAGGCTTTATGCAGAGCACTGCGCATGGCTGTTCTGCTGCAACTGTGCTCCACGAAACAGAAGAAAAGGTAAGGTGTTGTGTCACAAAGAGGCCCCAGTCTCTTTCTTCTTACATCCATGCCTCTTACTAGATGATACATTTACAGATTGGGCAGTTTGTTCTCAAAACCTGGGTGAGAAGACTATTCCTGGACTCTAGCAACTTCAAAACTGAGGCTGGGTTTCAGAATCTTTTTCTGCATCAATTCAGTCAATTTGCCTTCAACAAAGAGAAGTCAGCAAGTTCTATTTATGCTGAAAGAACTATTCCATGAGAAAAGCAGAGAACCCCAAAGTGGGCAGGCAACCCCGACGAGAGCTTATCCCTGTGGCGGCATCAGGAGTGGCTGTACATTGAATTTTCAAGTGCTGGTTGGCTGTCGCCAGCCCATGGTAGGAGGGGAGGAATGGCTTAAGATGAGGTAAGATCTGGTGGTGGGGCATCTTTCCTCAATTCCATACTGACTTTGATCTTGAGAAAGAAAAACTGGCTATGCATTACCTAAAACCAGTCCAAAATGAAACAGACCAACACACACACAAAAGCAAATTGTCAATCCCTTTGGAATTAAGGGAAGCAGCATAAGGTTTTTCTTTTTGGAAAAAATGCATTTATTTTCTTTTTCTCCAACAGCAAGAATCTTTTGTTTTCATTTTGCACGTGACCTTATCTTGGAAACTCTTATACCCAATTGCCTCCCCTCCTATTATTCAGAGCTTCCCTGTCTTTTTACTTGAAGACAAATAAGTTTGAGCACTTGAGTAAAACTTCACAGGTGTGTAAGTAGGAAGGCAACATTTTCAAAAAGAGACCATATGATGAGAACGCCTAATGATCACCACATGCAAACAAACAAAACTGCCAGTCTCATTTCCCACATTTCTTACTTAAGAGAAGAGAAGTAAATGAAAGGAAGAAGAAATAGATTTGTAATTAAAGATGTGGCAAAAAAGATAGGGCTGAGCCAGTTCAATTTAGCCTTCAGGTGCAGAATACTTAGAGTCCAAAGAAATGTGGAGTGGACTTAATTAGATGCAGTTGTCTTTATCCTGAAAGTAGTGAGCTAAGCCTAATTTCCAGCATTTTGAAAGAGATTCCTTTTTGTTTCTTTCCATGGTGCCCTCTTTAAGGCACAGAGTTGCTCCACACCACTGGGTGGAGAAAGAAAGATTGCGAACCCTCGACCATCCTTTTGAGGCTACATTCTATGTTATTTGGCAGATTTATAAAGCTATCAGTAATAACAATGCTATGTACTGCAAGCTGCCCTTGTGTTAGTTAAAGGGAGCATTTTTAATCGTTCGGAAATTTTCGTGACATGTCAAGTGCAGTTGTGAGGACTGTGTGGGTGAACGAAAATGTGTCTGTCAAGTTCAGAGTCCTTTAGATTTAAAAAAAAATTATGACTTATCAATGGTGCCGTTATAGCTGTGTCAGACAATGGGTGTGCCCATTCTCACAATTATCCTTCAAAAAAAATCTATGTTCAAATGCTTTAAAAATTTATCACACGATACAAGAGTATGACTTTGTCAGCCTTCTAGAGTTCTTTTTTTCTTTTATTTTCTTTCGTATTTTTTCCTTCAAAAAATCAATGAAGACTTGATTTCTGTCAATAATTGTATCAAGGGTGAATATACTACCTGAATTTTGTGCATGTTACATTGTAGTTGTAACCTTTTCTAATTCAGGATGAATACGAGATGGTTGTGATTGTGCAGTGTACCAATAAAGTTCGAGAAATTTGTAACTTTTGGGGGGCTGTTTATTAGGACATCTCATTGATATCCAGGACGGGAAAAATATGAAGCGAGCTCTGCTTCTCCCATATGTGCGTTTTTGGCCCTGGAGAGTAGATGCACTCAGAAAGCCTGGAGCTGCACCCCCCACCTCTCTCTCTCCCTCCTTCTCTCTCTCGCACACACTGTAGAAAGCAGCCTTAGCACTGTCCGTATGACATTTGTATATCAAAGATCTATGCTGTTTACAAACAATATAAAATGTAGCTGCAGCCTCAAAGTCTAAATTGTTTGTTGGTGTAGGCGAAAACGAAAGCAGAAGAGAAGTGTCAGAAAAATAGGGGTGACCAGATACTGCCCAGTTTGGGCATTTGAGTCCCTAAGTTCCTGTTGCTTGATTTCTTGAAGTACACACCACGTTAACAAGGGTAAGTATGAGAAGACATGGGGTCGAGGATGTACATTGATTCTTAAAAGTGTGTGCCATTAGATGAAGGTTTATGCATCTTAGGTTTTACTTGGGTTGGGTTTCATTCAGCTGAGGCTTCTTGTGGAATAGTATGAGAAAGAACCCCAGAGGAGCGGCTCCTTTCCTCTGATTGCCATTTCTAAAACACCTTTCTCTTCCAGTGAAACCCCAGCTCCCCTTTCTCCATCACACATCCATCTGCTTTTCTAAAGAAATGGATACTAACTTCTTTTTACACCTCAGTTTCTCATTAGCCATTTGTATATCAATTAAGCCTTCCCAGTTCTGCCGTTAACTAGGTGTGAGATCTTAGACTGGTAAGTGACTTTCTTAGCCTTTGTTCTCTCATCTGTATCACTGGTGAATTTAATTACACCACCTAGTGTACACTGGTTCAGAATTATTTGGCTGCTATTTGGTTTATTTTGCAACTATGAGATTTCTTAAGGCTGTCCTCAAATAAAGCTTAGGGACAGTGACTAATTATGATTTGATAACTGAATAGAAAGTGTAAAATTATTTCATTAATTTTACAGCACATGTAGCTTCTCTGGCAAAGTCCCTGAGCTAAAGTTGTGAGTCTTATATTCTTGTTGGCTTCCTACGTAGACAAAGTCTAATCCTTTCATGACTCAGTCTCCCCTACAGGGAATGGAACACAGATAAGTTGATAGACTAGACACATGTTCTTTGTAAATTGCAATGGCAAGTAAACACTAGGCATCAATAATTGGGAGTTTCCAATTTCCTCTGGCTCATTGTAAAATTATGATTCATCAAGGGAATGAAATTCCAGTTCCCCTAGCCATCTCAGTACCTTTAGTACTCCCTTTCTTGTTGCCTTTTTTTCCTTCCTTTTCATCATCCTCTTCCTATGTGCACCTGACCCTTTCTTGCTCCTGTTCATACCACATTTACCCATCCATCTGCTGTCAGTCTCTCATTCCATTTAGCCACTCAGCTCCATCCATCATCCATGAACCAATTTATTCTCCCATCGGCTAACTACTCAACTATCCATTCACATATTATTTTCCCATTTATCTAACCCTTTTTCCATCTCTATACTCATGCACCTCCTTAATGTGAGACTGTTTCTCACTCATCTATTTATTTAGACCATCTATCCTTTCCCAGCTGTCAGTCCATCCACCAGGCTTGCTCCAGCTAGCCTTTAGCGGACACACCTGTTTACCAATCCACTTCAAGGTAATGAAAATCTTTGCTGTTATCTCACTATTCCACAAGGGAAGCTTTATCTAGTAACTCGTAAGCATGGCAGCTAAATGATTGGATGCATTTTTATCTTTGCCCTATGAAAATCCTATATATTCAGAAGTGCCTCTGGAGATATATTAAGGGCATTCCTCTTCCTATCAAGGTGTATTAAGTAGGAAAAGCATGCGGAGTTGGGAGTGGAGTGGAAATACCCAGATGAGCAGGTGTAACACTAGGATTGTAGTCGCGCAATGAACATAACAAACAACTGACGAAACAGACAGGAGGGACCTCAACTGGCAACTGACCTCCTTCTTTCCCCACAATTTAATTTGCTGTTGAATTAATTATTCACTTTGAGAAAAATTCACGGGGAGTGCTAGTTGAGGCCAAACCCTATGATCAGTTTTGAAAACCAAACATCAAATTAGAAGTGATGCTACCTTCTTTTAATATGTTCATCCAATCATTGGGATATCTTTTTTCTTTCCCTTATATTTCCCCAGTTAGTCATTATTCATGCATCACATTTAGTCAGGAACTCCACTTGAGGAGTTCACATTTAAGATCTAAAAACTGCTGTATAAGAAGAAAAATTACAGTTGAGCATGGCAAGTATTATGACAGAGATATGAGGAAACGACTGCAAAGTGCAGAGCAAATATTGTGAGATGATTAGGAGGCATTCTCGCTGTACCCCATTTCTTCCGCAGGGATAAAACGCTGGAATGTAAACAGCTAACAACAGCTAACATAAGCTGCAGACATGGTGCACAGATAAATTACTACAAAAATCATTGGGTTACAGGATCATACACATTCGGTATTCGATAATTTATCAATGGCGTGAATAGCATTTGTTAAATGAATGAGTACCATCAAGGCAGTTAAAACTACAAGTGGCCAAAGGACCACACTGTACAGTTGATGACAGGCTAACACAGACCTGTTGGAGAGGAGGGAGCGACACCTATAATGTCAAGGCTGGTTAGGAAGCTGGTTATGAAGTCTCAGTCCCACATAGGATTACTGAGCATATCACCTTTCACTGGCTCTAACACCACGAGCCTTGCTGATGAGGGAAAGAGAAGCTCCATCTGGGGGCATGCGCTGCAGCTGAGGCATGGAGGGGTAGGCGGAGCTTACGAGTGGACTTGCTGAATAGACCCCAAGACTAGGCTTCTCCAGAGAAGGCTAACACTCTGTGATGTAGGATGAAACACCCGGGTCATTTGCATGTCAGTGTCCCACAGGGTCTGTTGTTTCGAAGATAAAAATAGTCTTAGTTTTATCTCCATGAATTCCTCTCTCCCATATGACTTACTGCCTTGCCTTTACCATGAGTTCTCCAACCAGCTGGCTTGTTTCAGAAAACTTGACCTCGCAAATTACCTGTTATATTGTCTTACACCAATTTCTTACCCTTTCTGAACTTCAGTCTCATCTTTAATAAAACAATGGTAATGATACGCATCTCAGTAGAATAGCTGTGAGAATTATTCCACTTCTAGATGTGAATACGTAAGGGAGTTTAGCTTAGTCCCAGCGTATAACAATTACTTGCAAAGTAAACATTTGTGTTTTTTTTCTCTTGTTCTTCTCTCAGCCTTCTTTTATGTCCTCACTTTCCTGAGTTGTTTGAAGATATAATTCAAATGTGTTGAAAATTCAACTTCATTGAAAAAATTAAAAATTGTAATTTATATGTAATTTCTTTGTTGAAATTCAAAGAGGAGAAACACATTTCTGAGTCTTGGATTATTCAAGAACACAAGGTTGGAAAGGCATCAATAAGGTTTTGGTAGAATTCCAAAGGAGTGTTGAAGCAATAGAGTAGAACTAAATTTTTAATCTAAGAAACAGGTATCAGATAGCCAAGTTATGACAGGTACTGAGGATTCAAATTGAGAGACAGAGTGTATATCTTCCAGAAAGTCCTAGCCCAGATTTCACAGCACAGCACATGGTAGTTTTTAATCAAGGGCTTGAGGAGCCCAGTAGAAGCCACTTAACCCAGACAGGAGGGCTGAAGGCACTCTTCCAGAAGATGAGAGGTCTCACCTGAGCCTTCAGGAAGCGGAAGGACCTAGCCAGGGAAAGGGAGAGGGAGAGGAGCAAGTGACTGTGGACAGAGGGACATCGTCAAAGAGCACATAGAGGCACGAGAGAAGCACAGCATGGTCAGGAAACTGTAAGTATAGATTACCCCATGAGGGGTGCAGGCAGAGGTGCATGGCAGGAGACGAGGTCTAGACCCTAAAAACCTCTATGGGGAATGCTGATATACTGGGACTTGTCCTGAAAAAAATAAGGAAGATGTTGAAGGATTTAATAAAAAGAGCGGCTAAATTGGTCTTGCAGTGTAGAAAGATCAGCCAGGCAGCAACAGGGACTAACTGGGCATCGGTCACACTGGCAAGGGGAAAACATGTTAGGAGTCATTGAAATAATTCAGGTGAGAAATGGTAAGAAGGAATTAGAAAAAACAGGCAAGTTGGGATGATTTTTCAGGGGTAGTTTTGATGGGAGGGCCTGGAGGTATGGGGTGATGGAGGATGTAGAATATGGGGAATACACAAGGTTTCAAATTCAGCCAACTGGACGGAAGATGGTACCATCCTACGATTCTCAAAACTTAAAAGAATGATGAGGTTCCATCCAATTTTTGATATATCCAGTTTTAAGTATCTGTAGAACCTCCAGGTGGAGACATTTAAGCACCATCAGCATTTTCCTAAGTCATCTAATTATATCCACTGCCATGCACAAGGGATGCCTGATTTCCTTTCTCTGCCTCTCACTTTAATTCCAGAGGAACTCTGGCTTCTTGGATCATCCATCTGCAATTCATTTATCATCCTCCATTTCCTCTGTATCCTGATTTTGTCTTAAAAAGGTACTGGTTTTCTCTTTTCTTTTTTTTTAACTGCTTGTTGTGATAGAAGAGTAGAGAGCAGTTCTCTGATTAGGCAGTAAAGAAGTAACAGATGCTTTAAATGGGGAAGGGGGAAACTGGCACAGCTGTCCCACTGCCTAGATGAAGTTTGGCTCTTCCTGGGCCTCATACAAAGGGCCAAGCCATTATTCACTGGGTTCTGTGAGAATAGCTGACCACTGAGCGTCTTCGAATGAGGGTGGAGTTTTCTCCCAATTTGCCTGTAATATTACAGTGATGCAAGTTCTCTTTGTATTTTCATCACATAGTTTGATGCTCACTTGCTTGCTAACAAATTCCAGAAAGGTTTTTAAGCTTTCAAACCTCATCAGAGAGCTTACCTCTGATTAAGAGTGATGCATTTCATTTGAATGACTTAAGGATTGAAATATACATTAAGCTTGTTCCTTTTTTTTTTTCAATGATCCCAGAGAGGTTCTCCTAAAACTAGAGGAGGCTGAATCTCAGTAGGAAGCCACAGTGTCTGACTGCATCCAGGTGGCCCTGTCAGCTCACATCCAGTACAGAGCCATGTGAATTGGGTCTATTTGTGTTGCTCAGGAGGCAAGACAGCACAGTCTTTCAGGTCAGGGAGAACCAAGTTGAAATTCTGATTCTGCCACGTACTGGCTGTGTTCCTATAAGCTTATGAAATAATCTCCTACAGTTTCAGTCTACTCATCTACCACATAGAGCTGGGAGAGAACTACCCTGTGACATTGCTATGAGGTGTATAAGAGAAAGAGTAATAGGAAAATCCCTGCACAGCTTCTTGCCTGTAGATGCTTGGCATTCAGTGGTAGACAATCAGTAACTTCTTTCCTCATTCTCTTCACAGTCTTCTGCCTCTTTCAAGCCACCCCACACCTACCACTTATGATTGTCTAGAAGGCATCGTGTAAGGGCTGGTTTCAATTACATATCACATTACCAGATTTATGGTTGGGATTCCATGAAATAAAATATGTAGTGTGCCTAACAAGGTGCCCAGCTTCTAAATGCTTAATCATATCCAATTTCCTTTCCTCCATTCTCTGCAGCCATTTGAGCATAAGCGAACCAGGTACAAATGCATAGAGGATGCCTGTAAGTTCTCTGCTGCCCAGACCCTGAAGGTGTACAGGTGCTTTCTGGGAAAGCACCTGTATACCTGAGAACATAGGCAGCCTGGGGCTCTGCCCATGAAGCCTATCTCTTTTGCTCTCAATCTTGTTTCCTGTGTGGTGGATTTGCAAGGATGGTTGCTCTGGTTACAAGACCAAACCACTTCAGTTTCTGTCTCTTTGTCACTAAAGGTCTCGGGGGAATCAGCTTATTAGAGAAATAGTCACTGCATAGTTGAATCAGCTAGGACCATACAAGGACTCACTGGAAGTCCTCAGACACAAAGCTGCCAATTCTCCTCTTGAGGCACACAGAGGCTCAGTTTCAGTGCCATGGCAGTGTGGACAGCCCCATTTGTGATTTCTCTCTGTTTCCTATTACCCACCTTGTGTGATGGTGGCCCCAGTGCTGAGTCAGTCTGCTTGCTGGGATGTTTCCACTTTGGTGTAAATTTCTAGTTGAGTTTGTCTCAAAACTCCCCATTGTCCCTGCCTGGCTCTTTCCTCTACTCACCTCTGTTCCATGGGCAGCTTCAGCACTTTTCAACCTACCCCATTCCTCCTCTTAGTTATTTCCTACCTTAAGAAATTTGAAACTGCTAAGGAAGAGAGTGAGACAAGAAGTGAAAGGCACCATGCAGGCGAAGAATTCTGCCTTGTGAAGATGAGTTTTGTTGTAGTGCACGGGGAGTCTGCAGGTGAATCTTCTCTCTCTGCAGACCCACTCCTGTTCCTGTACAGCAACCTCAGGACAATAGTGATACATGTGCAGGGAGCAGAGGCTGGTGAGGGAGCTGAGCAAGGATGGAAAGCTGTTAACATTTGTGTATTTATGGAAATCACGTGAGAAGTTCAGGCTGTCATGTGTCCTAGTTCATATAATATTCAAAGCAATCTTGGGAATAATGTGTTATCCCCACTGAAGCTCCAAGGCCCACTGTTGAAGACTAGCAGGGGTGGGGTTCCAAGGCAAGTCCATCAAATTTCCAACTACGTGCCCTTTCCAGTTACACGCCAGGTTGTCTCCATGCTTCAGGGTTCACCCCGTGTTCCAAAAAACACTGGGATTTCTTTAACGAACACAAGAGAAAGTCACTTCAGGCTCTTGCATGACTGCCTTATTTGTGAGCTTCCAGAAAGCTCACAAAGTGGGAAGGGTGTCTGTCTCTTGGAAGAAAAGAGTTTCCATCTCTTGGAAGAAAGGAGGGCAGGGGTTCCTATATCTTGAAAGAAAACAACATCAACTTTCTAGGCAATCTCCTGGCTGGATTCAAAGGCCAGGTGCAGAAAATGACTGTGCTCTTCAGCACTGACCCTGTCCACCTTCCCACTGGGGAATGAACCACTGGGGCTATAGGCTCACCTGAGACTGACCTTAACTCAAGGATGGGTCTCAGAGCCTCAGGGAAGCAACAGACAAAAGAATCTTGCAGTCCTAAAGAGAACTGAGGAGATAAGAGAATTAATTTTAGACTCAAAGTTCACAATGGAGTATCATACGAGTAAGAAGAAATCTTTGCTTTTTTCTTTTAGTTGGGACAAACAACAGGGGCTGACAAAAATCACAGCCTGGGAAGAGAGATTATGAACTGTAAAATATTGACTTGATTCAGTTAAATATGACTCCACTTATATGGATTCTAAATATAAATATATAGGTCTACTTAAAATCATCTACCCACCCATCTCTTTATCTCTCTACCTTTCTATCTGTCTCATTTTTCCTGTCACCCTCCATGACAATGAGCACAATAGCAGGAGGTAGTTTGTATGTTTGCTGTTTTCTCAATATCTACGACAGTGCCTGGCACAGGGTGGGCATCGGTATCCACGGAATGAACGAATCCATGGCTTTTGAGCTGAGGAAGAACATAATCAAAATGGTCCTTTGAGCTGAGGCCTTGCAGAGATGTACTGGATAGAGCGAAAGGGGGAAGCTAGCCCCAGTAGGCAGGGAAGGGGAGGCGGGGGAGCTATGTGTGGCCCGTGTTTGTGGTCATGAGCATCTGATGTAGGAGGTGGCCAAGGCTGGGAGGGATCATACAGACATGAAAGATATTGAGAAGGGAGGATCGATGGTATTTGTCTACTTATTTTGTCTGAAAGGAAGTGGCCTGAGTAGAGCAAGTAATTTCTTTTCATCGTGCTTTTGTTTGTTCATTTGTTTGTTGTTTCCTCTGGAATAGTGATACTAATCTTATATTTTTATAACCAGTCGTGTTTGCAAGAAGCTTGGGTTTCACTGCTCATATTTTTCAGGCAAAGCACCTGCCACACAGAGGCCAATGCTTTGTCCTGGTCTGACACCTAGTTAGAGGCAGATGAGAGCTGCTGTCCGGGTTCCCTGGCTACTCATGTATTCCTGGTCCCCTTTCCTCTCCTGGCCAGCCTCTGTTCCCAAGCAAGAAATTCTGTCCTTGCACCTTCCCTCCTGCTCTGGGGCAGTCAAGTTCCCACCTCATCAGTGTACATTTCCTCTTCCCCAACAAGCCCTGCGACCCCCAAAAGGGAAACCTGACCTAGTTCCCACCAGCTTACACTGCACCCTTGTACCTCACCTAAGAAAGACTACACAGGGCTGAGTGTGGTGGCTCACACCTGTAATCTCAGCACTTTGGGAGGCCGAGTGGGGGGATCATTTGAGGTCAGGAGTTCGAGACCAGCCTGGCCAATGTGGTGAAACCCTGTCTCTACCAAAAATATAAAAATTAGCCAGGAATGGTGGCAGGCACCTGCAGTAGTCCCAGCTACTCGGGAGGCTGAGGCTGGAGAATCACTTGAACCCAGGAGGCGGAGGTTGCAGTGAGCCGAGATTGCACTACTGCACTCCAAGCTGGGTGACAGCAAAACTCTGTCAGAAAGAAAGAAAGAAAGAGAGAGAGAGAGAGAAAGAAAGAGAGACAGAGAGAGAGAAAGAGAGAAAGAGAGAAAGAAAGAAAGAAAGAGAGAGAGACTGCACGACTAACTCAACCAGGAGGTGGCTTATATCCAGTGGATTCCCAGTGCCACAGCCTCCTTTCCCTGAGCATCTGCTTTGTGCCAGCACCACACTCAGCCTGGTAAAGAATGGAGTGGCATAAAATGTGGTCCCTGCCTCTGGGAGTATAGGATAGAATTGGAAGGACAACACACACGTGTGACACACACCACACACACACACACACGCACAAATTTGCATGACTAAAACCTGAAATGGTGAGTAGTCTTTAGAGGTCACTCCCACTGCTGGAAACTTGGGGGGGGTGATTACATCACAAAGACTACTTTGCTCAAATGCCCTCCTTTGCCTAAACACACACCTCCCCACCAGTGCAGCTCAGGGAAGGCTACCTGGAGGAGCAAAGCTGAGAAAGAGGGCAAGTTCCCCTCCCTCCCCTACCCAGCCTGACCAGTTGTTCCCAGGATCCATTGTTCTCCCTCCATAAACAATAAACAGCACTCAGGGGAGGGAGGGCCCAACACCGGGGTGGGTGGGCGCCCAGCTGCCGTCCTCTGTGCCACATCAGTAAACAGCAACACAACAATCAACTGGGCCTTTTTGATGAAGACAAAACCATAGAGGAAAACCATTAGAAGAGGTAATAAAGGCCCTTCTTATACAGTTAATAGAGAGCCTCCTGGATGGAACAAGACCAGCTGTTGCTACTGAAAATTTACTTCTGTTTTCAAGTTCAAATAGAGACTAAAACATTATCTTCACGGGAATTGATTTTACGTCTTCCAAACACATATGCCACCTTAATTGTGATTTGTGTGATAGTTCAGCTGCTGAAAGCTTTCGTTTATCTCTACCTGGTTAAACAACTTTAAATAATAACAAGTCAATATATCTGTTTATTGACCAGGGTTCTTCTCATCCCCAGAGCACACTGTTGAAGAAGAAGGTACTTAACCCTTTGTTTCCCTAGCCCTGCCACATATCTCATTTTTCACATTCTCAATGGGGAGATATAATTGTTTAAAAAATGGAATGAAGCCGGGTGGCATGGCTTACACTTGTAATTCCAGCTATTTGGGAGGCTAAGGCAGGAGGATTGCTCGGGGCCAGGAGTTCAAGACCAGTCTAGGCAACATAGTGAGACCCCATCTCTACAAAAAATTAAAAACTAACACCCCTGTGTTCCTGACTACTCAGAAGGTTGAGGCAGGAGGATCACTTGAGCCCAGGAGTCAGAAGCTGCGGTGAGCTAGGACTGGGCCACTGCACTCCATCATGGGTGACAGAATGAGACCCTGTCTCAAAAATAAACATAAAAAAATAAAGAATAAGGACATATAGGGCCTTCTGTGATGTGCTTTCTCATGGTGGGTTTGGGCTTTTTTAGCCTTAATGCATTCCTTAAAAGATTTTTTTAAGCGATTTTTGTCAAACTCCTTGGCTAAACTAAACTAAAAGTAAAATGGAAACTGAATTTCCTCATTCATTTTACTTAGAGAAAGTGTTTTTGGACTGAGATTGAGAAATGAGTATTAAAGATGGCAGCTTGTTTTAGAAGACCTACATAAACAAACAAACATGGCCTTTCAATAGTGTTTCTTCTAAGGTATGCCTCTTCTCTAGAAGGGCTTGATGTCCTATGAAGTGAGGTGGGGAGGAGGGGAAAAGCGAGTTTCTTTTTTTGGTGTGAACTTAAGCCTAGAATACTTCAAATAGTGAAATTTTGTTGGTAATGATGGTGATAGGGTAAAGTTTGGCTTTTTCTTGGTTTTTGTTTTTGCGGGACTCCATCATGGATCACCCAATAGGAAGCCAAGAATGAAGCAGACTGGGAATGCGAGAGCTCTTGTAGCCAATGCCCAGCCCTGCAAATCTGCCAGGGAAGCAGAACAGAGCCAAGTGGAAGTAGTGTCCTACTGGGCAGGGTTGGGCGTCTCTCCCTTATCCAGTGGGGTCTGCTCCTTGGAGTCAAGGGTCTGTCATGCATCCGAGGGTTTGGGGTCTATCTCTCCTCAGGATGACCCAATGTTCAGATGGCAAGGAGAAGGCACTGCCCACAGCCCCAGCTCTCCATGTGACCACCTACCACAAGAGTACCTCCCTGCAGTGTCGGCTTGGCTTATGAACCACAAGCACACAGGGAGGGGTGCGGATGGGGAATCTCCCACCTGCATCTGGTCTGCTGGGTAAAATCCAACTGGTGTCAGTGCAGTCCAAGTCACCGGGAGACATGCAGTTTGTGCTTCTGGGAGGAAGAAAGGGAAATACAAACAGTGCACACCATTCTCTGTTAACTGCCCTGGGAATGAAGAGGTGAGGCAGGCTGTATACCACAGCAGGTGTACATCAGGTGTACAGTTCGGGATCCATTCATTTGTTAGGAGTGTTTTCTAGTTTTCACTAAGTACTTGAAAGCTTGGCTTCCCGTTACTACCATCCCAATTCAGGCCTCCATTTAAAATGCACAGCCCCCCATGTTCTCACTTTCCTTTCTCCCTCCCACTTCTCCCAGTGAGCTCTATAGCTGCAGAGTAAATAATACTGTTAATAATAGCAGTACTTATAACTGACAGATTGCTTATAAACAATGAGCTGCCAAGGTAGGAAGCAATCATTAATGGCTAATTGGGAAAGACTTCTCGGGTTTGTGTGTTCACCTGATAATGTACGTTTCTCGACTCTTTTGAGTTTGTGTTCCCTGTATTTTTCTGCAGGGCATGAACTGTGCATCAATTCCCTTTGTATTCCCAACAATGAATGAGTGAGTGAACAAATGAATGAATGAATCCATTTGTTGTTTCTTTTAATCCATAGCCTGCTTCATTGGGTATGCAAACTTCCTCTTTTAATGTTGACATTGAAATGCCATCTGTACCAAGACTTTTTAGATGCCATTATGAAAGTGACTCCCTGCTGTCCACGTTTTATGGTGCCCTGTGTCTATTAAACTTATGTCTATAAATACCTACTATGGTCCACGTGTGTATTTGCATAGACAACACTATAACATTCAAAGCTTCCTCTTCCCACCTTCACAATCCTCATCAAATCAACTGTTGTCTTATTGTTTTATTTGTAATATTGCTCTCAAATTCTTGTCTAATACATAATTTTACAGAGATGTAAGCATAGCAAAGATATAATTCTGTATTGCAGTTTTTACAATGCAAGTAAGTATCTCCTTGAGCTTATCAGTTTGGAGGGGCACGGGGGAGTATTTCATTTGACGTACATAGTCACTGCATGTATATATATATATATGTGTGTGTGTGTGTGTGTGTGTCAAGGTGAATTAAATTAAGGAAACAAAGTGTTGTCCATCTTCAGGGTGGGGCTGATTGTTCTTACATGGAATCTAAGTCGGCAGCCAGAGGAGCCTCAGGAAACATCTGTTTTTTGTTTTGTTTTTGTTTTTGTTTTTTATTTTCTAACCTATATAAACTAACCCACTAAACCGTCCAAATTCTTTATGACTAATTCCAAGGGGATAGAGAGAATGAGGAGCAAGGCAGGAGAGGAGGTGAGCAAATATACCACCGTACTGGAAAGCTGAGGAAGGACCACGTGGGCACTGGACTATTGACGCACTGGCCAACGGCACGTGAACCAGTACTTGTTTTCCAGACAAAGAAACTGAAATCCAGAGAACAAATTGCCCAGCAAAACAAAACTAGGCAAAAACATTGACATCTAGAGCTCATGGTGTCTAGTTCCCAGCCCAGGGCTCTTTCAACTAGACCAGGCTGTCCTAATTGCACAGAGCCTGGCCAGGGAGTGAAATTCCTGCTCCTTCCCTAAAGGGAAGCTCCAGCTTGCCCTGTCCACAGCACATCTGTGGAGGCGAGTACCTGTGGCAGAGCTCCCAGACAGAGTGCCCAGGGACAGAGACTCGCTCACTGCAGCTGGGATGTGAGGAGGGGAAGGTCTCCCTGCTTACTTACATGCTCCTCAGACTAAAGGAGCAGTTTCAGGGATGTGAGAATGGAAATGCATGCTCCTGGTGAAGGGCACAGACAGCTGTTCCATCCCCACCCCGCTTACCCCGCACATTGCTCAGTTCTTCCTTTGTGCACAGGGGGGCACTAGCAATACACTCGTGGCAGCCCCAGCAACCTGCATGCTCTGCAGCTGCTCAGGGAAGAACTTAATTACACCCACTTTCAAGTGAGCATAGCACGCTCTTCAGTGAGTGAGTTCTGCAATGCAGACCTGCTGGCTAGGCTGACTCCGATGCCACCTCCTGCAGGAAACGTGGCCTCCTCTGATTAACCCCACTTACTTGGGATCACTCCAAATCCCCTTGGCTCCCCAGTGCCTTGGTCAGTTGGCCATTTACCTGTTAGCCTCAGGCATGTTGCTTTTTAAAGCATCCCTAGGTATTTCTCTTTCTTTTCTTTATCTTAAGTTCCCATTGTGCAAAGACCATGTTTTTTCCTGCTAGTTCTGATAGACAGCAGCGTCCTTGGAGGGATATTCAGTAAGCCTGGTGTGGGGAAAGCATGCTGAATGTGGAGTCACAAGACAGATGTGCTCAAATCTTAACACCCAACCACCATCAAACCTGAGGCAAGCCCTCTTACCTCTCCACACCTCAGTTTCCTTATCTGTTAATTAAGAATTATCATAGCGGTGTCATAGGGCGATGTGAGAATTAACGAATAAAAATTATCTGCAAGCGCCTGGCATGGCGCCTGAGCACAAAGGGCACTTTATAACTGTTGGCTGGATCCAAATGGTGCTGGGAAAGATTCCCTCACTGGACACTGAAGACAGCCTGCAGTCTCCCTGCCATGGACCTGTAGCCAGCAGTGCTGTGCTGGACACCAGGTGATCGTACTAAGGAAGACACAGTTCCTGCCCCCAAGAAGCCCAGTGGGCAGTTGGAACAGGATCATTTAAACGTAAAGTGATATTGCTAAGACCGAAGGCCAGAACACTCGCAAGGGCATAAACCACCTTGAAGAGGGAATCTCTACCACTCCCTTTTCTCCACACTGGAGGCAACTGACATGCAAGTAAGGAACTGTGGCCATACAGTTGGGTGTTGTCTCCAACCCAGCTCCACAGCATCCTCTGGCCAGAAGACTCCTGATGATGGATATAAGACAAACACTCAGGTTGGGCTTCCTGCCCAACCATGACCCTAAACAAGTATCGTCTCCATGAGGTGCTCTTTTACATTTGTAAAATGCAATGGCCCTGCCACCCCCAGGGCTGAGAAAATTTAAATGAGATAAGTATGCGTGGTACATAATGAAATGTAAGTGCTAGTTTCCTCTTCCCTGAGACTGGCCAAAGCACGTAGCTCTGAATTCTACTTAGATTCTCCCTTTCCCTTTTTAGGGGTGTTTTATATTCCAAAAATCACCTCCAATTTTTCTCTAACTCCTCACACACACACCAATCAAAAGTTTTTACTTCTGTCCTGAAAACTGGAACACAGAAGAGACAATGGGATTCATTTATTGAAGACATTCACACTGAGGTCTGTAAATGACCGGTAAATTTCCTCTTTCAAGGTTTATTTGCCCTTAAAAATACAGACTCTCCTACCTTAAGACTCTCTAAGTGGTAAGATGTATTCGGAGCTCCTGTTAAAGAGTTGGAAGGATGGGCTTTTTCACCCCGCATTGGGTTTAGGTGCTAGACCACCCACCTCCCCACTAACTTCCCCAGTGACCAAAGAATGGATCATCTGGATCCTCACATCGAAGTGGCAGATCACCTAGTCTCTATGCTAAATTTCATCACTTTAACACATTTGTGGAAAAAATTCCTGTCTTGTCTTTGATGTCTTTTGTCTTCATGAAACATCTCTTACTGTGCTTAATTTTAAAGAAAAAACAAACAGCACTAATTTAGAACTTGGCATGAATGACCTCTAATAGGTTCTTTTTGAAACTGATGACCTTTTTAGTTTATTGAACCTTGTGGACCTCCACCCTTCTTTTTCTGTGACCCCTACAAGCGATGGTATTTTCTTACCCCTCCCCGATTTGGGGAAATACACTCTTGCTGAAGAAAATGCTTCAATGTATGGTGAAGGGCTCTCATTGACCTCTGGTTGAGACTGGTGTACTTGAAATGAATGTATCGATCTCTGTGTAGCCCATCCCTCAGGATCCATGAGCTCCTTATACCTCTGGAGTTACTGAAGGAGTATGATATAACAAGTTATAGGGCTTTTTTCCCCCCATTAGCCATTCGCAACTATTGCTGTTTTAATTCCACAAGTAAGTAGTGTTTCCTAAAAACGAATTGAACTATGGAGAACTGGGGATGTCAAGGGCAGCTCTATCATCTTCCTTGTACTCAGTCTTCTCCCAAGAGTTTCCCCCAAACAGGATAATCTCACACCTATAATTTCTCTGATGGGTGTTGTTAACTGTGACTCCATTCATCATCTTTTCTGTCCCTGCTGTATAAATCAGCTCTCCTGGCCTTGGCTTGTATGTGTTCTATTTTCGCTATCTCCCCATAAAATTGTTACTTTTGGATGCTGAAAGGGGAAGGACAACTTTCTTGTTTAAAATCATCATCACCATTTGTGACAGAAAAATCATTCTCTAAAAGATACTTATATCCTAGTCACTTGAGTCTGTGATCCTTACACTCTATAAGCTAAAAGGGGGATGTGTGATGGGGGAAGAGTTTACAGATGTGATTAAGGATTTTTAGATGAGGAGATTATGCTGTATTAGCCAGGCAGGCCCTAACTGTAATCAGGTCTATCCTTATAAGAGAGAGACAGAGGAAATCTGACACAGAGAGAAAGCTATGGGGAGATGAAGCAGAGAGGAATTTGAAAATTTTCCCTTAAGATTAAAGTGATGTGGCTATAAGCCAATGAATACTGGCAGCACTAAAAGCTAGAAGAGGCAAGGGACTCTTCCTCTGGAGCCTCTTGAGGGACTGTGATACTGCTGATGCCTTGATTTCTGCCCAGTGATGTTAATCTCTGACTTCTGACATTCATAATTGTAAGAGAATAAACATGTGCTATTTCAAGTGACCAAGTTTGTGGTAAATTCATTCCAGCAGCTGCACCATTTATTATTTCTTTTCAGACAATGGGACATTTTTCTCAATACTAATTGCCTTGTAAAGCCTCACTGCATTCCCGCTCAATATACCACATTTTCACTAGCACCACTACCGTCATTATGAAAACATAAATTAAGAGCCACTAGCCCAGACATTTACAAATAAAGTTAGAGACTTCTAGGGAAGACTATGGTGAATTAATGTGAGAAACCATCTTCCATTTCAAACATATTAAAATGCTACATAAAATATTTTTTGAAGAAATCAAATAGGTTGCTGAGCTGGAAATCAAGAAGGAACTAACTCTACTTCTGCAGACACAGATGCAACACGTGGTGGAAAAAAGATGCTGGAATCACAGAATCAGTGATGGGAAATGAACAGAATACAGACTGTAGAGACCTTCCTGCCTATGTCGGATACAAATCAATTGCTAGCACTGCATACATAGAACAGCTGAAATATGTGCCCTGGATAAAGCTAGGAGACTGAAAAATGTTGCACCTAGGAAAAAACCTTCACTTCCTGGCCTGAATAAGGCAGGAAAATGGTTACCTCCATCTAGGCCACAAGGAAGAAATGATTCTGCAGCAAGAAATCAGAGAACCTAGTCTGAACTACACTAGGATATAAGGCCTAACCTTTTGTGTTAAATACATTTGGTCTGGAACCTGTAAAATGAGTAACAACTTGGCAAAGGCAACAAGGAACCATCTCTTGCAGAATCCTCCATAACCTGCAGAACACACAGAGCACTCACAGAAGAAAGTGCCTGGGAAAATGAGTTCATAATCTAAAACATTAAAATATACTAGAAAATCCAACATTGACATATTTAAAGTAAATATATACAGCAATTGGGAGCAACCTAAAATTCCTAAGGTAAGAAGATATTGGCATACAAAAAAGAACAGGTGGCTTAAATAAATAAATAAACCTATAAATGAATGTCTGCATTATTGGTAAAGAACAATTAAGTCATTTCATTTAGTTATTATTCATTCAACAAATACTTATTGATGCCTACCATGAGCCAAGTACTCTTTTAAGTGCTGGAGTAATGAGATGATAAAGAAAACATTACCCTAATCCTCATGGACCTCATTATCTAGTGCAGGAGACAAAGTATGCAAGTGAACATGTAATATGTTGTCAGTTGGTGATAGTGCTATAAAGCAGCATAGAGTAGGAGAAAGGCTGCAGAGAGATATGAATGTTGTTAAAGAAGCAAGCCCTAAAGATCTTAAAAAACAGAATTCACAAGAGCCAAAATAGCAAGTGCAAAGTTCCTGAGGTAGGTGCACACTTGGGAGTTGGAGAAATTGCAAGGAGGTCATGCTCGAGCTATGATATTTTGGTGGCTTCTCTTAGGTGCTATCAGTGGAGACTATGAGAAACATTTGGATCTAGGATTTGTTTTTTAAAATGTTGATGGGGTTTACTGATATGGTAGTAGCAGAGTGTGACAGAGGAAGAGTAATCAAAATGTCTGCTAAGTTTCATTTGAGAGCTACCGGAAGCAGGGTAGTGCACTGTACTGAAGGTGAGCGGAGGAACGTGTGCCTCTGTGTGTGTGGGTGTTTGGGTATGTGTGTGTGTACACATGCATGTATGTTTCACTTAAAGTTACTCTTGAATATTCAGAAGGATGTCTAGTAGATGATTACTATGTAAGTACAGAGCTTAGGGGATAGATTGGGACTGGAAACAAAAATTTGGCAGTCATCAGAATACAGATGGATTTAAAGCTAAAGTTGGAAAAAAATTACCTAAGAAGAAATTATAGATAGAGAAGAGAAAGGGTCTGAAATCCAACATTTAAATATGAGAAACAAGGGATTCTCATTGCAAGAAGCAATGAGAATGAGTTTCCATTAAGGTAAAAAGGAAAAAGAGAGGTGGCATCCTAGAACCCAAATGAAGAATGTGTTTCAAAAGAAGCCATGATCGACTGCATCAAATGCTGCCAAAATGGGCAGATATTTTAGCACTGAGACTTGACTGATACTTTTGGGAGGGAAATGATTTTTTGAGGGAGAGGACATTGATGTGCAATTTTTTTTTTTTTTTTTTTCCGAGATGGAGTTTTGCTCGTATTGCCCAGGCTGGATTACAATGGCGTGATCTCGGCTCACTGCAACCTCCACCTCCCAGGTTCAGGCGATTCTCCTGTCTCAGCCTCCCGAGTAGCTGGGATTACAGGTGTGCACCACAACACCTGGCTAATTTTTGCACTTTTAGTAGAGACGGGGTTTCACCATGTTGGTCAGGCTGGTCTCAAACTCCTGACCTCAGGTGATCCACCCACCCTGGCCTCCCAAACTGCTGGGATTATAGGCATGAGCCATCATGCCCAGCGGACATGTGCAATTTTAATAAATGAAGTCGTGAGGACAAATCTTGGCATGTGTGAGGGAAATAATAGATGAAGAGAAAGTGGAGACTTACTTAAATGTTGCTATAAAGGATCCCTGAGAAGTGAGTAGTAGCTGGAGGAGGTGAGGACAAGAGATAGATTTCTAAAGATGGGAAATATCACAGCACCTTTGTGCTCTGATGGGAATAGTCCAGTAGAAAGGGAAAATTACAATGCAGGAGAAGGTGGAAACAATTGCAAGGCAAAGACCTGCTCCAAAGTGGGGATGGATTTTAACAGGCAAGGGAGGTTTCCTTCAAGTAGAAATCTACTTGTTGTGAGAGGCAGGAAGTTAGAATGAAAGCATGTGTTTAGATGAAGGCTCATCTCTTAGCCACGATTTCTCAGAAAACATAACCGGCTGATGCTTCATTTGGGTGGTGCAGGCCCACAGTAGCAAGAATGAAGAAAAAGTAAAGTGCAACAATAAGATTTTAAAAACAAAACAACATGATGCTTTACCATATTCGCTACTGCTTCCTGGTGAGTCCAGGAAGAAAAAGACAAAGCAGGTCTCTCAGCATCTGCTGCTGCTCAGCGCATGGGTTTTTTTAGACGGCACGCACCCAAAAGCTGTGCCTTGGAATAGTCCATGGGAAAGAGGAGTGGGGGGAATTTATTTTCTCAACTTCATACTGTCTCCTGTTTTTATTGGTTAAAGTTTGCCAAATAACATGAAGTCTCCTGGACTCCTGAGTTGCATCCTCTGACTCCTTTAATGGCCATGGGATATGAGATCCTAATGTGGTGTACGGTTTCATCAAAGTTTGGATGAATGGTAAGGATCTATAAGCTCAAAGATAAAAGCCATGTGGCTGAGATCAAGGAACAGAGCTTGACAGCAGGGCAGAAAAAGAGGTAGGCATTGGTCTACCCATTACATTCAACTTCCTTCCTGGAATATAGGACTTTCATTGTGCATACGTGTGTGTGTATGTGTTGTAAGAAAATGACACCTTTGCATCTTCCCCAAGGGGTAGGGAGTAGGGGCACAAGTCCAAGCACTTAGAGACTTCTTTAAAGTTTTAGCCAATAGTGAACTCCTGAAGCACTTAAGTAGCAAACAGGGTGAATGATATAAAGTGGACTAACAACTGCTGCACCTGGTCCAAAGCCCACAGTTGTTGTCCATCATCTCTCTTCTCTTCCAGCAATCTTAGATTTTCCTCACTCTTGGACAGCTATCAGGCTGGCCAGAGGTGAATGTATGGTAGAGCATTACAGACTCTGATCACCCAGGGATCTAAGCCATTAGTTGCCCCACATTTGTTGGCATGTATTTGTTATGTTTGCTCATTGGCAGTTGTTATCAAGCCTGGTCATTCTAAGAGGTACTTTTCCAACAAAGTAGCCATACTCATTTATCCTTATTATGTAGTGCCAATTCTGGCTCCTCATGTAAACAAGATCAGTTAACCCTACCTGTTACATAACCTTCTGTTTTTCCTGTTTATCCACTCAAATGAGAAGCCCAAATTAACAAGGTGAGAGTTGCACCCTGTTAGTGGAACATTTAATGTATCCCCTGGCAAAACTCTTCAATTCTCCACATGCTGTGAGCAGGACCTCTACCTCAGCATGGCTCAAACTTGAAGAGACAGAAAGCAGAAATTCTACAACTAAGCAACAGGTATGATAGTGAGAGGAGGCATTCCTGTTTCCAACTCTTACTTCCTGTGTCCATGAATTATGGCAATTGGAGATACAGAACCATATATTGGTGATTGATTTAACACATATCAAATCCTGGAGAACAGCAACCACACTGCTGGTACCTTAGTTGAGTCTTCAATAGGCTAACTATTGCAGTGTTATATCAGACTGGCAGCTTCTGGGTGATAGATAGATAAGACTAGGGAAACTCATGATAATGAATCTATTCTCAGATGTGCTTTTCTGTGTCCTTTGATATGTAGCACTGTTGTATAATACCGTGTCTCTGGACAAGGTATTCTGTAAGCCTTGGCCAGTGGTGATGATAGAGACATATATTGATATTTATATCTGTTCTAATAAAGGCGAATTTATGCTCCTTTAAGATGGAGACAGTACAATGGATTCATTCCCTGCTGCATGGTAGGTCCCCCCAAAGAAGTGGTGTCACATATCCTTTTCTTCTGTTGTCAGAGGTGTTAGATAGATAGGCCTTAATAAAGGCAAACTTATATTGTTAGATCCATTCCCAGGCTCCTTCGCTGCCACTGTGGTCCACTGGGTATGCATCACAATGGATGAAGACAGGCTGGCTGACCTCCACTGCAGAAACTCTCCTCCCCTTCTGGTTGATCAGCAGCTACTCTACAATGGATACTTGCTACTGGGCATTGATAGGAAACAAAAAGATCGGTACACTTCACATCCACTCCCAGAGGTCCATTCACTTATTTATTTTGAAGATCTCCTTGTTTATTCTCTTCTAATATTGTATCTTTCAAGTCTCTGACTAATCAGCCAAGCCATTTGTCCAGGGGTCAGTCTATATCTTTTCTTCTGGCCACCCCTTCCTCTAGGCAAGATGGATGACTAATTCTACCCCAAGAGAATTTCCCTTTGCTACTGATCATCACGCCTTTGAGACCTCAGGACAGGGGTCCATTTCCTGTTAATGCCAACATTTCACATTGGCACAGCTTGGAATCAAGTCATAATTATCTTCTGTGAGTTGGTCATAGCAGTCTTCTCACACCACAAAGAGGTTACAAGTGTGGTTTGAGGGAACAGAGATAGGATATAAATGCAAACAACATCTGCTTATGTAACACACTTGTGCTTTCTGGATCTGTTTGAGCTTGGTCCCAAATGTACTAGCTCTCTTCCCTGATGAATTTCTGCTGAGACTACCTAACTTTATAATTTGGTACTTGTGTTAGATTATATTATTCTTCAAAAATATTCACTCTTGCACTGTGAGCGCAATTATCTCTGTGGGAGTGGCATACATTCCAAGTCTGTTGATGTTTAATTTGATTATGTGTCTTCCTTGGCCTCAGGGAGAGCAGAATGTACTTTCCTGCTTCTTGATTCAGGTTAGGTGTTTAACTTTGTTTGCCTGATGGGATGTTAGCAAATATTACTTGAGAAGTGTATGAAATGTGTCTGTGTGTTTAGCCTTGCACTCTCATTCCTCTGCCATTGCAAGCCATGGTCATTCGTTTTTTTCTGTTATCAGGTGTTCAATCTTCACTTTGCCCTAGTGTCTCACCATAAGCTGTCTTTCAAGTGGAAAGTAGTTATCTATTTAAAAAGTCGTGTTTTTTCTCCAGAGGGTGTGTGCTCTGTCACTTCTATTGGAGTCTGCCAAAAATTTCATACATTCTTAACCACCACAGGTTTTCTAGCACTTGGATTGTATGACCCAAGGGGCAGAACAACATGCACTGCACTCTGAACCTACTAGGAAAAAACAAAACAAAACAAACAAAAAAACAAAACAAAATAAAACCTCTCTGGCAGCCTATGGATGAGTCAATATTCTGAAGCAATATTCCCAAATGAAGTATATTTTAACTCCAAAATCCAGGAGGATAACTCAGTGTTATTCTTCTTGTTTAGTAGAAGGAGGTACAAAATGCAGTAAGTTGTCATTTACAATGCCACAGTGTCTTAGAGCATTCAGGGGGCTATCACAAAATACCAAACACTGGGTAGCTTATAGACAACAGAAATTTTTCACAGTTCTGAAGGCTAGGAAGCCCATAGTCAATGCACTAGCAGAATTGGTGTCTGGTGAGGGCTTTCTTCAAGATTCACAGATGGGAGTCCTCTTGCTGTGTCCTCATGTGGTGGAAGGGAAGAGGATCTCTCTGGAGTGTCTTTCATAAGGGCACTAATTCCATTTATGAAGGCCTCACTGTCATTATCTAATCCTCTCCCAAAGGTCATACGTCCCGATCCATCACTTCTGGGGTTATAATTTCAACACATGAATTTTGGGAAGACATCAACATCAGGCCATAGCACACAGCATACCCCAGACCACATATATGTCATACTCAGGCATTTAGATCAGTACTACTCAAAATGGGATCCTTAAACTCATGCTGGTCTATGAACTGTTTGTTACTCTGAGTGAGGCATCAAACATGGTGTTCAAAATTTGGAAAGAAGAAGTGTGAAATAGTCTTCCATAAGAATGACAGAACAAATTAATTAGAGAGAGAGGATGACATCAGCAAGATGGCAGACTAGGAAGCTCCAGGCCCTCATTCCCATGGAAACATTAAAAACACACTAAGAAACTGCCTAAAATTATTTTATAGGAGCTCTGGAAAACCACCAAATATCTACAGAAACCAAGTAAATATCCAGTTTGAAAAACTTACACATTTAAAATGGCAGGAAATTTCATAGCATTTTTACTTCTCCTTTTCCCACACCCTCTCTGGCACCTTGAAGTTGGAAGTGGTCCAGCTCTTGATCCCTCCCTCAGGTGGAGGAAATAGAGTGGACTTTATTTACAATGTTTTAACCTGTCTGTGGACTGCCTAAGGACTTGATGTCTGCATTGCTTGAAAAAGAGCACAGACAGGGAAAATATCATAGCGCAGATTTCAGGTTGGAAAAAGCTACCGAAGGCAGTGGCACACCAGTAAAAGCCTCAAGGGGAGTACAAACCTGTGGATGCATTCGGCAAGGAATTATAGGGAGACAAATTCAATAGAACATACAAAACCTTGAGAAAAACCTGTGATGAGACTATGTTGGAGAAAAAGACACCTATATACAGACAAGTAAACAGAGAAAAACATTTTAAGCCCAGAGCCCCCACCACAAACATTCAGGGAAAATATATGCCCAGAAAAAGGCCTAAGAAGAATTTAAGCTTTAACGTTGGGGTGACCTCAATGTTTAAAATACGCCATGGTAATTACTAAAGGTCTTCCACTGCATGGAGCTGGTATATGAAGACTTTTATAGGTGGCTGTTTTTTTTTTTTCCCAAATGCCAAATTTCTAACAAATAATCACAAGGCATACGAAGAAACAGGAAAATATGGCACATTTAAAGGACCAAATAAAGATCTGGAAACCATCCTTGAAGAAATATGCATCTAACTTGATAAGGACTTTAAAACAACTGCCCTAAATATGCTCTAAGAACTAAAGAAAAATACAGACAAAAAAATTTAGGAAAATAATATATAAACAAAATAAGAATATCAATGAAGAAATAGAAATTATAAAAGAAATCAAACGAAACTCTGGAGCTGAAAAATGCAACAACTGAATTTAAAATTTACGTGAAGAGTTAAACAGCAGGCTCAACAAACAGAAGAAAAGAATTACCAAACTTGAAGATAGACCATTTGAGTCTGAGAAGAAAAAAAAAAAGAAAAAATGCACAAGAAAGAGTGAACAGAGCATAAGAGACTTTTGGACACCATGAAGAAGGCTGACATACACATTATGGGAGCTTTCAGAAGAAGAAAAGAAAGAAAAAAAGAGAGGGAGGCAGAAAACTTATTTGAAGAAATGATGGCTGAAAATTTCCCAAATTTGTGGGAAAATTGTATATGTGGAAATCCAAAAATCTCTATGAATGCAAGGATAATAATTTCAAAGAGACCTACACTGAGACACATTATATTAAACCATCAAAAGTCAAAGATATGGCCAGGCACAGTGGCTCAAACCTGTAATCCCAGCAGTTTGGGAGGCTGAGGCAGGTGGATCACTTGAGGCCAGGAGTTCGAGACCAGCCTGGCCAACATGGTGAAAACTCATTTCTACTAAAAATACAAAAAAAAAAAAAAATCACTGGATATGTTGGTGCATCCTGTAATCCCAGCTACTCTGGAAGCTGAGGCAGGAGAATAGCTTGCACCCAGTGGGTGCAGGTTGCAATGAGCCGAGATTGCACCACTGCACTCCAACCTGGGCAACAGAGTGAGACTCTGTCTGCAAAAAAATAAAACTTAAAAAAATTAGTTTATTGTAGATGTATGGATTTGTTTCTGTGTTCTCTATTCTGTTTCATTGGTCTATGTGTCCAGTTTTGTGCCAGTACCATGCTGTTTTGGTTATTATAATGTCATAGTATAATTTAAATTCAGGTAATGTAATTCCTCCAATTTTGTTCTTTTGCTCAGGATATTTTTGGCTCTTCTTGGTCTTATGTGGTACTATATAAATTTTAGGATTTTTTTCTCTATTTCTGTGAAAAATATCATTAACATTTTGATAGGGATTGCACTAAATCTGTAAATTGCCTTAGGTAGTATGGACATTTTAACAATATTTATTCTTCCAATTCATAAACAGGTAGTATCTTTCCTTTTTTGTATCCTCTTCAATTTCTTTCATCAATATTTTGTAGTTATTATTGTAGAGACCTTTCACATCTTTGGTTATGTTAATTCCTAGTTGTTTCATTTATTTGTAGCTATTGTAAATGAGATTTACAATACAATCAAGTACTTGATTTCTTTCAATCAATTATAATGTATTTCTTGATTTCTTTTTGTGTGCTGTTGGCATATAAAATACTACTGATTTTTGTATGTTGATGTTGTATTTTACAACTTTACTGAACTTGTTTATCAGTTCAAGTAGTTATTTGGTTTTTAGGTTTTCCCAGTATAAGATCATATCATTTACAAATGAAGATAATTTGACTTTTTCCTTTCCAACTTGGATGCCTTTCATTTCTTTCTCTTGTCTGATTGCTCTAGATAGGACTTCCAGTACTATGTTGAATAACATTGGTAAAAGTGGAAATCCTTGTTGTGTTCCAGATCTTAAAGGAAAGGCTTTCAAAGTTTTTCTTCATTCAGTATGGTACTGTGGGTTGGTCTGACATATATGACTTTTATTGCATTGGGCTATGTTCCTTTATACTCAGTTTTTTATTTTTTATTTTTTGAGAGTTTTTATCATGAACAGATGTTGAATTTTATCAGATGCTTTTTCAGCATCAATTAAAATGGTCACATGTTTTTTGTCCTTTATCCTGCTGATATGACATGTCACACTGATGGATTTGCATACATTGAACCATCCTTGAAATTTTGGGATATATTCCACCTGGTCATCATGAATGAACTTTTTATTGTGTTGTTGAATTCAATTTGCAAATATTTCATTGAAAAATTTTGCATCTCTGTTCATCAGAGATATTGGCCTGCGGTTTTCTTCTTTTTGATGTGTCTTTGTCTGGTTTTGTTATCAGGGTAATACTGTGCTCATAGAGTGAGTTTGGAAACATTCCCTCCCCCTCTATTTTTCAGAATAGTTTGACTAGGACTGGTATTAGTCCTTCTTTAAATAGTCGGTAAAATTCAGCAGTGAAGTCATTGGGACATAGCCTTTTTTTTTTAAATTATACTTTAAGTTTTAGGGTACATGTGCACAACGTGCAGGTTTGTTACATACGTATACATGTGCCATGTCGGTGTGCTGCACCCATTAACTCGTGATTTAGCATTAGGTATATCTCCTAATGCTATCCCTCCCCGCTTCCCCCACCCCACAACAGGCCCCAGTGTGTGATGTTCCCCTTCCTGTGTCCATGTGTTATCATTGTTCAATTCCCACCTATGAGTGAGAACATGCCATATTTGGTTTTTTGTCCTTGTGACAGTTTGCTGAGAATGATGGTTTCCAGCTTCATCCATGTCCCTGTGAAGGACATGAACTCATCATTTTTTATGGCTACATAGTATTCCATGGTGTATATGTGCCACATTTTCTTAATCCAGTCTATCATTGTTGGACATTTGGCTTGGTTCCAAGTCTTTGCTATTGTGAATAGTGCCACAATAAACATATGTGTGCATGTGTCTTTATAGAAGCATGATTTATAGTCCTTTGGGTATATACCCAGTAATGGGATGGCTGGGTCAAATGGTATTTCTAGTTCTAGATCCCTGAGAAATCACCACACTGACTTCCACAATGGTTGAACTAGTTTACGGTCCCACCAACAGTGTAAAAGTGTTCCTATTTCTCCACATCCTCTCCAGCACCTGTTGTTTCCTGACTTTTTAATGATCGCCATTCTAACTGGTGTGAGATGGCATCTCATTGTGGTTTTGATTTGCATTTCTTTGATGGTCAGTGATGATGAGCATTTTTCATATGTCTTTTGGCTGCATAAATGTCTTCTTTTGAGGAGTATCTGTTCATATCCTTTGCTCACTTTTTGATGGGGTTGTTTTTTTCCTGTAAATTTGTTTGAGTTCATTGTAGATTCTGGATATTAGCCCTTTGTCAGATGAGTAAGTTGCAAAAATTTTCTCCCATTCTGTAGGTTGCCTGTTCACTCTGATGGTAATTTCTTTTGCTGTGCAGAAGCTCTTTAGTTTAATTAGATCCCATTTGTCAATTTTAGGTTTTGTTGTCATTGCTATTGGTGTTTTAGACATGTAGTCCTTGCCCATGCCTATGTCCTGACTGGTATTGCCTAGGTTTTCTTCTAGGGTTTTTATGGTTTTAGGTCTAACATGTAAGTCTTTAATCCATCTTGAATTAATATTTGTATAAGGTGTAAGGAAGGGATCCAGTTTCAGCTTTCTACATATGGCTAGCCAGTTTTCCCAGCACCATTTATTAAATAGGGAATCCTTTCCCCATTGCTTGTTTTTGTCAGGTTTGTCAAAGATCAGATAGTTGTAGATATGTGGCATTATTTCTGAGGGCTCTTTTCTGTTCCATTCGTCTATATCTCTGTTTTGGTACCAGTACCATGCTGTTTTGGTTACTGTAGCCTTGTAGTATAGTTTGAACTCAGGTAGCGTGATGCCTCCAGCTTTGTTCTTTTGGCTTAGGATTGACTTGGCAATGCTGGCTCTTTTTTGGTTCCATATGAAATTTAAAGTTGTTTTTTCCAATTCTGTGAAGAAAGTCATTGGTAGCTTGATGGTGATGGCATTGAATCTATAAATTACCTTGGGCAGTATGGCCATTTTCACAATATTGATTCTTCCTACCCATGAGCATGGAATGTTCTTCCATTTGCTTGTATCCTCTTTTATTTCCTTGAACAGTGGTTTGTAGTTCTCCTTGGAGAGGTCTTTCACATCCCTTGTAAGTTGGAGTCCTAGGTATTTTATTCTCTTTGAAGCAATTGTGAATGGGAGTTCACTCATTATTTGGCTCTCTGTTTGTCTGTCATTGGTGTATAAGAATGCTTGTGATTTTTGCACATTGATTTTGTATCCTGAGACTTTGCTGAAGTTGCTTATCAGCTTAAGGAGATTTTGGGCTGAGATGATGGAGTTTTCTAGATATACAATCATGTCATCTGAAAACAGGGACAATTTGACTTCCTCTTTTCCTAACTGAATACCCTTTATTTCCTTCTCCTGCATGATTGCCCTGGCCAGAACTTCCAACACTATGTTGAATAGGAGTGGTGAGAGAGGGCATCCCTGTCTTGTGCCAGGTTTCAAAGGGAATGCTTCCAGTTTTTGCCCATTCAGTATGATATTGGCTGTGGGTTTCTCATAGATAGCTCTTATTATTTCAAGATATGTCCCATCAATACCTAATTGATTGAGAGTTTTTAGCATGAAGAGTTGTTGAATTTTGTCAAAGGCCTTTTCTGTATCTATTGAGATAATCACGTGTTTTTTGTCATTGGTTCTGTTTATATGCTGGATTACATTTATTGATTTGCGAATGTTGAACCAGCCTTGCATCCCAGGGATGAAGCCCACCTGATCATGGTGGATAAGCTTTTTGATATGCTGCTGGATTTGGTTTGCCAGTATTTTATTGAGAATCTTTGCATTGATGTTCATCAGGGATATTGGTCTAAAATTCTCTTTTTTTGTTGTGTCTCTGCCAGGCGTTGGTATCAGGATGATGCTGGCCTCATAAAATGAGTTAGGGAGGATTCCCTCTTTTTCTGTTGATTGGAATAGTTTCAGAAGTAATGGTACCAGCTCCTCCTTGTACCTCTGGTAGAATTCGGCTGTGACTCCATCTGGTCCTGGACTTTTTTTGGTTGGTAAGCTATTAATTATTGCCTCAATTTCAGAGCCTGATATTGGTCTATTCAGAGATTCAACTTCTTCCTGGTTTAGTCCTGGGAAGGTGTATGTGTCGAGGAATTTATCCATTTCTTCTAGATTTTCTAGTGTATTTGCGTAGAGGTGTTTATAGTACTCTCTGATGGTAGTTTGTATTTCTGTGGGATAGGTGGTGATATCCCCTTTACCATTTTTTATTGCGTCTATTTGATTCTTCTCTCTTTTCTTCTTTATTAGTCTTGCTAGCAGTCTATCAATTTTGTTGATCTTTTCAAAAAAACCAGCTCCTGGATTCATTGATTTTTTGAAGGGTTTTTTGTGTCTCTATTTCCTTCAGTTCTGCTCTGATCTTAGTTATTTCTTGCCTTCTGCTAGCTTTTGAATGTGTTTGCTCTTGCTTCTCTAGTTCTTTTAATTATGGTGTTAGGGTGTCAATTTTAGATCTTTTCTGCTTTCTCTTGTGGGCATTTAGTGCTATAAATTTCCTTCTACACACTGCTTTGAATGTGTCCCAGAGATTCTGGTATGTTGTGTCTTTGTTCTCGTTGGTTTCAAATAACATCTTTATTTCTGCCTTCATTTTGTTATGCACCCAGTAGTGATTCAGGAGCAGGTTGTTCAGTTTCCATGTAGTTGAGCAGTTTTGAGTGAGTTTCTTAACCCTGAGTCCTAGTTTGATTGCACTGTGGTCTGAGAGACAGTTTGTTATAATTTCTGTTCTTTTACATTTGCTGAGGAGTGCTTTACTTCCAATGATGTGGTCAGTTTTGGAATAGGTGTGGTGTGGTGCTGAAAAGAATGTATATTCTGTTGATTTGGGGTGGAGAGTTCTGTAGATGTCTATTAGGTCCACTTGGTGCAGAGCTGAGTTCAATTCCTGGATATCCTTGTTAACTTTCTGTCTCGTTGATCTGTCTGATGTTGACAGTGGGGTGTTAAAGTCTCCCATTATTATTGTGTGGGAGTCTAAGTCTCTTTGTAGGTCTCTAAGGACTTGCTTTATGAATCTGGGTGCTCCTGTATTGGGTGCATATATATTTAGGATAGTTAGCTCTTCTTGTTGAATTGATCCCTTTACCATTATGTAATGGCCTTCTTTGTCTCTTTTGATCTTTGTTGGTTTAAAGTCTGTTTTATCAGAGACTAGGATTGCAACCCCTGCCTTTTTTTGTTTTCCATTTGCTTGGTAGATCTTTCTCCATCCCTTTATTTTGAGCCTATGTGTGTCTCCGCACGTGAGACGGGTTTCCTGAATACAGCACACTGATGGGTCTTGACTCTTTATCCAGTTTGCCAGTCTGTGTCTTTTAATTGGAGGATTTAGCTCATTTATCTTTAAGGTTAATATTGTTACGTGTGAATTTGATCCTGTCATTATGATGCTAGCTGGTTATTTCGTTCATTAGTTGATGCAGTTTCTTCCTAGGCTCGATGATCTTTATAATTCGGCATGTTTTTGCAGTGGCTGGTACCGGTTGTTCCTTTCCATGTTTAGTGCTTCCTTCAGGAGCTCTTTTAGGGCAGGGCTGGTGGTGACAGAATCTCTCAGCATTTGCTTGTCTGTAAAGTATTTTATTTCACCTTCACTTATGAAGCTTAGTTTGGCTGGATATGAAATTCTGGGTTGAAAATTCTTTTCTTTAAGAAAGTTGAATATTGGTCCCCACTCTCTTCTGGCTTGTAGAGTTTCTGCCGAGAGATCAGCTGTTAGTCTGCTGGGCTTCCTTTTGTGGGTAACCCGACCTTTCTCTCTGGCTGCCCTTAACATTTTTTCCTCCATTTCAACTTTGGTGAATCTGACAATTATGTGTCTTGGAGTTGCTCTTCTCGAGGAGTATCTTTGTGGCATTCTCTGTATTTCCTGAATTTGAATGTTGGCCTGCCTTGCTAGATTGGGGAATTTCTCCTGGATAATATCCTGCAGAGTGTTTTCCAACTTGGTTCCATTCTCCCCGTCACTTTCAGGTACACCATCAGACGTACATTTGGTCGTTTCATAGTCCCATATTTCGTGGAGGCTTTGTTCATTTCTTTTTATTCTTTTTTCTCTAAACTTCCCTTCTCACTTCATTTCATTCATTTGATCTTCCATCAATGATACCTTTTCTTCCAGTTGATCGAATCAGCTACTGAGACTTGTGCATTCGTCACATAGTCCTCATGCTGTGGTTTTCAGCTCCATCAGGTCCTTTAAGGACTTCTCTGCATTGCTTATTCTAGTTAGCCATTCGTCTAATTTTCTTCAAGGTTTATAACTTCTTTGCCATGGGTTCTAACTTCCTCCTTTAGCTTGGAGTAGTTTGATCGTCTGAAGCCTTCTTCTCTCAACTCATCAAAGTCATTCTCTGTCCAGCTTTGTTCCATTGCTGGTGAGGAGCTGCATTCCTTTGGAGGAGGAGAGGCACCCTAATTTTTAGAATTTCCAGTTTTTCTGCTCTTTATTTTCCCATCTTTGTGGTTTTATCCACCTTTCGTCTTTGATGATGGTGATGTACTGATGGGGTTTTGGTGTGGATGTCCTATCTGTTTGTTAGTTTTCCTTCTAACAGTCAGGACCCTCAGTTGCAGGTCTGTTGGAGTTTGCTGGAGGTCCACTCCAGACACTGTTTGCCTGGGTATCAGCAGCAGAGGCTGCAGAACAGCAGATATTGGTGAACAGCAAATGTTCCTGCCTGATTGTTCCTCTGGAAGTTTTGTCTCAGAGGAGTACCCAGCCGTGTGAGGTGTCAGTCTACCCCTACTGGGGGGTGCCTCTCAGTTAGGCTACTCGGGGGGTCAAGGACCCACTTGAGGAGGCAGTCTGTCCGTTCTCAGATCTCAAGCTGCATGCTGGGAGAACCACTACTCTCTTCAAAGTTGTCAGACAGGGACATTTAAGTCTGCAGAGGTTTCTGCTGCCTTTTGTTTGGCTATGCCCTGCCCCCAGAGGTGGCATCTACAGAGGCAGGCAGGCCTCCTTGAGCTGTGGTGGGCTCCACCCAGTTTGAGCTTCCTGGCTGCTTTGTTTACCTACTCAAGCCTCAGCAATGGCGGGCGCCCATCCCCCAGCCTCACTGCCGCCTTGCAGTTTGATCTCAGACTGCTGTGCTAGCAATGAGCGAGGCTCCGTGGGCGTAGGACCCTCGGAGCCATGCACGGGATATAATCTCCTGGTGTGCCATTTGCTAAGACCGTTGGAAAAGCGCAGTATTAGGTTGGGAGTCACCCAATTTTCCAGGTGCCATCTGTCACCCCTTTCTTTGAGTAGGAAAGGGAATTCCCTGACCCCTTGCACTTCCCAGGTGAGGTGATGCCTCGCCCTGCTTCGGCTCATGCTCAGTGCACTGCACCTACTGTCCTGCACCCACTGTCCAACACTCCCCAGTGAGATGAACCTGGTACCTCAGTTGGAAATGCAGAAATCACCCGTCTTCTGCATTGCTCACACTGGGAGCTATAGACTGGAGCTGTTCCTATTTGGCCATCTTGGCTCCACCTCCCCTTTTTTTTTTTTTTTTTTTTTTTTTGCTAAGAGATCTTTATTATGAATTCAAGCTCTTTCCTTGTCATTGGTCTGTTCAGGTTTTGGGTTTCTTCATGGTTCAGTCTTGATAGAGTTGTTTTTGTCTAGGAGTTCATCCATTTCTTCAAGATTTTCCAACTTATTGAAACATAGTTACTCATAGTAGCTTCTAATGATCGTTTGAATTTCTGTGGTATTTGTTGTGGTGTCTCCTTATTCATCTCTGATTTATTTATTTGAGTGATGTCTCTTTATTCCTTAGTTATTCTAGCTAAAAATTTTTAAATTTTATTTATGTTTTCAAAAAACAATGTGTTTGTTTCATTAACCTTTTGTATTGTTTTCTTCCTTTCAATTATATTTATTTCTGCCCCAATCTTTATTATTTATTTTCTTACACTAATTTGGGGTTTGTTTTGTGCTTGCTTTTCACATTCTTTAAGATGTGTTATGAGGTTGTTTATTTAAAGGTTTTCTACTTTTTTGATGTAGTCGCTTATAGATATAAACTTTCCTCTTAGTACTGCTTTCACTGTATCCCATAGGTTTTGGTATGTTATATTTCCACTATTATTGCTTTGAGAATTTGTTTATATTTCCTTCTTAATTTCTTCATTGACCAACTGATCATTCAGGAGCATAATGTTTAATTTTCCTGTGTTTGAACATTTCCAAAATTCTTGTTATTGATTTTTTTTTTTTTTATAAAGTCTCCCTCTGTTTTCCAGGTTGCAGTGCAGTGGCATGATCCCAGCTCACTGCCACCTCTGCTTCTCCGGTTCAAGTGATTCTCCTGCCTCAGTCTCCTAAGTAGGTGAGACTACTGGCACCTGCCACCACTCCCAGCTAATTTTTGTATTTTTAGTAGAGACAGGGTTTTGCCATGTTGGCCAGGCTGGTCTTGAACTCCTGACCTCAGGTGATCCATGCACCTCTTCCTTCCACAGTGTTGGGGTTACAGGTGTGAGCCACCATGCCCGGTGTTGTTATTGATTTCCAATTTGTATTCCATTATAGTCAGAGAATATATTTGGTATGATTTCAATTTTTGAATATTTTAACACTCATTTTGTGGCCTAAAATATGGTCTATCCTTAAGAATGATCCATGTACTACAGAAAAAAAAAGTGTATTCTACAGTCGTTGGATGAAATGTTCTGCAAGTATTTATTAGATCCATTTGGTCTGTAGTGCATATTAAGTCTAATGTTTCTTTGTTGATTTTCTGTCTGGATGATCTGTGCAATGTTGCAAGTGGGGTACTGAAGACTACGTCTAGTAATTTATTGGGGTCTCTCTCTCTTTAGCTCTAATAACATTTACTCTATATATCTGGGTGCAATAGTGTTGGGTACATGTATATTTAAATTGTTACATCCCCTTGCTGAGTTTACCCCTTTACAATTATTTGTCTTTGTCTCTTATTAGGTTTTGTCTTGAAATCTAATTTGTCTGATATAAGCTTAGCTACTCCTCCCCTTTTTTGGTTTCCATTTGCATGGAATATCTTCTTCCATCCCTTTATTATCAGTCTATCTATGTCTTTATAGCCGAAGTGTGTTTCTTATAGGCAGCATATCATTGGGTCTTGTTTTCTAAATCCATTCAGCCACTCTGTCATTTGATTAAATAGTTCAGTCCATTTACATTCAAGTTTATTATTGATAAGTAAGGAATTACTCTTCCCATGTTGTTATTTGTTTTCTGATTGTGTTGTAGTCTTTTCTTTCTTCTTTCCTTCCTTCCTGTCTTCCTTTTAGTGAAGAAGATTTTCTCTGGTCATATGTTTTAATTTCTTGCTTTTTAATTTTTTGTGTATTTGTCTTGTGTTTTTTGATTTGAAGTTACCACGAGGCTTGCAAATAACACTTATACTAGTTAGGGTTCTCTAGAGGGACAGAACTAAAGGAATAGATGTATATATAAAGGGGAGTTTATTAAGTATTAACTTACATGATCAAAAGGTCCCACAATAGACCATCTGCAGGCTGAGGAACAAGGAGAGTCAGTCCAAGTCTCAAAATTGAAGAACTTGGAACCCAATGTTCGAGGGCAGGAAGCATCCAGCATGAGAGAAAGATGTAGGCTTGGAGGCTAGGCCAGTCTCTCTATTCACATTTTTCTGCATGCTTATATTCTAGCCACACTGGCAGCTGATTAGATGGTGCCCACCCAGATTAAGGGCGGATCTGCTTTCCCCAGCCCACTGACTCAAATGTTAATCTCCTTTGGCAACACCCTCACAGACACACCCAGGAGCAATACTTTATATTATTCTATCCAATCAAGTTGACACTCAGTATTAACCATCACAAATCTATCCCTTGTCAACTTGAACCCACATCTCCTGAGATCATACCTAATCTTCAAATAAAGACAATAATAAGGTCTGAACATAATAAAACTATCTTTCATACAACCAGAAACACACCAATCCCCAATGCAAATACTATTACATAAAGTTAACAATACTTAAATGCTGATGTGAAGTCAATAAGTATTATGTCACATGATAAAGGAGAAAGGAAATAAAATGAAGATATTTTACAAGTGTAAACATGTACAACCATGTTTTTAACAAAAGAAGGAGGAAATACTCATGACAATTACAATCCTCAATTCTGTAGCTGGTCACATGGTCATAGCTGGTATTGATGACTACCTTCTTCTTCTACCCATTCTGTATTCCCTTTCTCTTCAGCAAGCACCTCAGCAAGTCATGGTTTATTTCCTGGTGGAGTGACCCAAGCCTTCATTCCTGAAGGGTCTGGGTCATTTGTAGTCCTGGCTGGATTGGGCTGTTGTAGTTTCCCATTGACCTTAATCACAAGGCATGGTAATACTAAGAGACACCCTAATGGATCTCCTGTATTCCATGCATACTCTTCCTTACCTCCATTGTGGAGCAATAGACTGATTTCATCCTGAAAGTCCAGGTCAATCACCGCAGCCAACACTGTAACTCCCTTCTTAGCCTGTTGGCCCAGTGGTAGGAGGAGCCCAAAGTGTCCAGGTGGCAATCTTAACTTCCAGTTTAATGGAATTGTTGTTGTGCCTCCTGGTGGCAGCATTCCTCCCTCTTGACTGACCAGCAGAACATAATGTCATGGGAACAGGAAGCAAAAATTTTGCTAGTGGATCACTGGGGGTAATGGTGAGTGGTGCCACTTCCACTTCCATCCCTTGATTCCTGGACCCATGAATCCTGACTATGGGAGAAACAGTACCATATATTGGACACTGATGCAGAACATACATGGCCTTCTGGAGAACATTGCCACAGTACTGCAAAGTATTGTCATCTAGTTGGAGTTGCAATTGTGACTTCAAAAGGCCATTCCACCATTCCATCAATCCAGCTGCTTCAGGATGATAGGAAGCCTGGTAAGAACAGTGAATTCCATGAGCATGAGCCCACTGCCGCACTTTAGCCATAAAGTGAGTGCCTTCATCAGAGACAGTGCTGTGTGGAATACCGTGATGGTGGATAAGGCATTCTGTGAGTCCACAAATAGTAGTCTTGGCAGAAGCATTTCATGCAGGATAGGCAAACCCATATCCAGAGTGTCTATTCCAGTGAGAACAAACCTCTGCCCTTTCCATGATGGAAGAGGTCCCATATAAACAACCTGCCACCAGGTAGTTGGCTGATCGCCCTGAAGAATGGTGCCATATCGAGGACTTAGTGTTGGTTTCTCCTGCTGGCAAATTGGGCACTCAGCAGTGACCATAGTCAGGTCAGCCTTGGTGAGTGAAAGTCCATGTTGCTGAGCCCATGAGTAAACCTCCATCTCTGCTACCATGGCCACTTTGTTCATGGGCCCACTGGGAGATGACAGGGGTGGCTGGGGAAAAAGGCTGAGTGGGTCCACAGAACGGGTCATCCTATCCTCTTGACTATTAAAATCCTCCTCTTCTGAGGCCACCCACTGGTGAGCACTCACATGGGATACAAATATCTTCAGTTTTTGACCACTCAGAGAGGTCCTTCCACATACCTTTTCCCCAAATTTCTTTGTCATCAATTTTTCAATCATGCTTCTTCCAAGTCCCTGACCATCCAGCCAAACCATTGGCTACAGCCCACGAATTAGTATATAATCACACATCTGGCCATTTCTCCTTTCATGCAAAGTGCACAACCAGGTGCACTGCTCAAAGTTCTGCCCACTGGGAAGATTTCCCTTCACCACTGTCCTTCAGAGATGTCCTAGAAAGGGGCTGTAGTGCTACAGCTGTCTACTTTTGGGTGGTGCCTGGATATTGTGCAGAGACATCTGTGAACCAGGCCCTAGTCTTCCCTTCCTCTGTCAATTGATTATAGGGAACTCCTCATGAGGCCATCAGTGCATGCTGGGGGAGAGAAGTCAGGGTGGCAGGAGTGGAGCCTACGGGCATTTGAGCCACTTCCTCCTGTAACTTACTTGTGCCTTCAGGACCCGATCGAGCCCAGTCACGTATATACCACTTCCATTTGATGATGGAATGCTGCTGTGCACAACCCACTTTATGGCTAGATGGGTCAGAAAGCACCCAGTTCATGATAGGTCGTTCAGGTCTCATGGTAACTTGATGACCCATAGTCAAACGTTCAGGTTCCACCAAAGCTCAGTAACAGGCCAAAAGCTGCCTCTCAAAAGGAGAGTAATTATTTGTAGAAGATGGCAGGACTTTGCTCCAAAACCCTAGAGGACTTCACTGTGATTCACCTATGGGGGCCTGCCAAAGGCTCCAAACAGCATCCCTATCTGCCACTGACACCTTAAGCTCCATTGGATCTGCTGGGTCATATGGCCCAACTGGCAGAGCAGCTTGTGCAACAGCCTGGACCTGTTACAGAGCCTTCTCCTGTTCTGGACCCCACTCAAAACTGGCAGTTTTTGGGGTCACTTGATAAATGGGCCAGAGTAACACACCCAAATTAAGAATGTGTTGCCTCAAAAATCCAAATAGGCCCACTAGGCATTGTGCCTCTCTCTAGGTTGTAGGAGGGGACAAATGCAGCAACTTATCCTTCACCTTTAGAAGGAATATCTCAATAGGCCCCACCCCACTGGAGCCATAGAAATTTCACTGAGGTAGAAGGTCTTGAATTTGATTAGGATTTATTTCCCATCCTCTGGCATGCAAATATCTCACCAATAAGTCCAGTGTGATTGTTACTTCTTGCTCACTGGATCCAATCAGCATAATGTCATCAATGTAGTGGACCAGTGTGATATCTTACAAAAGCAAAAAGCGATCAGGTTCTCTTTGAATAAGATTATGACACAAAGCTGGAGAATAGTTACATCCCTCAGGTAAGACAGTAAAGGTAAATTGCTGGCCTTGCCTGCTGAAGGCAAATTGCTTCTACTGGGCCTTATGAACAGGAATGGAGAAAAAAATCATTTGCCAAATCAATGGCTGCATACAAGCTACCAGGTGATGTGTTACTTAGCTCAAGCAATGAAAACACATCTGGTACAGCAGCTGCAATTGGAATCGCCACTTGGTTAAGCTTATGATAATCCACTGTCATTCTCCAAGATCCATCTGTCTTCCGCACAGGCCAAATGAGAGAGTTGAACGGGGTTGTGATGGGTAGATCTCCACTCCTGCGTCTTTCAAGTCCTTGATGGTGGCACTAATGTCTTCAGTCCCTCCAGGGATGCAATATGGTTTTTGATTTACTATTTTCTATGGAGAGGCAGCTTTAATAGCTTCCATTTGGCCTTTCCCACCATAATAGCCCTCTCCCTACCAGTCAGGGAGCCAATGTGGGGGTTCTGCCTGCTGCTAAGTATGTCTGTGCCAATTATGCATTCTGGCAGTGGGGAACTGACCACAGGATGAGTCCGGTGACCCACTGGATCCATTGAAAGTTGGATTTGAGCTAAACCTCTATTAATTACCTGACCTCCATAAGCCCCTACTTTAACTGGAGGACCACGGTAATATTTTGGGTCCCCTGGAATCAACATCAGCTCAGAGCCAGTGTCCAGTAGTCCCCAAACTGTCTGATCATTTCCCTTTCCCCAATGCACAGTTACCTGGTAAAAGGCTGGAGGTCTCCTTGGAAAAGGATGGGAGAAAGATTCACTGCATAAATTGTCAGTAACGTAGCAGGGTCCTTCCTCAAGGAGACACGGCCTCCCCTTCATTCAAGGGTTCTGGGTCTGTAAACTTGTTCAAGTCTGGAAATTGATTGAGTGGCCATGATTTTGTTTTTATAATTCAAATTAGTCTTTTGTCCATTTGACCTAGAAGTTTTCTGCTTATATAAATTAAGTAGGAATGCCACAGGCTTCCTATCAATTTCACTTCTAGGAACCCTATGATTAATTAGCCAATGCCAGAGCTCTATATGAGTCTGACTATTCTGATTGCCGCTTTGCCTCTGTTGTCCACTGCAGTAGCTACACCCACCTTGTCTTTGACGGTTTAGTGTGGCCGCTTGGCCCTGGCCCCCTCAGGATCCAATTGTTCCCATTGTATTTAAATTTTGTAGTTGAGAGACTGTGGTTCCTACTGTTAGATCTGATGTACAGAGAAGAGCAATTACAGGGCTCTTCAAAGATGCAGGTGCTGCCCTCACAAATTGTCTTGCAAGGCATTGGTCAAGGATGTATCTTCTGGACCCTTCTAGCTGGGATGAGTAGGTCTAAAGTGACTAATCCAATCCACCATCCCAGTCTCCCTAAGCCTTTGGATCCCTTCTTCTACATTAAACCAAGGGAGATCAGGCATTTCCAGCTCGCTCAGAGTGGGCCATCTTTTAATCCATATTTCAGCTAACCAAGCAAATAAACTATTAGAACCTTTTTTAACTCCCTGATCTGCAACGTTAAATGCAGAGTTTCTACTTAGTGGGCTCAAATCAATAAATTCAGTCTGATCCAAATATAAGTTCCTTCCACCATTTTCCCATACCCTTAATATCCATTCCCATGACTGTTCTCCAGATTTCTGCTTATATAAATTAGAGGACTCAAGCAGTTCTATTTGAGTGTAGCACACTTTCTCATGGGTCACACTGCCAACCTTACCCCTAGGGGCCTGTGGGACTTTAGTTATAGGTCTAGAAGCAAACAGGGTGTTGGGGGTGGCTTCTGAGGAGAATCAACATTATCTTGTCTGGCAACTGCCTCAGGAGGGTCCATTACTGTTGTCTCAGGCAGCGTAGGGTTTATGTCCTCAGACAAAGGTGGAAAGGCTGATGGCAGCATGGGTCAGGGAGGGATTTTACCACTTCTGGGGATGGGAAAGCTGTTGCTTCTGGCAAAAAAGCTTCATCAGAATTTACAAACTCAGTGTCCCCAGCTTCATCAGGACCCTCCCACACATCCCCATTCCAAGTGGCAGGGTCCCATTCTTTTCCAATCAATGCCTTCACTTTAACAGTAGACACCTGGCTAGGCTGTGCATGCACCTTTTGTTGCAGGTCAGACACTTGCATGATAAAAGCTTGTGTCTGTTTTTCCACAAATTCAGCTCTTTTTCTACAGGGTATAAGACTCTCGCTCAAGGCAATCTTAGCAGATTTGAGGCTCAGTATCTGCTTCTGAAGGCAGGAGGTAGAATCCCTGAGTTTATCATTTTTTTTTCATCACTTTGTCCACTCAAATCAGGAGCAACCAACCAGCTTCATTATGTTCTGTGGTTCTCCACATATGGTCAAAGTATTATGTACAGAGTCACTAAACTCCTTGCCTCTCATGAGCGATGAATCTGGAGTATCAAATGCATTTATTTTGCATAACTCTGCAAACAGTTCATGCCAAGGACTATCATTGTTCTCCATACTATTAGAAGTAGAGTCCTTAGAATTTGGGGGTCTAGTCACATTAAGCAGCCAACTCCAGAAACCCCAAAATTAATGAAAGAACTCCAACCTTAATATTCTGTTCCTCTAGAATCACTCCTGGTACCAAAATCTGCATTAGTCAGGGTTCTTTAGAGGGATAGAACTAACGGAATATATATGGAAAGGCGAGTTTATTAAGTATTAACTGACATGATCCAAAGGTCCCACAATAGGCCATCAGCAGGCTTAGGAGCAAGAAGAGCCAGTGTGAGTTCCAAAACTGAATAACTTGGAGTCTGATGTTCAAGGACAGGAAGCATCCAGCAGGGGAGAAAGACGTAGGCTGGGAAGCTAGGTCAGTATCTTCTTTCACATTTTCCTGCCTGCTTATATTGCAGCCACACTGGCAGCTGATTAGATGGTGCCCACCCAGAATAAGGTGTGGTCTGCCTTTCCCAGCCAACTGATGCAAATGTAAACCTGCTTTGGAAACGCCCTCACAGACACACCCAGGATCAATACTTTGTATCCTTCAACCTAATCAAGCTGACACTCAGTATTAACCATCACAACACTTTATAACACATTATTTTAAACTGATAACAATGCTAATTGTACCAACTAACAAACTAACAAGGAAAGAGAAAACTAATAAAAACTCCATGCTTTAACTTCATTTCCCTGCTTTTCCACTTTCTGCTGTTTCTATTTATACCTTATTGTACAGTCTGTTTTGAAAAGTTATTGTAGTTTTCATTTTTGATTGGTTCATCTTTTAGTCTTTCTACTCAAGACGTGAGTAGTTTACATACCACAATTGTCATGTTATAATATTCTGTGCTTTTCTATGTACTTGCTATTATTAGTGAGGTTTACACCTTTGAATGATTTCTCATAGCTCATTAATGACCTTTGTTTTCAGATTGAAGAATTCCCTTTAGCATTTCTTGTAGGGAAGGTCTAGTTTTGATGAAATCCCTCAGCTTTTGTTTGGGAAGATATTTCTCTTTCATGTCGAAGGATATTTTCACTGGTTATACTATCCTAGGATAAAAGTTTTTTTCCTTCAGCACTTTAAATATGACACACCACTCTCTCCTGGCTTGTGGAGTTTCCAATGAAAAGTCTGTTGCAGAACAGCCTACTTTGGTGTTTTTAGTGCTTTACCCTACCGTGACTAAGCTAGTACCTAAGCTACAAGACAAAGTCCCCTTTACTCTTCCTTCTGCTTTTTACAAGCAGAAGAAACCCTCTTAACAGCCACCACAGTTGGGAATGTCCTGGGTCGCACCTGAAGTCAGCATGTCTCTGAGCCTCACCCAAGGCCCGCAATGAGTACTGCCTGGGTATTGCAGGTAATTATTCAGGTGCCAAAGGCTCTTTAGTCAGCAGGCAATTAATTCTGTCAGATCTAGATCCTTCTCTTCAAGGAACTGGGTTGTCTTCTGGCCCAGGATGTGTTTAGAAATGTCATCTGGGAGTTAGGGCCTGGAATGGGGGCCTCAGAACTCTTCCTGGTGCCCTAACCTACCCTGGCTGAACTGGTATCCAAGTTGCAAGATGAAGTTTATTTTTACTCTTCCATCTCCTCAAGTGGAGGGAAAGCATCTCTACCAGAGCTGTTAGCTGGACTGCCTGGGGTTAGGGTGTGGTGATGTAAGCACTTTCTTGATCTCCCCAGATGGTGTCTCACTTGATCACATGTCCCCCAAGTCCACTGGTTCTGAGTCCAGCACACCACCACAACTTGCCCATGAAGTGTAATCCTTGTGTCCTAGACTGCCTTTCAAGTTTATTTAGAACCCCAGAATACTTTAGCCTGTGATGGCGAGGCTTGCCAGAACTCAGGTTGCAACTGCTGGGATGGCCAGTTCCTGCCTGGCCAGGGCTGGTCTCAATTCTCCTTCTATGGATGCCAGCTGAGTTCTTTCTGGTGTTGCTCTCTGCGGTGAAACACTGAATTCAGTGTCTAGTACCACAGTCACTATGCTTTCTCTCTTCCAAGAGCACAGGTTATTTCTCCACACCACATGGCCACTGCCAGGAGATGGGGGAGGGGAGGAGTTGGCAATTCAAAACTGTTTGTATTCTACTCTCTTCGGTGCCTTTTTCTATGATATGAAGTTAAAATTAGGTACTCTGATCACTCACCTGATATTTGGTTCTTACGAAGGTGCTTTCTTGTGTGGATATTTGTTTCATTTGGTGTCCCTGCAGAAATGGCAGTCAGTGAATGCTTCTATTCAGCCATCTTGCTACACCTCCCCTAAAGGTTCTTTAATAAGAGTAAAAGTAAAATTAACTGTAAAAACAAGTATTATTGTAATTTGATTTGTAACTTCTCTTATTCTACAAGCAGAATAAAACAAAAGCATATTAATAAGTACACAACATATAAATATTTAATTTGCAAGATAAATAACATGAAGTAGGGTGGGTTGGGCTCTAGGGAGCTGAGTTTTTATATGGAATTTGAGTTATGTTGTTATCAGTTTGAAATAGATTATTAAAACTTTAATATTATATTTCATTTCCATGGTAATCACAAAGGAAATATCTATAGAATATACACTAAAAGAAGTTAGAAGAGAATCAAAATATGTTATGACAAGAAAATCAAATAAACACAAAAAAGGGAAGTAATAAGTTAAATGAGGGGAAAGAAGTTATAAAATACACACAAAACAAATATAAAATTGCAATAATAAATATTTTATCAGAAAATTACTTTGAATTCAATGGATTAAACTACCCATAGAGAGACATAGATTGTCAGAAAGAAAAAATAATTTTAAAAACATCAAAAACAGGTTCCAAAGAAATACTGTTTATTAGAAACTTTACATCCAAGTATCTGCATAGGTTAAAAGTGAAAAGATGAAAAAGATAATCCATGGAAATAGCATCTAAAAGACAGAAGGGATGACTATACTAATGTCAGACAAAATAGACTTTAGTCAAATAACTTTTACAAGAGACAGAGAAGAAAATTTAAAGATGACAAAAAGGTCAATTCACCAAGAGCATGTAACAATTATAAACATGTACGCGCTAAACATTAGAGGTTCAATATGTATGAAGCAAACATTGAAGAAATTGAAGGCAGAAGTAGATAGCAGTAAAATACTAGCAGAAGCCTCAAATATTCCACTTTTATTAATGTATAAAACAGACAAGAGTTCAGTAAGGAAATAGAGTACTTGAACAGTATTATAGATCAATTGCACCTAAAAGACCTATACAAACAGTCCCATAAAAACACATTTTTCTCAAGTACGCATGTTAAATTCCCTAGGATAGACCATAGGTGAGACCACAAAACAAGTCTTAACGAATTAAAAAATACTGAAGTCATACAAACAATATTTTCTTGTCACAGTGGAATGAAACCAGAAAATCAACAGTAAAAGGAAAACACAAATTCACAAATATGTAGAAATAAGACAACACACTCTTAAACAACCAAAGGTCCAAGTAAGAAATCACAAAGGATATTAAGAAATATTTTTAGACAAATGAAAATGAAAGCACAATATTCCAAAACTTAACAAATGCAGAAAAAGTAGTGCTAATATAAGAGGGAGATTTATAATCATAATTGCTTACATGCAAAAGAAGATCTCAAATCAACAACTTCACTTTATATTATAAGGAATTAAAAAGAGCAAAACAAACACAAAACTACCAGATGGGAGGAAATAATAAAGATTAGAGCATTAACAAATAAAATAGAAAACAGAAAAACAAGAAAATTAATAAAACCAATAATTATTTTTTTGAAAAGATCAATAAAATTGACTAATCTTTAAGTAAAATGACTAAGAAAAAAGATGACTCAAGTAACTAAATTTAGAAATAAAACTGGGGCATTAATGATTTAAGAGAAATAAAATTATAGGATCATATTATGAACAAGTATACACCAACACATTGGATAATTCAAATTAAATGAAAAAAATCCAAAAACATAAACTACCAAAAATGAATCATGAAGCAATAAAAAATCAGAAAAATACCTGTGACAAGTAAGAGGATAGAATCAATAATTAACAATTTTCTAGCAAAGACCCGTACTTAATAGCTTCATTAAATTTTACCAGATACTTAAAGAATAATTAACCAGTATTTATCAAACTCTTCCAAAAAATTAAAGAAGAGGAAACAATTCCGAATTCACTGTGAGGCCAGCATTTTCCTGGTATCAAAGAGACAAAGACACTACTACAGAGAAACTACAGAGTAATATCTATTATGAATACTGATGTAAAATTTCTTAAGAAAACACCAGCAACCCAAATTCAATAGCATATATAAAGGATTATACAGTGTGACCAAGTGGAATTTTTCCAGAATTCCAGAATATATAAAAGAAATATATATTCTTATATTTTTGTATAAGAAATATGTTTATCACGTAAAGAGAACATAGTGCTCATAGAAAGAAAATTTATATTATATTACATACAAGAATGTATTTCTTGATTTAATATACAGAAGTCAATCAAGTACATCACATTAACAGAAAAAAGGAAAAAATTATTTCAATTGATGCATAAAAAGCATTTCAGTTTTTTTCTTTTCACTTTTTAAAAATTTTTTATTATACTTTAAGTTCTGGGATACATATGCAGAATGTGCAGGTTTGTTACATAGGTATACATGTTCCATGGTGGTTTGCTGCACCCATCAACCCATCATCTACATTAGACATTTCTCCTAATGCTGTCCCTCCCCTAGCCCTCCACCCCATGACAGGCCCTGGTGTGTAATGTTTCCCTGCCGGTGTCCATGTGTTCTCGTTGTTCAGCTCCCACTTATAAGTGAGAACATGTGGTGTTTGGTTTTCTGTTCCTGTGTTAGTTTGCTGAGAATGATGGTTTCCAGATTCATTTACATCCCTGCAAAAGACATGAACTCATCCTCTTTTATGGCTGCATAGTATACCATGGTGCATATATGCCACATTTTCTTTATCCACTCTGTCATTGATGGGCATTTGGATTGGTTCCAAGTCTTTGCTATTGTGAATAGTGCTGAAATATACATACGTGTGCATGTGTCTTTATAGTAGAATGATTTATAATCCTTTGGGTATATACCTAGAAATGGGATTGTTGGGTCAAATGGTATTTCTGGTTCTAGATCTTTGAGGAATCACCACACTGTCTTCCACAATGGTTGAACTAATTTATACTCCCACCAAAAGTGTAAAAGTGATCCTATTTCTCCACATCATCTCTAGCATCTGTCATTTCCTGACTTTTTAATGATCACCATTCTGACTGGTGTGAGATGGTATCTCATTGTGGTTTTGATTTGCATTTCTCTAATGAGCAGTGATGATGAGCTTTTTCTCATGTTTTTTGGCCACATAAATATCTCCTTTTGAAAAGTGTTTGTTCATATCCTTTGCCCACTTTTTGATGGGTTTTTTTATTTTTTTCTTGGATATTAGCCTTTTGTCAGATTGATAGATTGTGAAAATTTTCTTCCATTCTGTAGGTTGCCTGTTCACTCTGATGATAGTTTCTTTTGCTGTGCAGAAGCTGTTTAGTTTAATTAGATCCCATTTGCCAATTTTGGCTTTTGTTGCCATTGCTTTTGGTGTTTTAGTCATGAAGTCCTTGCCCACGCCTATGTCCTGAATGGTATTGCCTAGGTTTTCTTCTAGGGTTTTTATGGTTTTAGGTCTTACGTTTATGTCTTTAATCTACCTTGAGTTAATTTTTGTATAAGGTGTAAGGAAGGGGTCCAGTTTCAGTTTTCTGCATATGGCTACTCAGTTTTCCCAATACCGCTGATTAAATAGGGAATCTTTTCCCCATTCTTGTTTTTGTCAGGTTTGTCAAAGATCAGATAGTTGTAGATGTGTGGTGTTATTTCTGAGGTCTCTGTTCTGTTCCATTGGTCTATATATCTGTTTTGGTACCAGTACCATGCTGTTTTGGTTGCTGTAACCTTGTAGTATAGTTTGATGTCAGGTAGTGTGATGCCTCCAGCTTTGTTCTTTTTGCTTAGGATTGTCTTGGCTATATGGGTTTTTAGGTTCCATATGAAATTTAAAGGTGTTTTTTCTAATTCTGTGAAGAAAGTCAATGTCAGCTTGGTGGAGATAGCAATGAATCTATAAATTTCTTTGTTAGTAGGGCCATTTTAATGATATTGACTCTTCCTATCCATGAGCATGGAATGGTTTTCCATTTGTTTGTGTCCTTTCTTATTTCCTTGAGCAGTGGTTTGTAGTTCTCCTTAAAGAGGTCCTTCACATCCCTTGTAAGTTGGACTCCTAGGTATTTTATTCTCTTTGTAGCAATTGTGAATGGGAGTTCACTCATGATTTGACTTTCTGTTTGTCTATTATTGGTGTATAGGAATTCTTGTGATTTTTGCACATTGATTTTGTATCCTGAGACTTTGCTGAAGTTGCTTATCAGCTTCAGGAGATTTTTGGGCTGAGACAATGGGGTTTTCTAGATATACAATCATGTCATCTGCAAACAGGAACAATTTGACTTCCTCTCTTCCTGTTTGAATACCCCTTATTTCTTTCTCTTGCCTGATTGCACTGGCCAGAACTTCCAATACTATGTTGAATAGGAGTGGTGAGAGAGGGCATCCTTGTCTTGAGCCCATTTTCAAATGGAATGCTACCAGCTTCTGCCCATTCAGTATGATATTGGCTGTGGGTTTGTCATCAATAGCTTTTATTAATTTGAGATATGTTCCAGCAATACCTAGTTTATTGAGAGTTTTTAGCATGAAGAAGTGTTGAATTTTATCAAAGGCCTTTTCTGCATCTATTGAGATAATCATGTGGTTTTTGCCATTGGTGATGTATTACATTTATTGATTTGTGTATGTTGAACCAGACTTGCATCCCAGGGATGAAGCCAACTTGATCATACTGAATAAGCTTTTTGATGTGCTGCTGGATTAGGTTTGCCAGTATTTTATTGAGGATTTTCACAACGATGTTCTTCAGGGATGTTGGCCTGAAATTTTCTTTTTTTGTTGTGTCTTTGCCAGGTTTTGGTATCAGGATGATGGTGGCCTCATAAAATGAGTTAAGGAGGAGTCCCTCTTTTTCTATTGTTTGGAATAGTTTCAGAAGGAATGGTACCAGCTCCTTTTTATACTTCTGGTAGCACTCGGCTGTGAATCCATTCTGGCCCTGGGCTTTTTTTGGTTGGTAGGCTATTAATTACTGCCACAATTTCAGAACTTGTTATTAGTCTATTCAGGGATTTGACTTCTTCCTGGTTTAGTCTTGGGAGGGTGTATGTGTCCAGGAATGTATTCATTTCTTCTAGATTTTCTGGTTTATTTGTGTGGAGTTGTTTATAGTATTCTTTGATGGTAGTTAGTATTTCTGTGGGATCAGTATCAGCTATCCCATTTATCATTTTTTATTGTGTTTATTTGATCTTTCTCTCTTTTCTTCTTTATTAGTCTGTCTAGTGGTCTATCTATTTTGTTGATCTTTTCAAAATCCAGCTCCTTGATTTATTAATTTTTGAAGGGTTTTTTGTGTTCTATCTTCTTCAGTTCTGCTCTGATCTTAATTATTTCTTGTCTTCTGCTAGCTTTTACATTTGTTTGCTCTTACTTCTGTAGTTCTTTTAATTGTGAATGTTAGTGTGTCGATTTTACATCTTTCCTGCTTTCTGTTGTGGGCTTTTAGTGCTGTAAGTTTCTCTCTAAACGCTGCTTTAGCTGTGCCCAGAGATTTGAAATAAGCCAGTCACAAAAGGACCAATGTTGGGGACCTCATATGGGGTACTTAGAATTGTCAAATTCATAGAGACAGAAAGTAGAATGGTGATTGACAGGGGCTAGTAGAGGGAAAATGGAGAGTTATTATTTAATGAGTACAGAACTTCTGTATGAAATAGTGAAAATATTTCAGAGATGAGTGATGATGATGGTTGCACTATGATGTAAATTTAATTAATGCCACCGAACTTTACACTTAAATGGCTTAAAACAGTACATTTCATGTTATGTATATTTTAGCACAATTTAAAAATCCATTTGAGAAACAGAGAAAGAGTTCTAGGTAGTGCTGAAGGTTCCCTGAGGTTTACGATAATGAATATAAAACAAGACCAGTCAGCAAATTGTGTCCATTTCTCCGGTAGCTTTCTACTGTTCAGGAGAAGGTACAGAAAATGCAGTTTTGGATTATATCAGGGTTGGGATTTTTTCAAGTAAGCATGAAGGAGGAAAAGGAAAGGAAAGCAATGAGGAAGGGGTGTCAGAATGATTACATGAGGACATGGGTGAGTTCATGGAGAGTGAAAGAGGTTTGGCTATGTGTAGCGAGTGCCTATTGTTAGTGGGAGACACCAGAAGAAAGGAGCTGTAAACATGGGGCTTGTTTGGAGCCCCAGATCTCTGCTACACAATCCAAATCCAGCCATCTCAGTCCCAGTTTCATATTGGAGTCACCTAATAGCAGTTGTCAGTTCTGACTAAAATATCCATGGGGACAACCCTGGGTGCTGTGCCTAGCAGGGATGTCCAGGACAGAAACAGTAATCCCAAGGTGCTCCATGTGTGTTATCTCCCATTCTATGGGTCTGATCTGGAGTGATTGGTTCAGGAAAATTCTGGGATCTGCAATCACCCACCACACCCCTGTGTTCCCCGTGTTCCCTCAGTGAGCTTCACGTTGTCCTTCTTTTCCCCCATACAACCCGAATACAAGACCCTTAGTAGAAAAAGACCTAGGCAGAGGACACACATGAATAGGTCATGTTTTAGAGACAGACTCATGTTGCAGCAACCATTACCATGAAGGTTTATATGTATATTTGTACATTTATCACAAATTCTAAGGAAAAAAATATCAGGCAGACTGAGTTTCTTGACCACAATGCAATATTATCAATAAAAATACAATTCCAACACTCCTGAGGTATTTGGGACCTTTAAAACATACTTCTAAGTCACTCATGAATTAAAGAAGTAATCATAATAGATTTACAAAATATCTTGACAAGAATAACAAAGAAACTCAATATAACCAAATTGCAGGTTGCAGCTAAAGTAGTAGTTGGAGGAAATTTTATAGCTTTAAATTCAACTTTGTAGCTTTAAAATCACACATTTAAAGGAAATTGTGTGCATTTTTAAAAATTAAATGCACATTTCAAAACAAAAAGCTGAAACTTGAGTTACTCATTAATGAGTTGTGCATTTAATCACAAATCTAGACCAAAACAATGAAAACACGAATGAAGACAATGATAAAAATAAAAGCAAAAAAGTTATACAAAAGAAAATCTAAATTGATCTATAGAAATATTCAGGAAAACCAAAAGCTGATTCTGTAAATTATAACAACAGAATTGAAAACGTATGGCAAAACATCAAGAAAAAAAAAGGAGAGAAGGAAATACAAGCACAGTAGTCCCCACTTATTCACAGAGAACATGTTCCGCGACTCCCAGTGGATGACTGAAATCTCAGATAGTAGTCTGAAACTCTACATACACTACATTTTTTCCTCTGCATACATGCCTATGGTAAAGTTTAATTTATAAATTAGACACAGTAAGAGATTAATAACAGTAGCTAATAATACAATTTAACATTATAATAATGCTAGCATCGCTACTCCTGTGCCTTGGGACCATTGTTAAGTGAAATAAGGGTTACTTAAACTGCAATACTGTGACAGTTGATCTGATAACCAAGATGGCTACTATGTGACTAATAAGCATGCTGAGTCTGCAGCATGGAGACCCCAGACTAAGGCATGAATCACATCCCAGGTGTGACACAGCCAGGCAGCATGAGATTCCACCACACCACTCAGCGCATTTTATTAAAGTACCTGTGCACAATTTATAACTGATAACTCATAAATTATCTGTTTCATCAGAAAGCAAAACAGCGGATAAAGGGGAACTACTATTGACAATTATAAGCCCCAAATACTTTGAGTCAGTCTTGGTTAAAATTAGAAGAAATCAAAGGCTACTAGTTTCAATGTTAAGTAATAAGAAATTTCAAGAAGTTTTGAAGATATCAGTGCTTTTTAGCCAGGTGGTGTAAACTTTTTTTAAAAAATTTATCTGTTTTTTAACTTCTATTTTGTCATAAAACTGCTTTCCTGGCAAGTTTATTGAGAAGAAATTATCCTAAGGGGTTCTAAACAAAATGATGTATATTATGCTATAAAATCAAACTCAGTTTCAAGGCTGTGATTACTGTAATATTTGTTTTTGTTGTTTGTTATGAGAAATTGTATTTACTCATTTGATATTTGTTAAAGAAGCTTATATTTACTGATAAACCTTGTAATATATGTCCACTGATTAAGTCTTCAAATATATTATTAGATTTAAACTCAAGCTTATAAGTTATCTTGGAATTAGAGTAGTCATCTGTGAGCTATTTCTTCTTGCCTTTGTCTATGTAAGTAAAACATAAATGGGGATAAAATTGATACATAAAACATTATATGCAAATATATATTTTCTAGGACAATGATGATGGAAATGGATGATATAATCTCAGATAGAGTTAAGACAAGACTATAAACAACTTTCCTATCACCATTTTAAAAATAATGTGATATTATTTTTCATAAAACAATATATATTAAAAATAATATAGTATATTATTGTATCATATGCATATTGTGTTTGTGTATATATGTGTATATATATACATATATATATTTTTATATATATGTAAAACAATACTGACTCCAAAAGAAGTACAAAATCTAAATTTACTAATAATCATGAAACGATTAAATCATTAGTCTAGAAACTTCTACCTAGAAAGGCATCAATCCTGAATGGTTTTACAGGTTTCACCAAATCCTCAATAAAGGGATAATTTCTGTTTTATACAAACTGTTTTAAAGTACAGATTTTTGTTTAAGGCAAAACTATTCAAATAATTTTAAGTAGTAATACAATATTTGACCAAAAACTAGACAATAATCATAAAAATATAAGCTGATCTAATTTAGAAACATAGAAGCAATACTCTTAAAATATTAAAAATAATAGTACATTAAAAATCCATCAAGACTAAGTAGTATTTATCCCATGTATGCAAAGATGTTCAACATGAGATAAGCTAGTAATTTACCACATTAATAAAAAAGAAAAATACTGTGATAATCTAAATAGGTGTGAGAGAATAATACGATGTAATATAATGCTCAGTTATGATTAAAATAAACTCTTAGCAGAGTAGAATAGAAGGAAATTTCCATGACTTGATTAGAAATTCCTTATTAGCGATATCTAAACCCATCTCTCCAGCTGCGTGCTAGATCTCATTCTCTCTCACTTACTTGAAGCCATTCCCTCTGCAATTCTCCTTTTTGTCTCCTGTATCACTGTTTTTTTCTTTGTCTATTGGATATTTTTTCATCGGCATACAAACATGTATTTCTCCTCTCCCACTCTCTCTCTCCTCATTATAGCTACAGCCTTGAATATATAGAGTTATTTATATTCACTGTGTAGATTTCTCTTTCCATTTTCTCTTCAAATCTTTCAAAGAGGGTTTTGGCCCCCTCATTTTATTTAAGGTGATCCCCTCAAGGTCACAGATGACATCAACGTCATTGCAGTCAATGGTTAATTCTTAGATAAATTGTCCTTGGCCTGTCCATAGCATTCGATACCATTAATCACCCTTTCCTCCTCTTTATATATTGTTCATTTGGTTTTTAGAATGTCACAATCTCTCAACTTTCCTCTTAACTGGCTGTTCATTCTCACCTTTGCTGGTTCCTCATCTTCTCTACAATATCTCAGCCTTGGAGTGTCCCAGGGCTCAGTACTCAGTACTATTGAGTTCACCTAGTCTTAGGACTATTACAGTCTATTTGCCAGTGACTCTCAAATTTATATCTCTCGTCAGATTTCTCTTATAAATGTTAAATTGAATATCGAAATGCCATATCAACATCTTTATGTGGATGTCTAATCGACATCCCAAGCCTTCCATGTCCAGAGCTGGACTCTAGAACTTCTCCACCTTAACCTGTTTACCTTTGGTCTTTTTCTGCCCAGTTGAGAGAAGATTTATCTGTCTAGTTGTTTAGCCCAAAAGTTTTAGAATTCTTTTTAATAGTTTGCTTTTTCTCAAAAAACACACCCAATCCAACAGAAAACTCAAAATCTGATCACTTATTTCTCACTTTCTCCACTGCCTTGAATCTTGTCTGAGAATTTCCCTCTTCCTGGAACGTTCTTCCCCAGATATCCGCAAGGCAAACTCTGTCTTCCAAGTCTTTCCTCAAATCTCACCTGCCTGTCCTGATAATTCCACTTAAAGGCACAGCCCATGCTCTCTGTGACCTAAGCCCACCAGTTCTTCTTCATACTTCTCTCATAGTATTTATGATTATGTAACATAATGATGGGGTTCAGGATGTGCTATCCAAAATCAGGCGCTTTGGTATACTGAGTATTTTAAGCTGAAGGGAATTGAGGAAACTGCAGAAGTAGGTCATAGAAATTAGAATTACCCTTGCCCCTTTTCCCCTGAAGCAGGCCTTAAACTGAACTGACCTTCTGCTGACGTAGGCTGTTCCAGAAATGTCACCGAAGGACATAGAGACCAATTTGAACAAACACGCCTTGCTCAGTTCCCCCAGGTTTATTATCATCAGATCCTACCCTTTTGTCCTCCAATCATAATTCTGCATGACTATCCACAAAAGTAGTTCTCCCTGTTCCCATGGGTCTTCATTTCTGAAGGCTCCTGTGTCACATAAAATTTAAATAAACTTGTATGCTTCTCTCTTGTTAATCAGTATTTTGTCATAAGGGTCTCAGCCATGAACCCTATGATGGGTGAGAAAAAGAATCATTTGTTTCCCCTACAATGCCATATGTTATTTATTTATTTATTTTTGTTTCCTTTGTCTCCTTTTGGTAGAATGTGAGGTACATAAGAGAAGTAAAGCTTATCCTTTTTGTATACTATGTATTTCAAACATCTAAATGAAGAGGAGAGCCCTCTTTATCAAAAAGATATTAAATTTATAGTGATTTTAAAAGTATGGTATTGGTGCAAGAACAGACAAAACTAATCAACTGACTAGAAGACCTAAACACAGATCCAAACATTTTAAGCCTTATTATTTAAAAGAGATAGTTTTTTAAAGTCAGTGTGGAAAACATAAGTGGTTAAAAATGGCACAAAAATAACTTTCTTTCTAGTCCAGGTGCAGTGGCTCAAGTCTGTAATTCCAGCACTTTGGGAGGCTGAGCCAGGAGGATTGCTCGAGCTCAGAAATTTGAGACCATTCTGGGTAACACAGTGAGACCTTGTTTCTACTAAAAGTCAAAAAATTAGCCAGGCATGGTGGTGTGCACCTGTAGTCCCAGCTACTTGGAGGGCTGAGACAGAAGGATGGCTTGAGCCCAGGAAATCAAGGCTGCAGTGACCAGAGATCGTGCCACTGAACTCCAGCCTGGGCCACAGAGTGAAATCCTGTCTCAAAAAAAAAAAAAAAAAAAAAAAAACTTATCATATGTATTATACCTTCCCCACCTTATCTGAAACTCAACTCTACATGGATTTAATGAAAAACCATAAAGTTATTAAAAGAACAAGTAGGTATATATCTTACAAAGTTGGTATAGAAAATAATTTCCTAATTGATGGGTGAAGCCAAAAAGTTTACATATTAAATACTTTAGAGAATTGGCAATTTCTAGTGAAATTGAGAAAATGTATACTAAATGAGTTAATAACTATTTCTAGGTAATTCTCTCATATGTGCATAAGGAGTCATATACAAGAATCTTTATAGATACATAGATTTTAATATTGGAAGCAACTCCAAAAATCTACTGATGGGAAATGAAAAAATAAATTCAGGTTTACATACATCAGGAAAATTTATGTGTAATTTAATATGTATTAGTTTTACTAAATAAATAAAAAATAATTTTCTATCTAATCATACATGTACAAAGATTTTTATCATAATAAGAGTACATAACTTGGATAAGGGAAGCACATACCAAATTCATGGTAGGAAAAGCTAAGACAAAGTAAAATGGAAAGAGATTAAAAACAAATTCTGACATTTCTGAGTTTGTAGACTGTATAAGTTATCTATACAGCTGTATAACAAAACATCCAAAAGCCGAGTAGCTTAAAACAACCATGTATTTTGTTCATAATTCTGTGTATCAGTAGGTGGTTGATCCAGGCTAACTTGGTTTCGGTTCACCTCGGTTGGACTCTCATAACAGGTCAGCGGGTGAGTTAGCTATGGTGTGGATGATATAGGCTGCACTCAGGTCCATGTCGGGCAGTTGGTGAGCTAGTTGAGTAACGAGTGCCTTGAGTGGAATGGCTCTTCCTGCTTATCTCTGCATGAGGCCTGTCATTCTTCCCCAGGCTAGCCTGAGCTGCTTCCCATGGTGCTCATAGGATTTAAAGAGGAAACAAGCTCCGGGGCACAAACACTTCTAAAGCCTCTGCTTTGTCACATTTGCTGACATCCGATAAGTTAGAGCCAGTCCCAGCTGAGCACAGATTCAGAATGAGAGGGCTCTCAGAGTTATACACCTGAAGGGAGCATGGATGCAAGAAAGAGGGATATTTATGATTTTGAAATAACCCAAACAACAGTGTATAATTATGTAAGATGGAACTCATTAAAGAAATACAAAAATACACACACAGACACATATGTTTTAAATAACAAGAAAGACAAAAATCTAAGATCACTTAAACCTGGGGAAGAGGGAAAACTAAAGCAATTGGTAAAGAGCATAAAAAATAACTAATACCTTTTAGAAAAGTGTCATGTGGTGTTTCTAACATGGTTAAGGGTTTGGTGAGGAACCAAGAAAGGAAAGAGACAGATGGCTTAATTTCTTCTTGTTTTCTGTTTTCATCTTGGTATCACCAGAAGGTGGTACCTTCCAGACAGCAGATTTTCTCCAAGAATGGAAAACTAGAAGGCATTTTACATTTTAAAAAAATAATGAGAGTTAAACAAATTAACTTGTAGTAAGCAAACAAGCAATGCAGGTGGGAAGGGTAGATGAATGAAAAGAATGAGGACAGGGTAAGGCTCAAAGTTCCCAATGGCACAGCTCACCCTGGATGAGATGGAAGCAAAACAATTTTATACATCCTTCAGCATCCAGGCTTTTAATTTACTCTGAACAGAATTTCTCCTATTCTTAAAATCTGTAATGATAGAGATTTCATATCCTGCTTTGAAAACACATTCCCTGCATCTCACCGTGCTCACAATCAGGAAGCTTTTTCTGTGGTCTAGCCTATATTTGCGTTGCTGCAACACGCTAATTTCCTGTGAGGCTATGACCTCGGTGGAGATGGTGAATATAACCCTCCCTATAATATTCTTTCATAGATCAGATATAATAGGCTGAGTCCCTTTCACATTTCTGTAGATTTCTCTTAAAAGACTAAGATTCAGACTAGACATAAGGGCCTGACCAATAGCACAAAGCAGTAAAAAAGGAAAAGTGTAGCCAGTTTTTGTAGGCAATTCACACACTTATTAGCACAAGTGGCCTTTACCTTGGGCTTTCTTTATAGCCCTGGGATATAAAAACCTCACTTGTTACCTACAGTCTCTTCAATGTCAAATGTTCTCACTGTAATCTAGAGGCAGTGTGCAGAGAAGGTAGGGATCACTGTGCTCAGAGCAGGGATCCCAGTTTAAGTTCAGGTTCTACCACTTATTTTTTTGTATGACCTTGGCCAAGTGGCTTAAGTCTGTGTCTGACACTCTTCACTGTAAGGATAATAAGATCCACCTCTCTCCTCTCTCAAACTTGATGGAGAAGATTTAATAAAATAATGGACCAGAAAAGGACCTTGCAAACTGTAAACCAATAAAGCCATGTAAAGCATTAGCCCTGTTCACAAACTTCTAGGCAAAGGGCAGCTGCATCATGGTTCTTTACAGGAAATTTTAAACAATGTTCAAAATCACGCAATCTTTATCCCGGGGTTGTGAGTTGAGTGGGTTAGTTTAAAAATAAGCTATTATTTATAATGAAATTTTTAAATAGTTTTCTTTATAAATAATTCTATCAACAGTATGATCTTAAGGCATCTCACAAAAGTCTATTTCATTTGAGTGCCTACTGCATGTGCACTGTGTTAGATATAGGAGATAATAAAGATGTATAAGTCAGTCTCCACCCTCATGGATCCACAGATAAAGGGGAGAGCTTGAGAAGTAACTTATCATATAATGTGCAAAGTACCATTATCAAGACATACACATGTGCTAAGCTATTCTACTGCCCTTTATTGCAAAAACAAGAAAAAGATGAATCTCATTAAATATGGCATAGAAAGCCTTCCGAAATTTGAATCTCTACTGTTTGCTCTCACCCCCTTGTACTTTTACTTCTGCTATGTCTTGGCCAACCAAAGTGACTTACAGTGTTTCAACTGGATATGGCTGTGTCTAGTCCCTGTGAGTTTGTCTATCGTGTTCTTCTTCCCTGGCATGTCCTTTCCTGCTTTACCTATAGAATAACCATTCATCATTTAAGTCCAAGCTGAGTCCTCATTTTTTTAAACTTTAATTCCCTTCTCTTTTGTCCTCTGCACCCCATCCCATCCCCACTAGCCTAAATTACAACCTGAGACTGCAGGATGTTGAATGAATTGTCCTCGTGGCTATGGAATATGAAATAGAGAGAATCACAGTGAAGCAAGTACTGGAACCTTTAAAGAACAAGGGGAAATGATCAGTAGGTCAATGGGTGAAGAGAAGAGAGAGGGACGGGGGTGGACATGGTCTAATGGCCTGATTCCAGAGGCTTGGAGATTTTAAGTAAAAACGAAGTGGTTTGCAAGCAGCAATGGAGGACCACGAGTACAGTTTCAAACCTACAGGTGTTTGTAGGGGAAGTGAGAGAGAAAAACAGCATCCATGTGAGAGAGGAACTGGAGAAGTAATATCTTCAAGGGCAGTTAGGAGAACAGCATCAAAACAGCACTTAGGGCAGGAATTCAGGATGCACTGAAGATTGGACCAGAATCCAGAAGGGTGGAAGACTGGACCAGAGTCGTGGCTGTGTGACTGGAATGTGATATGGGATATGTTCACTCCGCAATGGCATCTGGCTATCCGGTCTGGGTGACACAGGCTTATCTGGGAGGCATGGATTTCTGTTACAATGAGATGAGTAAGAATGTGACACAATTTGGTTGGCCACAGTTGGTTGGTTGTTTCAGTGGTGGCTGCACGACCGAAGACACACCTGCTGAACGTTAGAAATGTTCAGACTGAAACTTGGAACAGAGATTCAGGATGTTCTAGTGTCAAAATGTGTGAGGTATGAGGCTCATGAACTGTTTCCAGCTGTGTCTCCTGCCATGTGGAGGAGCCTATCCTGCAGCAGGAAAGAATCCCACAGGCAGAGAAAAGTAGATTTGGAAAGGGGAGTGGGCATGCCCTGCGGATGTCAGGGTCCTGGTTCTAGGTTCCCACTGAGCTGTGTCCCTGCTCTTGTAGTTACATAGCACTTGCAATGCGTTCCTCTTCCTACCGAAACAATTTCAATGTGGCTAACTCTCAGTTACCACCAAAGAAGTCTTAATGCATGAATCTAATTTAAAAAGAAAGAAAACATCAGCAAAATTTGCTGCTGTATCATTACCAAGAAATCGCTTGTGACTCATCTCGAAACTGAATGTGACACTGCTAATTAGGACAGACAGTTGAGAGCAACTTGCCTCACAAAAGTGGGGACTCCAGCCACGACCCCAGAGAGCCGAAAGGTTATGCCTTTTCTCTTTTTACCTTCTTCAAGCCATGCTGGGTTCCCAACAATCCTGTTGTCTGAGTCCCTTTTGCTTGGGCCTTCTACTTATCTATTTGTGATCAGTTCACTGTTTCAGTTTGGGCCTCGGTCTGATTCAGTCCCCTGATGACATGCCTTGGCCTGGACTCTCCTGCAGAAACTCTTAACTTCTGTGTTCATTCCATAGCCCCAAACACTCCCCTGAAACACTCCCAATCCCCTGTTTTGTGGCAAAACACACTTCTTGAGACCTTGCCTTAGTGGGATAATATTAAAAGTTGTCACCATGGTTTTGATATTGTTGAGTTCAGTGCACAGTGATCCTAGCTAATGACACACAAACTTCTTTGTGAGATTAATTAATGTGAACTTAGGAGCAAGAGTAGCAAGCCACATATATCTCTGAGCCCCTGTAGTTATTGCAGGGAGAACGGTGACATGTGTCTGCTGTAGTCAACCTGCTGTCTGGACATACTCATGGGCAAGAGTAGGGCATCAAGGGATCATGCCCCTGAAACCAGAACTGCCCTCCTTCAGTATTCTCTTTTCTGGAGAAGTTCATTCTTCCCACCTCCCCACTCTGCATACTCATAACCTATATTCTTTGAACCTCTTCTATTGAAAGAAAATTAAATAACTTCTCTTCCACGCTTATGAAATGAAGAGTAGTATTAATATTAATTTGGTATTAGGCATTAGTGATGATGTCCATTTGAATATCTAAATGTCATCTTTAGGACTCATCCCATCAGTTTTGGTTGCAAATGCATTCATGTCTCTTTTATATTTTTAATTCGTTATCCAAAGATCCTCATGCCCACATTAATAGAAAGTAGTGTCTCACTTTCTTAAGGTCAACCCCTCCTCAATTATCCAAGCCCCAAGGAAATCACTCAGTCCACAAAAGGAAGGAGGGGAGGGAGCTCTCTCTCTCACAAATGCCAGACAGAGAACGAATGGAGTACCCTACTGGTCTTCTGCCACTCCTTCTGGTAGCTGTATGTTGTCACTGCTAAGAACGACAGTGCTTGCCCGTGCTGCTGAGAGGCTTTGCCTGTCAAAATCCCTGCTAGCTCTGCATAGGACCGCATGCTTGGTTGCCAAATTTATGGCTTCCTAGTTCACATGGACAATCAGTCACTTTCCTTCAAAGCATACTGCAAGCCAGGTAGCTGGTTCCAAGAAGCTTGGCATCACTGCCACAACCACTTTTTCCAAGGATCCCTGGTTTAGAGCAAGTGTTTCATGTCTAGATTTGATTTTTCTTCAGGTTAATACCCTTCTTTGCCATGGAACCATGCCAGGTCCATGTGTGCTCCTAACTTCAGATCTCACGGAGCCTGCTCATGTGTCTCTAAAACATGTTGACTTCCATTAAAATAACACCAAAGGATGTATTGCTTGGGGTACAAGGTATTTATTAGGGATTGAAATCTGTGAAGGCAAGGGTAGGAAGCAGAAGGAGAGGTCGAACCATGATTCAGGCCCAAGAAAGCCTTGGCCGACCTGGTGGGGAGCTCTGGAGAAAGTCTTCTGTCCAACCTGCACTTCTGTCCAACCTTGCTATGCGCTTAGACCCTGCATCATTGAGTCACCACATGGGGGCTGTTCCAGGAAGGTGGTGGCCTTGAGCAGAGTGGCTTTTTGTGGTGTGGCAGGCCTGGAAGGAGCTGCCAGCCGTAGGCTGCCTGCTGAGCACACTTGCTTGCCAGCCACCCTGGTTTCAAAGGGCTCCTGGGCAATGAGTCTCCTCATCTAGCACTGGCAGAATCACTGTAAATCAAGCTGAGTATAAAGCATAGAGCTGACCTTCCCAAAGGGAACTACCTGAATAGACAAGGTTCTTCAACCCCCACACTGGCTTTTCTGGTGTGAATGCCGCAATCATTGCCCCCTGTCCTTATCTGGGAGAAGTCCTTTCCAAGGCCTCTGTCGCTTGAGGCTGGCAGCTGTTTTGGAATCACAGAGAATGATCCTGGAAATGAGTTTTGACTGGATGGATGAGCATGGTTTCTAGACCCAGTCTCAAGCTATCGTTCTCTTTATAAGAGCTCTGCATTTTATGCTATGACCTCTCTCTCACTGCCCCATAACCCACTCTTAGAATTTAGGAGTCTTAATAAGAACAGCAGTGCAGTTCTCCACCAACTCTGTCCTAACACAATGCTGAGTTACCCCTGACTGCTGATGCCTGGCAGACAGCAACAGCACTTCCTTCTGCCCAGTGTGCCCAGATCGTTCACAATCTCACTAGGGCTCCTTTCATTCAGGAAAAGATACCTTTCAATAAACTGTTTTCTAAATTCCCTCACTTTAAGGTAACAAACCGGCTTTGGACTTGGGGGCTTTGGGTTTACCATCATCCTTCCAGGAGGACATGTGCTTCAAAATTGTGAAGTGTACATTCTCAGCCTCATGCTGTCCAGCCACATGCAGCCTCCTGTGGAGGCTGAAAAATGCTCCCATACACCCCTAAAGATCTCCACATCCTAATCCCCAGAAATTGTGAATATGTTACCTTACTTGAAAAAAGAGACATTGCTGGCGTGACTAAAGTTCAAACTCTTGAGATAGGGAGGTCACCTTGGAGTATTTGGGCGGATACAATGCAGTCATAAAGGGTTCTTATGAGAGGCAGAGGCAAGAGGGTTAAAGTGAGAGAAGGAGATGTGACAGAGGAAGCAGAGTCGGAGTGAGAGAGGGGAGAAGACGCTGTGTTTTGAAGATGGAGGAAGGCTCTACAAGCCAAGGTGGACAGGTGGCTTCCAGAACCTGAAAACATCAAGGAAATAGATTTCACTCTCAGAGCCTCCAGAATGGAGCCAGCCCTGCCTACACCTGGATTGAACCCAGTGAGACTGATTTTGGACTTCTGACCTCCAGAACTGTAGGATAATAAATGTGGATTGTTTTAAGCCACTATGTGCTTTGGTGATTTGTTACGGCTGCAACAGAAAACGAGTACATCTACTTTACTCAAAACAGGCAGTGATTGCACTCATTGCCTTAAGGCTTTCTAGACATTTCCCTCTTTGAGAACTGAGTGCAGCCTCTTCTTGAAGTGGTTGCCATGGAAGTAGCTATAAGGACATCCCCTACGAGGCTGAACCCTTGGCCCCTGGAATCACTGTGTCTCTTCTTCAGACTTGCCTCCGCAGAGACCATCGTTGAGAAACAGTGAGCACTGGAGGATGGTTTTCTTAGCAGACTTGCTTATGCTTGGATTCTAATAAGAAGAATAGTGGGTGTAAAAGAATTCTGAGTCAATCTGGAGGACAAGATTGACTACTGCCTCCCTCAAGAAAGCCCTCAGCACTGTGGACTGATCTCGAGGTGCTGTGAAACCCACGTCAACTCCTGCCCCTGAGGCCGAAGCTGGGACTTCAGGTGGGCTTCAGAGCCCAGCTTCCTCTGACCTCCTGTTACTCAGGAACCTTTATTATTGGTCCTCTCTCTGCACTTTCCAGAATTAACCTTACTCACTACCAGTGGAACACTCAGGTCCAAATGTGGACTCTCAGCATGCCATTCCAGGGTAAGGAGTCTTTCAAGTCTGCAGGTCATGTGGAATCCTTTGTCTGCTTCCATCCCATGCTCCCTCCTGCACAACCTCCTGGAGCTGCTCCTCTAAAGTCAACACCTGTGCGGAGCCTCCTTGGCCCCATGTTTCATGGTAGAAAAAATTGACATGCAAGTTCTTACAGCCTCCACATGACCAGCTACTGTTTAAGTGTTGTTAAGCCCTTGGTGACAGGGACTGAGGCGTTAGCACTTTTGAGGTCACAGATGACCTTTTGTGCAGGGTCTTGTAGACTTTTTAAATTATCATCCTTTTTTCTTGCCTCAGGGACCCGCCAGCCTAGTAATGTCTAAATGGCTTGGTAGAGTCACAGTTTAAAATCTTTTCTGTCACTGCACTTAATAAAATCGCCTGCAGTGTAGATATTTTGGGGCATTTCTCTGGACTTCACAGCCTGCCACTCGCCCACACAGGTGTGTTCACACAGTATAGACACAGCCTGACGTCCTCTAGGTACATCTGGCACAGACCTCCCTTCTAGTTCAAGCAGTCTTCTATAGTTTTAGAAACTGGGTGTACGCAGATACTGACATACATATTATCTTACAGGGCCCTTTCTCCTCTGATGCTTTGGAGAGATTTTAAAATATTTTACCGCTTTAGACAATTCATAAAAAAATTGCGTGGGTCTTACTCCCTGTTTGATATAGCCGGTTTCTAATAGGATATCCCTCGGGGACACTAACTACATCAATGTAGTTCCAACAACCTGTCTTCCTTCTGTGATGTGCCAGGGCCCCGCAGATGCAGGCAAGTCTGTGCTCCCCCGGGCGGTAGGGCCGCCGTGCGGAAACGTGCTTCTGACTCTATTCTAAAACCAGCAGGACACACACGGGCGCTGTATCCGGATCTCCCAAATCTTGCATCAGATCACCCAAAATATAACCAAATGCCCCGAGATGTGTGCCAATGCCTGCCCCATGAATGTGAGCAAGAGGGCAGCTGGCCTCTGCTCCTATCTGAGTGAAGGCAGAACCCACACCCTTCCCTGACCAATGTGGGAAGACTGCACTTTCCTATACATAGCTCCTACTCCAGTTGTGTGAGGCTGCTGGATCAATCCACTCCTGGTTGCTCTACCAGCACTGAAGGTGGAAGTCTTTTATTTGTATACTCTTCTAAAACTAGTTTCCTTAACTAGGATATTGTCCTCAAAGCCTTTGAATCAGGATTTACCATTAAGATGAAACGAATGTGCACAATTCTTTTTCTTTGTTGAAGTAGTGCCAGTTGCTTCATGGTATTGGCTCAGTCAGAAAAAATATCCTGAGAATCACTGAGTGGCCTCTCTTAGACACCGAAGAAGTGCGTGAGTGATGTCCTTTAGAGAGAAGGTCACTCTGGAAGCTCTGAGTGCAGCCTCCTTTAGAAAGGTAAAGATATGGTCGATAGTCCTGCCTGTCCTAGAGAAAGGATGGACAAGACCTTTGGTGTTTTGCGAGGACAAATACAGTGCTCCTGCTTGGGGCATGTGGCTGTCTGGGAGGAGCAGGGCAGGTGCCCGGCCTGAGCCTGTGGGGGCTGGAGGCTGTGCTGCTGCCGTGCTGCAGTGCCGGTTCCCTCTGGTGTCACCTGGACAGTAGAGCCCCAGCACATGAACACACTGGACACAGGCCTGGGGGTGCAGGGCCCTGAGTGATGATGGCGGGGAGGGACCGCCTTTTCCTTGAAGACCCTTGTGAGTTACCTCTCATCTGGGAACCGAGGTAGCCAGGCAAGTGGCAGCCACCACTGCTTAATTCCAGTCCTGGCTTTAAGAAGGCTTTGCTGTTGTGGGAAAGCTGCTGCATCCCCCAAAACTGCGTCTGCTGCCCATTTTTGAGCCACTTCAAGGCTGTCCCCAGAATGGCCCCATTCGTATCAGGCCGTGAGCTCCTTCTTGTTCCCCGGGCACAGTTCCAGTGCCAGGCACAGAGGTCCTCCACAGCTCGGCCCATGTAACTCACATCTCTAAGGCCAAAGCCTGGCATCTTCACTCCAGTGCTTTCAATGCCTCGCTTGACAGGAAGCTTAGCTTACCAGGTGAGTTTTTGTAGGAATGGCCTTGGACAATTTGACGGGGGTATGTCCCAGTGAGGACAGCATGGCGGGTGGACTGACCAGCATGCAAATATGCCTCTTTACAGAGAGTGGCCCTGCCTTTGTCCCCACAGCTGTGACTGAGGCCATACCTAGCTTCTGTGCTCCAGACGAGACTTGTTGCAGGCGGGTTCTACTCAGTGTCCAAGGCCCATACACCTGGTAAGCACATCAAGAGAGTCCTAAGTCAATCTGGACTCCCCTTCCAAATAGCAGCCCTAAGCACTACAGGAGGCCACATGCCTAGCAGGAGGGCCTGGGATGTTCCAGGGAGGTAGCTGGAACTTGTGCTGTCAGGACTGGACTCTAGTCCAGCCTCTGTCCAGCCTGTGGGGCTCTGCACAACCCCCTCCCTGAGGACATCCAGTTTCCTCCGTCACCATGCCTTCCAGCCAGCCCTTTGTACTTCAAGCTGTTTGCTGCCATGGTGTCCGCACGATGTGGAATCCTCTGCCTGCAAGTCTCTCCCAGCCTTCCCTAACCTTTGCCTGATTAACCCCAATTCCGCGTAAATGTCATTCCCTCCACGAGGTCTTTTTTGACCCCCAAGAACAGTTTGGGTCCCCAGTTTTTCCTCTGCATTCACAACGTACCTTTCCTTCTACACTTATTAATCACTTATTCTAGGTCAGATGCTGTTCAAAGTGCTTTATATATAGTAACTTACTTACTCCTAACAAAACCCCTAGGCCATAGGTACTACAGTATTTGCATAATTATTAGGAAATGTTATTGGTTAACACCACCCCATTACTGGAGTGTAAACACCATGAAGGGAGTAGCAGAAGCTACCTTGTTCATATCCTGAGCTATTGCAATGTAGTAGGTGCTCCCTGAATATGGGAAGAAATCATCCACAGGCAGTAGTAATGTTTTGCAATATTTATCCTTTTTTTTTTTTTTTTTTTTGAGATGGACTCTTGCTCTGTCACCCAGGCTGGAGTGCAGTGGCGCAATCTCCGATCTCGGCTCACTGCAACCTCTGCCTCCGGGGTTCAAGCGACTCTCCTGCCTCCGTCTCCTGAGTAGCTGGGAGTACAGGTGGATGCCACCAGGCCTCGCTAATTTTTGTATTTTTAGCAGAGATGGGATTTCACCATGTTGGCCAGGATGGTCTAGATCTCCTGACTTCCTGATCCACTCATCTCCGTCTACCAAAGTGCTGGGATTACAGGTGTGAGCCACAGCACCTGGCCAATATTTATCCTTTTTTAAGTGGAACACTCCTGGTGGACAGGGCTGATACCATATTCATTTCTATGTCCTTAGTCCCTAATGGTGCCTGAAACATAGCTAATGCTTAACATCTGTCTGTTGAGTGAATAAATGACTGTGCTGGAATCTATTAAATCAGACCCTCTTTTTGTTTCCAACAACGGAAGGTGAGCCTACAGGCTTTCCATTCTTGGCCATAATGCTCCACTTGGTTTGCCTTCATTTTTAATCTGTTTTCTCCTGGCTTGTCTGTATTTGGTTTCTTTTGCCCCCTGTGTGCACAATGTGGCACCAGGCAGAGATTTGGATCAAACAAGAGAAAGTGTCTTCGCACTGTTGGGGCTGCAGAGCCCAGGACCGTCCAGGGGACCTGAGCACAGGTGTCCATGGGAGATGCTGCTGTGATCCTCACAGTTCAAACTCAGCACTGGCTAGAGACAGGGATGAGTGACAGGACTCTGATAGCCCTCTTGGTGCTGATCTGTGATTTCATATAGAAAGAAGAGGATCCCTTATTCTGTCTGTATGTGAAACAGCAAGTGATCACATCGAGCACGGAGCCTCCATGAATAAGTGGCTATTAATAGACATTCGCTAAATGCCAGAAAACATGTTGGACATTGTACCAAAACAAAGAATTAGATAAGGTCTTTGCTAGGATAACAGCTCTTCCTAGGGAGCACAGAAAATAAATTCATTGAGTAAGTGACCAAAAAAAAAAAAAATCACAGGTAAAGAACATAAATGCAGTCAGGGTTCTGACCCTTTTGAAAAAATTTCTTACATATTTCTTTTATATGTCATGGTTTATATATAGAATGTGGCATTCACTTTCCTAAAAGGATTCATAAGCTGTTACCCAAAAACCTTTGCAGACAGGAAAATCATGATGGGCCATTTCATTTGACCTTCCTGAGTCTTGGTTTCTTTATTTGTAAAAATGAGTCGAGTGCGGTTAGCAATCAGGCCAAGAGTGATGAGACAGCACCCCTTTGTGTGATTCCAGCAGCTACTGACAGATTGAAATGCTTCCCTACTGGCTGTCCCACTGAAAGCCTCCATTGTCTGTGGACATTCTGGACATGCCCCCCAGGACCCCCTCCACCTCTCCATAATCCAGCTGTGTAGGTATCATTCCGGAGTTTTGCAGGATGCAGGTGGCCTACTCAAAAGTGTGGTTGAAGAGAGATTAATGGGAGCTCAGGTACAATGATGTGCTTGAGGTTAAAGAAAACAAGCAAGGGATGGTGAGATGCCCCAGGTCTAGCAACATCGGGAAGCTGTTAATACCCCTCTGGAGTTGTGGAGAGAATGACATTTAAGCAGAGTTGGGGTTAATCAGGCAAATGTTGGGGAGTGCTGGGAGAGACTTTGAGGCAGAGGAATCCACATCATGCAGACACCATGGCAGCAAAGGTCAAAGTGACGGAGTGTTTATGAGAATCTGGTTAGATTTGTGGCCATGGAGAGAAACCACTGATGGGAACCGAGGATTTTATAGAGAAATAGGGACTCTGCTGACTCCTGCCCAGTAGGAAGGGGCCCAAGGGAGGAGTAGCCCAACTTCTCTTTTCTCTCCCTTCCACTCTTCTGCAGGTGTCTCCCATTAGCAAGATCCAGCCTGGAGCTAGACAGTCAAGGGGTCCATTTGAGGCTGGCAGTTAAGGTCAGCCTTCTGGGTGCAGAGCAGGATGGAGGAGGATGAAGAATTGATTTGGAGGGGCCAAAGAAGGTGCTCAGTTCTAGTCAGTTAATGCTTAGCACAGCTGGTTCTGCAGGCCTGCTTCTGGGGGCTGGAGTCTGCCCTGATACCTTGGCATACCAGCTGCAGAGGATTTGTTTACTGTTAAAAAGCTTGGTCTTAGAATATAATGCCCTCTTTTCTTCTTTGCATTAGAGAGTCAAGTTTAGCCTGAAGAGAACAGGAAGCAACCCCTTCTGCTCTTAAGGCAGTAAGTCATTTTTTTTTCTTTTTTTTCTTTTTTTTTTTTGAGACAGGGTCTCACCCTGTTGTCCAGGCTGGAGTGCAGTGCCGTGGTCACAACTCACTGCAGCTCGAACTCCTGGGCTCAAGTGATTCTCCCACCTCAGCCTCCCAAATAACTGGGACTACAGGCATGTGCCACCTTGCCCAGCTAATCTTTGTATTTGTTTCATAGGCACAGGGTTTTTGCCACATTGCCCACGCTGGTTTCAAACTTCTGGACTCAAATGATCTACTCACCTCAGCCTCCCAGGGTAGTAAGTCCTTAAGTGAGAGATGGAAAAGGACTGTGGCTCACAGGAGATCCAGCCCAGCTCCTGGGCTAGAGGTTCTACCTGGGTGTTTGCAGTCAAAGCTTTACAGGAACAAGCTGAGTGTATTTACCTATGATATTTCCTTTATCTTCTCTTTGCTACTATGTGTTAGAGGCAGGCAAAAATTGAGCAATGCACGGGGTTTCAGCCATCTCTTGCTGCCACGTGTCAGTAAAGAAAGGTCTAATTGCTCTGCTCATTCCCACTGCAGGGCTTCCCTCATGTGGCTTCCCTTGCTGAGAGGCCTGACCGTTTTTCATCCACATCTTACTGTCTCCCGGCTCCTTCCTCAAGTCCTGGCTTTCCCTGGCCCTCCCAGCTGTCCCCATGTCGCTCTGTTTGTTTTGACCTTCCTCTATCCAGAGGACATGTGCACACCATTTGCCATGTCCTCTGGCTCTGCTGTCTTTTTAAGAAATCTCTGTTTAACGTATCAGTATGTATCAGTGCTGTAGCGCAGAGGATGCCTTGCAGAGGAGACCCTGAGCAGGTCTCCTGCATCTCCCAACACACCACGCATAGTACTGAGTCCACAGTGGGGCTCTTGAAGGAAGACGAGGCCACTGATGGACTGTTGTGAGCTCCTCTGTTTCGAAACCACCTAAACACCAGATGCCAGGAGCTCTGCACTCATATTCGCCAGAGTCTGAAGGCTCCCAAAGGAAGAAGTCGCTTCTCTTCACAATTTCCTTTCTCTAGATGAGGACAGTGGAGGACGTGCAGGTGTGGGAGCTGCTTCCTCCACACGGCTCACCCCTCCCCGACAGAGGACACGTGGTGCATTGAGGGTGCTGGGCATTGAGGATACTCTGAGGACCTCATCCTTCAAGATAGCTTTGCTCACCCTGCAGTTTGCCATATTCCTCACTATTCCCCCACTGGATGCTTGTTGAAGGAACTGCAATTGTCTATGCTTATCGCCTTTCCGATATTAGGCGAATGGAACGCTAACCCTGGCGAAGGCAGCCTAAAGCCGAGAGAAGCTGTCATGTCAATTTCAGTTCGACCAGGTGTTGCTTTTGCGCTATCAGTTGCCTCCCTGAGACTGCCTTTGCTTAGCAACAACCTCAGCTTTTCATAACAGCTTCTCCCTGAGTCTCAGCAGTAACTCTGGAGCTGCCAGCAGGGCGGGGAAGCCTCTCGGATTTAAATGGGATAGAAGGTAAAAATTCCCAGAGGTTGTGGGTTCCCGGAGGGTCATAAAGCCTCTGGCATTACAGCTCTGTATAATGGCTTGGCTGCTAATCTCTTTTAACATAAAGGACTGGTACCCCCATTTTATTGATGTGGTTCAGCTACCTGCTCTTACTCAATAGTGCTGGGTTAACCAGACAGGATGTGTTCTGGGCACGCATCTAGTCCTAGTGCTATTTGGCTCACCAGGAAATCTCACTTAGGAAGTTCATCTTAGCGGGGGGGGGGGGGGGCGGGGGCAGTTTGTGAAAGTGTTTTCAAGGCACTGGGAGATAAAGAAAAGGCAGAGTGTGGAATAGGCAGTATATTCTTACTCTGAGTTTTGTTTCCCGAGAGATCATTATGTTATTCCTAGAAATTTCCCAAAGCCCTAAAGCTTTTCAAAAGCCCCTGGATTAGCATGGAATTAGCCCCGGGAAAAAGGCAGCATCCAGGCTGGGATGGTGAGTGAGTCTTAGCATCTATGTTGCAGTGAGATTCAGGGCCCCAGCACAAAGCCATGTGTGTAGTGCACACCTCAGCTCCTGTGTTACCTTCCGCAAGTAGATCAGTGGTCGTGGCACCACCTAAATATGTTCAGTGACACACATCAGGATTGATAGGGCCCAGACAGAAGGTTCAATCTATTCTGAAGTGTGCAGCATTGCTCAACCTTTCACACTTCTTAACACACATGGAGCATGTGTATGTGCATAGCACAGTGGGGCGAATGGACAAAGCTGTTCACAGTTAGATGTCCCAGGCTAAGGGGTTCCAGCTGCCCAGGTTCTGCTCCCTAGATTTTCTCTAACCCAATTTTTTCATGTTAGGTGCCACAAAAGACATTAGTGAACTCTGGTTTGCAGTTGCAGAATCATTACCACTCAGAAAAGTACTTCCAGAATTCGCTAAGACTCTTGACCCTGTATCTCCTTGGCTAATTCATGACTTTGGGCCTATCTGAAGTAGTCATTTCAGAGCCCTGAGAGTATTTAGAGAGAAATACAATTAAGAAAATGCGGAGTGTGAAGGGCCATGTCTATCCTTACACAGTTATGGAGTGTTTTAAATAAGATTAAGTAAGAAGGAGTGTGTGAAAGCATTTTATAAACCACAGTGTAAATTTTTATGTTTAATATTACTACTAGTGCATGACTGATTAGGCAGATATTCCTCATTTACTGATTGTAATGCTGCAAATCCCCAAATGTCCAGTCCAAACCATCCACATAAAGTAAAATACATGCAAATAGAAGGGCAAGCATTCTATTTTTTTTCTCCTCTAACACAAGAAAACATTGGGCTATTTTTAGAAGTGTATGATTCACAAAGAAGAATAATAATGGTCCCTAAAATTAGGAACATCTAGTTCAAACCACCTAGAGTAATGAAAATGGGTTTGTTTAATGCCTTAAAACATCTCACAGTAGCAGTTTGGAAGAAATAACTCAGTGACTAAATTTTTAATAGTTACCAGGAAATGTTAAACAAAGGTGGGTTACTCTAATGTAACTTTATCTTTAGTTCTTTTTTTACATAAGTTAAAATAAGATTAATTGGAACCATAAATAATGATGGTAATAAGAATGGTTATAGAGGTCACTACCATCTTTTTCTGAAGTGTTCAATGTGTCCTGTAAGTGGTGATACCTTGGAGACAAAGCCTAAATAAAGCAGAGATGTTCAGGGTAGCTCCCCTGACCTACTCTCATTCATTCATTGACTCATTCCTTCAACAAATACTGTATTTCACCAACTCTAAGAGTTGTCAGTTGTAAGATATGCAATTATTGTATATACCACAAGGAAAAGTTGATGTCAATTAAAGTATGACATGTCATTGATTGCAACACACAGCTCCAACTTCAAAGACTTTTAATTAAAAACACATGCATCTTAGAACCAAATAAAATAATAAAAATAATACTTTTTAAATGTAGTATACCTTAGGGAGCAGGCTTGCAAGTTCAGACAACTGGGTTAAAATCCTGGTTTGACCTCTAGTGACCTTGAGTGCTCCCTAAGTCTGACTTTCCTCACCTGTAAATTAGGGCCAGAGAAGTAGCTTCCTTGAGAGAGTTGTTAATTAAATTAAAATGAGTCAAAATCTACAACAGGTCATTGCTTTTTTAAAAAGTCTCACTCCAGAATTACTGTGTGATGAAAGTTCAACAACAGGAAGACTAGCTATGGGGCTGTTGTGGACTAGATAGGGAACTACTATAGAGCAGTTGGAGAAACAATGGGGGCTTGAATGAGCAAACAGGACATAGACAAGACACAGATTGGAAATGACAGTTTTCTGATCGATTGCATGGGACTGGGGAGAGAGAAAGGGAAGTCAAGTGTAAGTTCTAGGTTTTTGGTTTGATCCCAGTTTGATGGTGCCATTTATGGAGAGAAAGAAACTGGGAAGAATTACATGTTCTGTTTTGGATTTACTCCTTTTGAAAGGTCACCAGGGAAGCTTGTTTAGAATACTCATTCCATGGCCCTTCCCATGGAGATCCTAATTCTACAGGGGTCTCCTCCAGTGAGTCAGATGTGCTGCGTGAAGTTTTGAGAACAGTCTAAGTCTTGGAAAACATGGATCCTTCATATTTTAAAAGTTCATTGGTGCATTGTTTTGTGTGAATGTGTGTGTAAAAAAACGCTCTTGTACTGGTTTGAATTCAGCTGCATATGCAGTAAAGGCGCCCATACCTGAAAAAAGTAGTAATCCATAGAAATAATATATATGAGAATACATTTGAGGATGATGGGTTTTTTGTTATGTTATTCTTCCTCCTTTTTTAGGGACTTTGTACCTGTGGTTACTAAGTTCTTCCTCCCTCTCTCTCCCAGTCTGCAGTTAACTCCTCCCCATCTTTGTAGCTTAGTGCAAGTCTCACCTCATCCGGACACCCTCCTGGTCTCTCAGACAGGCTCCTTGTGCTGTGTGTGTTCATAACACCCCATGTATAGCACATTGTTTGTGTGGGATATAATTTTATTATTAACTTTCTTCCCTGCTAGATTGAAAACATCTTGGGAGCAGGAAGCATTTTTATTTTGGTCAGCATTTTATCCACAGCATGGAAAAGAGTGCCTGGGTATATTAGGTCCTCAGTAAATAGTGGGGAATAAATAAATACATGTGGGTGTTTTTTAATCCAGTTCCATGTGTAATTAATTTTCTCCTCAATGGTGGCAGTTTTTGCTTCACTAATTTTTAGGAGGGTCTTTGGGGACCCTAGGAACAAATGGACCAGAAAGAAGATAAAATGATTCAGAAATATAAGGAAATAGAATTGGACTGAAAAAAGTCCTTACATAGACTTAAATGTCAGCAACAACATAAATCTACTGAATTCTCCTCTTGACTCTCTGTGGAATCCTGATGTTCCAATAGAGTTTTACAGTCCTGATATGAGAGTAGTGCTAGAGGGAGAACTGTCTCCAGCCCGTGTTGGGTATGTGCCAGAAACCTCCAGCCACGGGGAAGCTGGAGCTTAATATGACCCACTCCCATTCCTCAAGGAACTATTGAAGTAATCATCCCTGGGGCTTCCATGGCAAATGTCCTTTTCTTGTGGCTAATCTGGGTTATTCATCAAATGGCTAAAGGTGAATACATGGGCCTAAGTCCAACCGAGTTTCCTGACTAGTTTTCCAAATGGTTCAAATCTACTGATGCAATTCCTAGCACAGAATTGCCTCAGATGTCCATTAAACCCCTGCCAGTGATATAGCCTGTCTATTTCAGGGCACTGTATGTTTAACCCAAGGTGCAGGTAATGCATATTCCCAAGTATAGCCCAACCATATCACATTTCTTTCCTCCAAGTCATAATGTCACTCTCTGAATGACTAATGTAAACCGAGGGGTATAGAATAGCCCTGTGCAACTGAATCTTTTTTTCCCGGTTGGTTCTTAGATATCTTGCTTCTTAGGTTATTACTGCAAAGGTAGGCTGTACTGGGGGAAAATAAATGACAGAGAAGAGAGGAGATAATGGGAAATGTATAGAAAATGCTACTAAGGAAATGTAGTGAACTAGGTTGGTGAGTTATTTAGTCAGAAAGACTTTCTCATTGATAGTTCAGGGGCATGCCTTAACACTGCTGTTTGTTAGGAAATAGGCTATACTGCTACTCACACATTCCAATTTGATCCTCGGTCTTCCGGGAGCTCAGCTTATCCTATGCTGTGGACTCCATTTGACTGATTATTCTTTCATATTTTTGAAAACAAGGAATGATGAGACATTAATATAGAAGTTCCTAGTGTGCCAATATTTAGAGGAGTGATTCTATATGTGGCTGGGCAAAGAGACATGCATGAATGCATAAATGATCCAGGGCCAGGGTATCTGAAGTTTTTGTAAAACAGCAGTGTTGAGGTGCATGTGAGAAGTGGCAGCAACCTCGTTGTAATGAATTTACTGCCCTTGTGCTGCCATGAGGGAGGGCGATCACTTCTGAGTAGTGAATTACACTGTGGAATCCTGACTTCCTTGCTCAGGACTAGGGCTGGGCAAATGGTTTGCCTGACCCTCTTGTGTGCATGCTGTGGTAATGTCGGCTCCATCAAATGCTTAGTAGATGAAAGAAAAAAATGTTTCAGACTTGAGGTGGGGAGCAGCAACTTGTACTCAGGACACAAAGAAGAAAGTGCTGGCGAGAAGGATAGAGCACCTTAACATTCTGGAGCCCTGACACAAGGGAGTGTTCCCTGAATTAGGTGTTATTAGATCAAATGTCCTGACTACCTTGAGCGTAATGGGCATGGGAAAACAGTGCTGATTTGATTTTCTTGACTCGTTGTAACTATGAGCTCTCTGGTGGACAGCAAGAGTTGGTATCACTAGTTACTATAAATAAAATACAAACTTGTTTGGTTTTATCTAAGCTGGTGTAATTGTCAGAGGTAGAAACATATGCCAAGAGGAGTCTGTCAGCAGAAAGAGTTTGGGGCAAAGATCTTGTGCAGTTAGATCATTACAGGTTTGATTCCCAAAGGATTAGATTCAGTCCGTATGGAACTCCCTGGGGGATTCAGAAGGATGCCCTAGTTGTTGTTTATTTAGTTAAAAATTAAAGCCTGTAGAACACAATTCTTACCAATTATATTTGAGAAATGTAAGCAGCCTATGAGACAAATCCAAGGTGAAATTTCACAGCAGGGGTTCTTAACACTGGGGCTCAATAGTGAGTTTTAAAAGCTCACAAACCACCGGAACCTATGTAGAACATTTTGTGTATTTATACTGGAGTGTCTGTGTTTTTTCTTCAGATTCTGAAGGAACAGCCTTACATCCAAGGTGTCAGGACCATAGCCTTTCAATCTGCATGTCATGTCAGAAACAAAGGGCTTTTCCAGCCAAGTCCAGTGTGAATAGAGATATCTCCTATATAGCTCCACAAAGCCGACACCACATAAAGGTTTGGCCTTGGTTTGAATTGTATAATTTTATTAGTTATGGAAATAGATACAAACTATGGAAGCATGCAGGTGGAGACCCAGAAGATTTCAGATCTCGGGAGGCCTTCTGAGATCATCTTGTCCAACATTCATGTCATCGATGGGGAAACTGAGGCTTGGAGGTGCAGCAGCCTGCTGCAGGTCCCCTAGCAATCCAAAGCTGGGTTTGGGTGGAAACGCATCTCTTGGCTGCCTGCTTCATACTATCTGTACTCTATCTATCTCTGATCAGCAGGAAAATAGGAAGACATCGGTATGCAGTGAGAGCACATGCTACCTCTAGTATTCGAATCTGACTGTGTTTTGCTGAGAGCATGTCTAGAATGGTGCTCCCTGTGACCAGTGAGCAGGGAGCCAAAACCGCAATTCTTCTCTCTGAGATCCTACTTGTAGCATCACAGAAGACATCTGATGCACGTCTATGCAGATGTCTCGCACTTAGATACTCACTGACAAGTTTTAACTGTCTGGATGTCTTTTAAATTTTCTCATTTTATTTTCATTTTTCTTGCCTGTTAAATTGTAATACGAACACTTAGAGAAAAAGGAATTTTGTATTTGACAGACAGCATCTGTTGCCACAGATCTTAGCTCCTTTTCGAGTAGCCAAACACAAATGAGAATTATGGACACTGGCGAAAGTGATGTGGTGTGGGGTAGAATCATTTATTTTATTTTCATTTCTCTTTCTCCGGCATCCTTCCACAAGAAGATGAGGACCCCTCATCCACATGTGCACTCTGCAGTCTGGGCTCCTCTTCCTGGCATCTGTCTCACTCTTACAGTTGGTCTAGTGCAGGAGGTACAGCTTGATGGCTCTGTCTGACCTTCCATCAACTCTGAAAGTGAACCTTCAGAAGAAATCAAAGCTGAAGAGGGTGGTTGGGCACAGGCGCTTGGGGGAAGGGACCAGGGCTCACCTATCTTCCAACCCCATACTCTTTCTGCTCCAACCCCACGCTTTGCCCTCTTCCTCTTACATCCTCAGGCTTCTCACAGAGGGGTTGGAAATGAAGCCCAGAGTCTAGGGGCAAGAGAGGAGAGTGAGAAGGACTCAATTAACTTGGAATTCAGCCAAAAATACACAAATATGTCCAATAAAATCTGCATGCGCACTTCTGGATCCTTGATTGTAATGGTCAGGATGATGAGAAATCATTGTGAACTATATCTAGAGACCCCTCTTTTCATCACTATTTCTTGTTATTTTAAAGATGAGTCTTAGGAATAACAAGTGTCATCTGTTTTGAAGAATTAAATAATTAGAGTAAATACTACACACACACGTACATGCATACACACAAACACATACACACACACTCATACTGAAAATTCGGAGAATTTTGCCTACTCCCAACATCTTTTACTTTTCTAGACTTTAGGATGTGTGACAGTTTATTCTCTCTTGTTTTACTTGTGTCATACAGAGGGCAGCTTGGGGCTAACATCATTTCCTTTTCCAGAAAAAGCTACTGTCTTTTATTAAGCATTGCTTCTTTCCAAGTGCTGCAGCGTCCATCCCTCAAGTTTTCCTTGAGGAGCCACTTCAAATATCTGCAGAAATGACAGGATCATGCATTTTATCTTCTTATGAACCATTCTGGAAACAGAGACAATGCATTGGCTGTGGATCTTGCCCACATTCACACTTTCAATTTTCATTTATCAAAAATACTGCTTCCCCAATTTTTCCTTGCAGAAATCTTATAAAACCTAAAATCACTTTATTATTGAATTCTAAAGCTAGATGGAACATTAGCAATCTTCCATCATAACATCTTATATAAAAGATAAGGAAAGGGAAATTCAACTAACTAGTGATAAAATCTGGACTACAGCCTAATTCTACTGATTAGCAATTCAGTTCTGTATCCAAAATATCACAGTGCTATTCAGAAATGCCACAGTTCAAGATTCACTGGAAACAAGGTAAGTGCTATGGAAACTCCAGGAAGTTCTAATCAAACAAATGTACTGAGAGAGGAATAATTCATTTTCAAATAATGTTAACAATCCCTAAAATATTGAAATAAACTCATATACTCTCACATCATACCAAGAGAAGGGATACAAGTTATTTGGAGGCTTGCATAGGAGTAAAAATCAACATTCAAAAAACGAAAGTCAACCCAGGTCACCTCCATAAAGGATAACGCACCAAAATGCCTCAGACATGAACTGTAAGAATGGATCTTAACTTGAGCTCAGGAATTAGGGAGCCTTTTCTGTAAACAGCGTGTGTTTCTAACAACATAATAGCTGCATGATGGCGAAGGTATGGCGTTATGGAAAACAGAAATATCTGAATGAGAAGGCAGAGACTCAGAGAGCTCAGCTATTCACAAGTCATGGGGATATGAATTTGCATTTATAGCCTTGGAGGTGGATAAAGTTGGACACTCAGGGAAATAGTGCCTGAATTGAGAACAGAGAGAGGAAAGAATTGATACTTTAGAATGGCTTGTTTGAGCAGTTGTTATGGGATGACAAAGGAGACATACTCTGCACTCAAGTCCCAATGAGCAAGTTCTGAAACAAATTAGCTCTGGGATTTGGTTTAAAATTTTTAAAAAATGCTGGAAAGAGGTAATACTTCATTGCTGCATCAGATACCAGTAATCTCAATTATTTTTGACTGCTTCTCTGATGAAGGGTAAGCGACTGGTGTGTGATGTGCATTTGCCAAATAGTAGCACAACGGCATGCAGCGTTCCACATCCGTCCTTTAGCATATATTCTTCTCTTTAGTGAGAAGTACCTCAAATTTTTACCATTGTGGAAATAGGAAGTCCTTACAAATGTGTCGTGAACCCATATCGCATGTTTTAATTAAACAACTCCATCCGTTAGATTCCTGTAATTGGTTAGTGTTGCTGTCTTTGGTTCCAAACTCACAGTTCAGGAGGTATAAGATAAAGATGGAGTCAGTGCAGTGAAATGTGCTCAACCTCAATTAAATTTTAGTGTTAATTCATTTGCTAACTTATTTCCAGCTTGAACAACAATAGCTGTCATTCATCATCACCATCCACAGCAACAAAAACAAACATTTGTGGATTGTCAGCCATGAATATGCTTGGTACATCCCACTGGTCAGAGAGCAGTCCTTGGATGAGTATTCTCAATGCTTCAAGTTAGACATCTGGACCCACTGTGTACCAGCCTTGATGGGGGAATATTTAACAACAGGAGCAGAAGAGCCACTGCACATTTGCATGGCTGGAAAGGAGTAGATATTCCACTGAAAGAAGAGAGATGTGATTCTACAGGAGTATTTGGCTAGAGTGGCTAGGGACCGTCCATCCCTCACAATCCACCTTGCATTCATGAGATGCTCATGCCAGGGGACATCCTAATATTAGGGGTAGTGGAGGAATCCTAAAGTATGGCAGTGATTATCTCTGAATCACAAGGGGTCCAGTATACTTGGAATCCAGGCCAATCTGTAGCAATTGTCCTCCATCAGTGCCTGTACCAAGACAAAAAAAATCACTACAGGCTCTATTCGGGGTGGTTTTCTGTGCTCATTCTGATGAACATTCTCTTACCAAGCTCCCATTTCCAGAAAAGGTAGGTCTGTGACTTGTTCCTATAAGCTCCTTTCAAAGCCATGTCCTCCTAGATGGAACTCTATATCTGGTTGAAGACCTGGGAGGCAGAATACCCTTTCCTGTGGTGCCCACATGTTTCCTCTAAAGACTGAAACTCAGCAGACTGAGGCTCACACAGCACACTTAGCAGAAGGTGAGAGTAAGCTCCTCTTGAAGCAGGATAGGGAGGGCTCCTATCTGGTGAACTCATCAATCACGGTCAAGCTGGTTCAACAAAGAATGTGCTCTTGCATAACCAGGGCTCTAAAGATCCACAAGGCAAGAAAACTATTGAGTTGGCAAATAGGTAAAATTAAGTCCTCATCAGTGCCCCTTACCAAGTTGGTTCTGACTCAGCACTCTCTCTCTCCTGGGAGGGTGAAGACTGTTATTTGAAGCACGATTAGCAGTAGCAGATATTACTAATGTCTACTGGTGGTTATCTAGTAGATATTGGTAGATACCTACTAGTACATAGTAGATGTGAAAGATAAAGCTCCCATTCAGACAAAGGTTGTGTACACTGTGTTCTCTCTCAGCCAAGCCTCAGAACTGCCTCTTTGCAGGGGCCTTGGCACATGGTATTCAGAGGTGTTTCTGGGCTCCAGTTTAGGAATATGGAGCTCACCTATCTTTTCCCCACTCTATTCCAGTAAGCCATGCTTTGCACCCAAACCCTCAGGCCAGTGTCTGCTGAGGTGCTGGGCATGGGAGGGTTAGTCAATCCCAGCCACCCACTTTCATTCTAAGGAGACCCAAAGCCCCTCCTCTTTCATGGTTCCTGGACATAGGCAGGGATAAACACCAGTGCAGCCAAGATTCCTGAGGCTTGGCCAGGTAGTTCCAGACCTTGCTGCTGCGAAAAACTTGGGGCATCTGGGACATGGGTGGGGCTAGGGGTGAAAGGGTAGAAGGACACAAAGAAAGGTGAAGAAGTCAATAGCTTTCTTCAGTCTTGCCGGAAGCAACTGGAAATGACACAGCTCCATCCCAGTCCTTCCTGGTTCCTCTCAGGTGAAGGTGACTTGGAAATGCAAGTGCCGTCATTCCTGAGTGTTTTGGCTCGGACCCATTTCTGTCTCTCAGTTCCTCTTATGTGGCTAGAGGTGAGGTTTGGAGGTTGGGTTTGGAGGACTGGTTGATGGGAGATTATTTAAAACTAAACACAATGTTTCAAGCTGGCTTTCTGTTTTGTTTTTTTGCGGGGAGATTTCTTTTGGCTCTCGGGGGTTTTCTTGTTTTCCGTGACAGTGACTTTCTGCTGCTTCCCAGAAATAATTGGGCCTAAAGTCTTCTCCCTGACTAGACTTGACCTTTGCCCACTTGTGTGGTAAGATGTTTGAGCACAAGCAGGACACTGGCAGCCCTGGCCAGGACCTCCCGAAGGCACTGAAAATGCAGTCCCTATCAGACGCACCCTCACCTTGCCTCTGTGCGGGGATGGAGGAGGTCCCACGTCCTTCCTGTTTGTCATCTCAGCACTTGCCACCACTCCATCCCAGGAGGGTTTAAGAGCCCATCCTCCCCCATTCTTCAAACCTGAGCCAGGCAGGCTGTGCCCCCGCCCCGCTGTAGAATGAGGTACCACACCAGGTGAAGAGGGACATGGAACACTTTTTAATGTCAAGTCAGAGACAACCCCACCCTCCCGGATCCCCCAATCCCCCTTTCCCTCATCACATCCAGGACCCCTCCCCGAGGACTCTCAGGTTCCCAGACTTTCAGGGGAGGGGAAAAAAAAAAAAGATTACCTAAAAATTGCATTTTCTTCTCTTTCATACACACTCACACAAAGGTGGGAAATAAAATAAACCAAGAGGATTAAACTCTCCAGTGGTCACAAAGGCATCAGAGATTCCCATAATGGGCTAAAGCAAGTGGGTACTGACGGTACTGCTTGTTCAGCTGCTTGCTGTCTGTTAACGCCACAGGGCAGAATGGAGAAAGCGGGGCCACCTGGGGTGGCCTAGCGCAGAGCCACACCTGGAAAGATGCTGCGCCCGGTATTAGTTGTTTTTTTTTTTTTTTATCCTTTCACTTTTTATAAATGTCTCTGACATGTAAATAACCCAAGAAAATAAAAAGGCAGGAGCTGATTACACAATTACCAGTAAACTCTATCATCTTTTAGAAGATCAACACACAGCTAACGCCATATACAGCATGCAGTAATGTCTGAGAAAGGACCCTGCGGAGAAATAAAATGGCTAGAACTCTAACAAAAAAAATATATGTATATATATACTGTATAATATATGTCATCAAAGGAAGCATAGCCAACAAACCCAAGATACAGTGCAGATCACCTTTCCATTTCTAAACAGTGTGTAGAGAGCATAGTATTGTCTGCAAGAGATGTCAGAATTGGGAGGAGTCCGTAGCGCTGGTGGAGATGTTGGTTAAATCGGATGCATTTTTTGGTGGATATGCCAAATCCTCACCAGGTGATTAGTGCCTGGTGTGTGGTCCACCAGTTGTAAACCTAGTTAAGAAGTATACTATTCATTTTTACTGTTTAACAAACATACTTCTCTTCACCCTTCTCAGTTGTATTTTTTTAGTTTTGTCTTGTTTTTGCAGTAAGTTCTAGACTCATATCAGAAAATATAATTAATGAAATTAATAATGAATCAGAATCCCTTGTTATCCATGATGTTCATGTAGTAAAATGATAAAAAAAAAAAAAAGTTTAACGGTATCTTTTGTGACTTGTTTGTGGGACCGTTGTTGCTGTCAGACGGTCTTATTTTGTTTCCTTTTTCTTTCTTGCTCTTTTTATTTCACGTTTCACAACACACGCCGTGGTGGCACAGTCTACCAAAGTGCCCGCAGCGCCACGCTTGGGCCGGAAGGTCTCATTCTGTTCGTCTCTATGGACTGATTGAATTTGGGATGGCCAGCTCCAGAATGTTCCACGTGGGGGCACTCTGTGGGCAGAGAGGCTGAGCCCTTGCCCACACTGGCACCAAAGAGGTTGCACGATGCAGCTTGCAGTGGGTCCAAGCCGGGTGTGCTGTGTTCTTCCCGTTTGGGAAAAGAAAACTCCATTGTACCTAAATATCTGCAAGGCAATTTTCAATTTCTTTTTTAAAACTTTTTTCCCCCCAAAGTATTCTTTGTTCCCCTCCCTCAAATTTCTGTCCCATGAGGCTGTGTTTCTTCTAATTTCATTTGTATATATCTGATTGGTTGCTGTCGGTGTTGCCATTGCTGTTGTGTTGGTGGTGGTGGTGGCGGCAGCCTTTCCCGGGTGGGGAAGTGGCACTCACATCAAAATTTGAGAAGCAGGTGCAAGACCAGAAGAGGCAGCAGCCAGACGCAGCCTGCCCTCCTCGACGTGCCGTTGCTCACCTCGCTGACGGCGCCTGGACCTGTGGAGAGAACACACTCGCCGTGAGTGGTCTGGGAGAAAATGGAAGGAAAGCCCGGTGGTTGCCTGGTCTGCTGTCATTTGGCCTTGCCCCTGGTGAGTCATCCCTCTAAGTGAAACACATGGTGTTCCAGCCCCAGCATTAGAAGTGAACGTTCTATGGCCCACATCCCCAAGACACACACACTAGATAACGGGAAGCCTTCCCCTGCAAGGAGAGAACATGAGGCTCAGGTTAAAGTGTCCTGGGCCTTCTTCCTTACTGTGTCATAACATGCAAAGGCCATGGCTCAGGCTCAAATTCAAGAAGAAGGTGGCAGATTCATTAATATCCTACACAGAGCTTTAATAAAGTCAGACTACTGTGCTGAGTGCCTCATCACCCATCCACTTCTGAGCACTGCCTGCCTGAAATACTCACCCACCCTCCAGCTGCTTGGCCTGTGGCTCAGAAAAGAACCTGTTGGACAAAACAATGTGTCTGCCTGCTGCTTCTGCTTCCTTGGGCACAGAGGCCATCCTGCCAATCACTCTATCTCAGGGCAGGGCACCTGGGTTCCACCTGGAGCACTTGACCTCTTCCCCATCTGGATGGGGTAAGAGCAGATGCAGCTCAAGGATCACATGCCTGCAAGGCCGAAGCCAGCCCACATGGATGGAGGTGAGTCAAACAAAGGAACAGGAAGCCTTCCTGTGCATGTGGATGTAACTGGAGATCAATGAGGACACTGGGATGCAGAACCTGCCCCAGTGTATGGAGATGGAGACAAACACAGGAGGCAGGAGAACTGCAAGGCAGTACAGTTCCCCAGCAGCTTCCCTATTGTTCTGAAACATACGTTTTCTGGCTACCTCGGCCCTTGTGGCCAAGAAACCCCATGACCAGTGGAGCTTTGATTTCTGTAGAGTACATAAGTTTGGATGCCCAGATGAATTAGCTACTCAAGGAACCAGGCCACCTCCTCAGACTGGACCTGCTCTGGCATACTCTGTTGCATTGAATTTAATAGAGGTATTTAAAGCTGGTGGCCTCACTAAGTCCATGTCTTCCTGGATTAGGGAACAAGGAACAAAGCCAGAACCTGCCTGCCTGACTTGGATGCTCAGCGTTGGATACATTTCTGGCTAAAACAAATCAAAATCAAAACAGGCTTCTCAATTCCATGTGGGATTATTCCATCAAGTCTAGAACTCCTGGCTAGGAGGCAGTGCCCATATGATTTTATGTCTTGGCCTTTTGGGATAAATCCCTAATTTGGGGGCGTGGCTAAATAGGTAGCCATGAGATTGAAATGCAATAGGTCATCAACCTCATGTTTCCCTGGTGTCTGATTCACAGTATCCCTAAGGCCGGAACTTCTCAGAGGTGCAGATCCCCATGCTGAGAAGCCCAGGGGATACTTATTCTCTCTACCCTGCATTAAGGAGAAAACACAAAACCAAAGGCATCTGTGCTAGGATACAGGTGACCAAGGAGCACTCCTGTAAAGCTCCTGCGGATTTAAATCTCAACCCAGAAATGCTTGTCATTTAGGATCGGTCACTAACTGGTTGTGTCTTCTAGAATCTAACTACTATGTGTCCACAGAAACCATCACCAGACGTTCCCCCTTTGTAGATGCTCACTCTGTCATCTACAGAGCACATTCTTTGGAATCAAAGGAGAGAAGCCTCCGCCGGATGCCTTCAAGGGTGAGAGACTATGTTTCTCTGCTCTGCGTAAGTCCTTCCCCTCTAGGCAACTCCAAGATTCTTCCAACCAAGGCCCTTGTCTGTGCCCGAGGCTGAGGACTCTGAGACGACAAGGGTGGTTCTGAGTCCATATGGCCCAGCAGGCCTTTATGGAAGCCAGGTCGAATGTTTTGCCTCAACACTGTGAGTGTTCACATTCATATGAAGATAGCTTCATATGCGTGAATCACACCGTACAATTCCATACGTGTCCTGCACACTGGAGTCCTTAACTCCCGGCAGGGGACACAGCTGTCAGCACACTGCTCTGCCTCTTTCATCCCTTGTGCTCTCCTGAACATCCACACACATCTTTGAAACCCATTTCCTGTTCAATTCCCGCACACTCCCACCTCCCGTCTCCCGCTCCCTCCCTGTGACTAAGAAGATGCCCTGGGTAAGAGATGGAAAACAAGTGCCGCTTCCCTGCACTGAGGTGTTCTCTCCTCTCTTCTGAACTCCCTCCTTGCAGCCTGACCTGCCAGTGGAAGCCTCCAGGGAGGAGAATGCCACAGCCAGGTGTTCAGCCCAGCAGGGGCCTGGCGTAGTTACCATGTAAGGGAATGCTGAAACCTTGTTTCCAGGCTGGGGACTCTGCAGCTCGGGAGACGACTGAGAGCGGGCAAACACCCCCTGTGGCAGATCTCAATGGCCCTGTGGCTATGCCAGGCGCTCTCCCTGGGTGCCTGTGTTTGGTCTCCTTGCTACGCCCCTCAGAGTTCTTTTGTGGATCTGCTCCATGCTGGGAAGCACCACAGAGAGCTTGTAAAGACGAGTCGTGTCCTCACCTGTTTGTTGTGTTAGAAAATTCTTCCTATGGAAGACAGAAAAAGGCCACCAAGTGCCTGCCAGCCATTCTCTTGCTTGTAGTATATCTGGGAAAAGCCTGAGCAGCCCCTCTGAAGCTCTCCATCATCATCATCTCCATCTCAGGCTGGTGAGTGGCTGGCACTATGTGACCATATCCAGTCTGCGCAGCCCACCCCACAGGTACATGCGCTCACCACCCCCGGAACCTGTCTCTTCAGCAGCACATCCAGGACACCAGACCTGGACCAAGTTGGACAGAAGGAGAAGGAAACAGGGGTAGCCCCGAGGCAGGGGCATTCTCTCAAATGAGACATCCTCCCAAAGGAGATACTCTGCACCATCTCATCTTTCAATTCCCAAAAATGTTCACCAATTGGACCTTGCCACCTGTGGCCTTGACCCCTGGAATTTATTCTTTATGCGAATTCCAAGGTGATGTTTCTACCCCAAATCGATCATGATCCTCATTGATTTGAGGCCAACAGGCTAGCACCAAGTCCAGCTTCTCAGTGGACCGAGCACTACATTTCGTGATGTGCCTGCAGTCTGCAGCCTTGGTGTCTCTTCTTGCCACACCTAGTTTGGTGCCCTTGCCCCTTGCCACATAACCACATGTGAGCACACAGGGGCGGGTCTTTTTTCCCCACCCTCACACACTCTCCCCTCCGTCCGAAATATGTCTCACCCATATCACTCTTATTCTTCATTCCAGCTCCTCTTCCAGCCTTCAGCACCTCTTGCAGGCAGCCTTCCCTGCCTTGCTCAGTGCCATACACATCCCACTAGTAAAATACTTACCACCCTGTGTCATAATTCTCTTTGCCTAACTTATTTGTATTTCCTCCTCTGTCCTCTGTGCAGTAAGTTCCTTAAGAGCAGAGTCTGTATCTCATTGGCCCGTGGCAGGTATTCAACCAATGTTTGTTGAAAGAAGGAGGGGGCATTGCCACTCATGCTGACATATCCACATTTATTTGTCTTTGTGTTTTACTTTTGCTTAAAATTGTACTTGAAGAAAAAATAAAACAAAAACTTTTTTCATACCTTGCCCTCTGCCTTACCTCAATTTCCTCTTCCAAATACCTTTCCTCCCCTTTTCTAACTATATCCAATACAACTTACTGAGAATTCCTGTGGCTGAGTGTCTATCTACATAGAAGCAAAGCCATGTCAGTTAGGATTTCAGATAGAGCGCTTGCACTGGGAAAGCTATCACAACACCTTAATGACACTCATGTAGGAGATGAGAATTATTATCTCCCTTTCTACCATGTGGAAACTGAACTTCAGGAAGCTTAAGTGACTTTCCCAAGTCTCTTGACTTCTGTCTTCAAATGCAACTATCTTCCCACTATCTCAGAGATGCATCTTCAGAGAATAAAGAGAAGAGAGTGTGGCTGCATGGCCTGCTCCACCTGGGTACAGGTTAAAAGGTGAGAACCGCAGGCGTGCCACTGGGCTGCTTCCCGCAGGCCATCCCACACTGAATGAATGAATGCTATGTGGAAGGATTCCATGAGATGAGATGAAGACCTTAGGTCCAGGTGGGCGTGGACCACAGCACCCTGGGATCAAGGCCCTCTCAAAGCCAGTGCTGGTCAGAGCTACAGCTCAGCCCATCTGCCTAGTGACATGGGCCACGCAGATGAGGCCTCCATTCTTCATTCAGCCACGCCTCCACTCCACAGTGAATGCCTTTATTGCCTCTATCTCATTAGAGAGCTGCGGAGGCCTAAAGAGACTAATTACCAGGACAGTTAGGGTCCCAGAGAACGGTGATGAGTGTCAATTATCCATCGGAAACATCTGGCAGGAATGAAAGCTTCAAATAAGATGCATTTTATTCGTAGCCAAGTGACTCACCCAAGAACCTCCCCCTTCCTCCCATCTTCCCCTCCCCTTGCCACTTCCCTTCCAGCTCCAAGTTAGAGAGATAGAAAGAATGGTGCAAGCAAGGGCAGCATGCAGGGCCAAGGTCTGAGAAGATCGCTGCATTAGAGCATCCGTGTGTGAGGAAAGAGGCAGGCCTGGTGCAGAGTAGCCCAGAGATGGAGCTATTCTGGGCACTGACAGGTGCTCATTAGTGCCACCAGCAAAGAGAAGTTAGGCTACTGCAAGTGGGATCTACCTAGGAAGGATTGGATGTCCTTGAGGATGGGGTTAATCTAAATTGACACGGAGATGGTTGAAGGTTGGGGGAGGGTTCCCTCTGCGCTGCTTCCTGGAGTTAGCTCAGGAAAGAAGGCATCTGGGAGGAAGGTGAAGAGTTTTACATACCCCACACCCACCAAGGCAGCAGCTGTCTGAAAAATATACAAACCTTTCCAAGGGGTCAGGGCTGTAGTTTTCACTTCTAAAAGAAATTAAAAACAAGCCACTGTTAAGGTCGAAAGCAGACGGAGATGCTCACTTTGCCCTCAGATGATTTCAGGAAGAAGCTGGCGCTCCTGGCGCAGCAGCGTCCCTGCGCCTCTTGCCCATGTCCCTTGCTGTCCTGACCACTGCCCAGCCCTCCTATGTGACCCCCCTCTGGTTTTCTGGTTTACTTGGGCAGCCAGTTGCCTCAAGAGGTGAGCAGATGGCTGGAGAAGGATGTGAACGACAGTCAGATTGGACCACAGATGGAAGCAGAGCCAAGATGTCCGCCTGATTTTAGCAGGTGACACAGCTGCACCTTTGGAGCCTGAGACACCAAACCAAATAGGCTTTGTAGAACAACTTACTTTCTTTGGTCATCAGGCTATCCTCTAATTAGTTGAAGCCTGTAGGTCTTACGTATAAAGTTGATTGCTACATATGGATTTATACTACAGCATTTGAATGTAGGTGCTCATGCTGTATTTGAAATGCAAAAGTTTAACTGGCATTTAGCTATGCATTTAGAAACACTGGTGAGTCAGCTTCCATGTACCAGAGGAGACCAAACCATTGACATTTGACTTTTCTTGATGAGCTGGACAATACCAAGCTGGTCCCACAGGGCTTCATCTCTCTGGGGCAGCCTGCGGCTCTGACCCACACCCGTGCTGCTACAGTTGCACTTGCTGGGACCTCCCTGTAGAAATGCTGGGAGGCTGGCCCCTCTCTGCTGCCTAGGCTGTGAAAGGTCTCCATTTCACCAGCTTCAACTCTCAGAACAACCTATGGAGTCTCTCCACCTTTTCTGTGGATAGCAGATGCCTTGTTTGGCCTGAATTTGGAATGATCTCTAATCTTTTACTTCCCTCTTTGTCGTTCACCCTGGATACAGAGAGGACGGAAAATGGCACTAAAGCTTTTTGCATCAAAGTGATGCCTTGGGAGTCTGTGTTCTCTGTGCAAAGGTCCTCGCATACAGAAAGACAACCTAGATATAACTCATCCTAAAAGCAACTAAAACATTTGCTCAAAGTCAGATGAATACGTACTTGTGCATTCACACCTTCAATCTACTCTTTAAAATCACCTGACACACGATATCCCTCTTGATTTAAGTGGGCATTAGCGGCCCTGAGAAGCCACCCTGAAGGTACAAAGAGGGAAAGGGTTTATCGACGATCAAAAGTTTTGTGATTGAGAAAATATCTGATGTACTGCAGGACGGTAGGGAAAAGCCAGGGGTGATGATGCCATGGTGCCTGTGCATTTAACAAGGATGGTCCCTTGAAGGGCTTGCTGGGCCCCAGAAACAAGTTCAGAAGCTAAGGAGGGGGAGGGGCTATTTTCATTAATTGTCTTATTTAGGTACCGGTGATTTTTGATCCTCTCTGTGCCAAGAAAAAAAGATAACTGGAAGGAGGAAGGACAGACTAAAGACAGACTTGGGGAGATAAAGTAATCATAAAACTTTTACCCCCAAACCACAAGCAGTTTTGGGGGGCTCATCCAGACAGTGATGGGCGTACTGGTTCAGACTGTGCTGGAGGAAGGACACAGGAAGAGCCTTCACCTGGCAGTTGAGACTATCAGAAAGAAGAATGCATTGAAAGCACAAATTCCTGCTGAAAATAAAAGAGGTTTTCTATAAACAAAGACCCCCCCAAAAAAACCTCAGCTTAATTATTCCATCCAGATGGGGTTTTTTTCTCTTCCTCTAAATCTCCAACACACACTACTTGAAAGATGGCCAACTCTTTTTAGTGTCCACATAGGTAAAGAAAATGTGATGCTCATCCTTGACTTTAGCTAGAACTCATCCTTGGGCTTTTCCAGGTAGCAGTTGTTCAACCTTTCCAGTCAACTAGAGGGTCCTTTTGATCCCACTTCTAGCCCGCCACAATGAGGTGGAAATGCCAGGATATTTTCGTATATACTCTAAACCCATCATGCTCATTCCAGTCCACCCCCCTTGCTTTGGTACTAAGGAGAAGGTGCACATGCTGGCACTGTCCTCTGTGCCATGCTTGACATGCTTCTGTCCAGTGTGTGTTGTGTCCTGCTTCCAGAAGCAGGAGCCTTGCTTGAGCCACCAAAGCTAGTCCTGGCCACAAACTCCAGTCTTTGAGTAACATTTTGACTATCAGGAACATAAACAATCCCTGAAAATTCAAGCTTGTCAAGCATGCGTTTTCCACACCAAGACTTCAACTGAAATTTAATTGATCTCTTTGTTAATGGTATATTAACAACAGGTCAGGGAGGGTGGGAAAATATGTTGAAAAGAAAGGAAGAAAAAGGATGGAAGGAAGGAAGGAAGGGAGGGAGGGAGGGAGACAGGAAGGAAGAAAGGGAGAGAGGAAAGGGGAGAGGGGGACAGAAAATACAACAAGAAGAAAACAACAGTAAAAAGAACCCTCCCATCCCATCTCTAAGTCAATATTCAATGTCTGCTCAATCCAGAAAGTTATATTTTTGCCAGCAAAGCCAGTTTGGCTGAATCCGAGTGTCCAGATAAGCAAAGGGCTGTTGTCTGGCTCTAGTGGGCAGAGGAGGGCTGGTTTCATGTGAAGACGGATATACAAACCTTCTAGCAAGAGGGTGAGGGAATTTTCTTTCTTTTGTGCTTTCTGTTATCTAGACACACATATACCATAGAAATGCTTAACCACTGGATGACTTGGCCTAATTAACTGTCTTTAATCCTCTGCAGGGAAGAACTAATAATCTCTTCTGCTGCAATTGTTTCCTTCTGATATACAGAGTTTACTTTAGTCCCCATTCTTTAATAAATTGCTTTGATGGTCACTTTGAGGTTTACAGACATTAATCAGTCAACCTTTACCAGCCCACTGATACCATCAAATCTGACTTAATGCCCAGGAGATAAAAGACAAAGGACCAGTGGGTGGAAAATGAACAGCCACGGAGCCGCTGAGTTTGCACAGTGGCCTGAGTACAGTTTACTGTGCAGAAGCCCAGTGAGGGATGGTGGAACATCCTTGAGTCCTTATTTATCACCGTGAGAGTCCTGCACCACCAAATATTAATAGGAGAGGTGACATGCAATCTGTTTTGTTTGCAGAAGGGAAGCAGTAAAATACTTCAATGGTGGCAGAAAATGCTGAGGAAGAATGAAATTCTCTTATCAAAATACTTCTAGTCCATCCAGATATTGGTTAGCAAAATAGCTTTGAACTTCTCTTAAAGCCAAGTGTACTCTGTCAGTGGAAATCCATGCATTCATATAAATCTTTCCTGGTATTTCTGAGGTAAGGTAAGTATAACTTGGAGCGTATTTCCTGAGAAAATACATAGCTCTCTATTGTATCGAAGACTAGCAAAGGAGGCGGGGGAATGAACACATCAGTGCAGTAAATGAGCCCAGGTGCAAGGGCTGTTTTCTCTAAATAATTTCTCATTGTACAAGAGTCTAGCAGCTCTACTGAAGACTGTACTAATCCAACTGTCATAACGTTTTAGATATCCACAGTCTTCTTCGCTGACCCATTCTCCTACACCCAAGAAGGTTGCTGAGATGAGGGGCTGAGCACATCCGAAGAATCAGAGTAGCAAGTTGGCACAGAAAGCCTTCCAACCAGAGTCATCAGTTCACAGGAGAGAAGTGAGCAGCCCAGCTTTGTCTCAGCAGATGGGGGCTCCTTGCCCCTGCTCAGTGACCAGGTAAAGTAACCTGTTTGCTTTCAATTTGTGTTTCTGGTTGGTTTTCCTGCAATTGACTTTGCTATGGGATGGTGTTCTCTCTGTGAGTTGAGTACACCTTCTGTTAAATACTCTCTTGTTAAAAACCCCTACCTGAGTTTCAAAAGCTCCAATTTCCTCTGAGAATGAAGATCTCAGTGGTCAGAACTAGCTCGGTCCTTCTGAAAGCATAGCCATAGCAATGCATGTCCATGCTCTAGGCTCTCTCACTTCCCTGATACTGTATGTTAGCCACTTTTTTTATTTTTTATTTTATTATTATTTTACTTTAAGTTTTAGGGTACATGTGCACAATGTGCAGGTTTGTTACATATGTATACATGTGACATGTTGGTGTGCTGCACCCATTAACTCGTCATTTAGCATTAGGTATATATCCTAATGCTATCCCTCCCCCGTCCCCCCACCCCACAACAGTCCCCAGTGTGTGATGTTCCCCTTCCTGTGTCCATGTGTTCTCATTGTTCAATTCCCACCTATGAGTGAGAACACGCGGTGTTTGGTTTTTTGTCCTTGCGATAGTTTGCTGAGAATGATGGTTTCCAGTTTCATCCATGTCCCTACAAAGGACATGAACTCATCATTTTTTATGGCTGCATAGTATTCCGTGGTGTATATGTGCCACATTTTCTTAATCCAGTCTATTGTTGTTGGAAATTTAGGTTGGTTCCAAGTCTTTGCTATTGTGAATAGTGCCACAATAAACATATGTGTGCGTGTGTCTTTATAGCAGCATGATTTATAGTCCTTTGGGTATATACCCAGTAATGGGATGGCTGGGTCAAATGGTATTTCCAGTTCTAGATCCCTGAGGAATCGCCACACTGACTTCCACAATGGTTGAACTAGTTTACAGTCCCACCAACAGTGTAAAAGTGTTCCTATTTCTCCACATCCTCTCCAGCACCTGTTGTTTCCTGACATTTTAATGATTGCCATTCTAACTGGTGTGAGATGGTATCTCACTGTGGTTTTGATTTGCATTTCTCTGATGGCCAGTGATGGTGAGCATTTATTCATGTGTTTTTTGGCTGCATAAATCTCTTCTTTTGAGAAGTGTCTGTTCATGTCCTTTGCCCACTTTTTGATGGGGTTGTTTTTTTCTTGTAAATTTGTTTGAGTTCATTGTAGATTCTGGATATTAGCCCTTTGTCAGATGAGTAGGTTGCGAAAATTTTCTCCCATTTTGTAGGTTGCCTGTTCACTCTGATGGTAGTTTCTTTTGCTGTGCAGAAGCTCTTTAGTTTAATTAGATCCTATTTGTCAGTTTTGGCTTTTGTTGCCATTGCTTTTGGTGTTTTAGACATGAAGTCCTTGCCCACGCCTATGTCCTGAATGGTAATGCCTAGGTTTTCTTCTAGGGTTTTTATGGTTTTAGGTCTAACGTTTAAGTCTTTAATCCATCTTGAATTGATTTTTGTGTAAGGTGTAAGGAAGGGATCCAGTTTCAGCTTTCTACTTATGGCTAGCCAGTTTTCCCAGCACCATTTATTAAATAGGGAATCCTTTCCCCATTGCTTGTTTTTCTCAGGTTTGTCAAAGATCAGATAGTTGTAGATATGTGGCATTATTTCTCAGGGCTCTGTTCTGTTCCATTGATCTATATCTCTGTTTTGGTACCAGTACCATGCTGTTTTGGTTACTGTAGCCTTGTAGTATAGTTTGAAGTCAGGTAGTGTGATGCCTCCAGCTTTGTTCTTTTGGCTTAGGATTGACTTGGCGATGCAGGCTCTTTTTTGGTTCCGTATGAACTTTAGTTTTTTTTCCAATTCTGTGAAGAAAGTCATTGGTAGCTTGATGGGGATGGCATTGAATCTGTAAATTACCTTGGGCAGTATGGCCATTTTCACGATATTGATTCTTCCTACCCACGAGCATGGAATGTTCTTCCATTTGTTTGTATCCTCTTTGATTTCATTGAGCAGTGGTTTGTAGTTCTCCTTGAAGAGGTCCTTCACATCCCTTGTAAGTTGGATTCCTAGGTATTTTATTCTCTTTCAAGCAATTGTGAATGGGAGTTCACTCATGATTTGGCTGTTTGTCTGTTGTTGGTGTATAGGAATGCTTGTGATTTTTGCACATTGATTTTGTACCCTGAGACTTTGCTGAAGTTGCTTATCAGCTTAAGGAGATTTTGGGCTGAGACAATGGGGTTTTCTAGATATACAGTCATGTCATCTGCAAACAGGGACAATTTGACTTCCTCTTTTCCTAATTGAATACCCTTTATTTCCTTCTCCTGCCTGATTGCCCTGGCCAGAACTTCCAACACTATGTTGAATAGGAGTGGTGAGAGAGGGCATCCCTGTCTTGTGCCAGTTTTCAAAGGGAATGCTTCCAGTTTTTGCCCATTCAGTATGATATTGGCTGTGGGTTTGTCATAGATAGCTCTTATTATTTTGAAATATGTCCCATCAATACCTAATTTATTGAGAGTTTTTAGCATGAAGGGTTGTTGAATTTTGTCAAAGGCCTTTTCTGCATCTATTGAGATAATCATGTGGTTTTTGTCTTTGGCTCTGTTTATATGCTGGATTACATTTATTGATTTGTGTATATTGAACCAGCCTTGCATCCCAGGGATGAAGCCCACTTGATCATGGTGGATAAGCTTTTTGATGTGCTGCTGGATTCAGTTTGCCAGTATTTTATTGAGGATTTTGCATCAATGTTCATCAAGGATATTGGTCTAAAATTCTCTTTTTTGGTTGTGTCTCTGCCCAGCTTTGGTATCAGAATGATGCTGGACTCATAAAATGAGTTAGGGAGGATTCCCTCTTTTTCTATTGATTAGAATAATTTCAGAAGGAATGGTACCAGTTCCTCCTTGTACCTCTGGTAGAATTCGGCTGTGAATCCATCTGGTCCTGGACTCTTTTTGGTTGGTAAGCTATTGATTATTGCCGCAATTTCAGATCCTGTTATTGGTCTATTCAGAGATTCAACTTCTTCCTGGTTTAGTCTTGGGAGAGTGTATGTGTCGAGGAATTTATCCATTTCTTCTAGATTTTCTAGTTTATTTGCATAGAGGTGTTTGTAGTATTCTCTGATGGTAGTTTGTATTTCTGTGGGATCAGTGGTGATATCCCCTTTATCATTTTTTATTGCGTCTATTTGATTCTTCTTTTTTTCTTTATTAGTCTTGCTAGCGGTCTATCAATTTTGTTGATCCTTTCAAAAAACCAGCTCCTGGATTCATCAATTTTTTGAAGGGTTTTTTGTGTCTCTATTTCCTTCAGTTCTGCTCTGATTTTAGTTATTTCTTGCCTTCTGCTAGCTTTTGAATGTGTTTGCTCTTGCTTTTCTAGTTCTTTTAATTGTGATGTTAGGGTGTCAATTTTGGATCTTTCCTGCTTTCTCTTGTGGGCATTTAGTGCTATAAATTTCCCTCTACACACTGCTTTGAATGCGTCCCAGAGATTCTGGTATGTTGTGTCTTTGTTCTCATTGGTTTCAAAGAACATCTTTATTTCTGCCTTCATTTCGTTATGTACCCAGTAGTCATTCAGGAGCGGGTTGTTCAGTTTCCATGTAGTTGAGTGGTTTTGAGTGAGATTCTTAATCCTGAGTTCTAGTTTGATTGCACTGTGGTCTGAGATATAGTTTGTTATAATTTCTGTTCTTTTACATTTGCTGAGGAGAGCTTTACTTCCAACTATGTGGTCAATTTTGGAATAGGTGTGGTGTGGTGCTGAAAAGAATGTATATTCTGTTGATTTGGGGTGGAGAGTTCTGTAGATGTCTATTAGGTCCGCTTGGTGCAGAGCTGAGTTCAATTCCTGGGTATCCTTGTTGACTTTCTGTCTCGTTGATCTGTCTAATGTTGACAGTGGGGTGTTAAAGTCTCCCATTATTAATGTGTGGGAGTCTAAGTCTCTTTGTAGGTCACTCAGGACTTGCTTTATGAATCTGGGTGCTCCTGTATTGGGTGCATATATATTTAGGATAGTTAGCTCTTCTTGTTGAATTGATCCCTTTACCATTATGTAATGGCCTTCTTTGTCTCTTTTGATCTTTGTTGGTTTAAAGTCTGTTTTATCAGAGACTAGGATTGCAACCCCTGCCTTTTTTTCTTTTCCATTTGCTTGGTAGATCTTCCTCCATCCTTTTATTTTGAGCCTATGTGTGTCTCTGCACATGAGATGGGTTTCCTGAATACAGCACACTGATGGGTCTTGACTCTTTATCCAATTTGTCAGTCTGTGTCTTTTAATTGTAGCATTTAGTCCATTTACATTTAAAGTTAATAGTGTTATGTGTGAATTTGATCCTGTCATTATGATGTTAGCTGGTTATTTTGCTCGTTAGTTGATGCAGTTTCTTCCTAGTCTCGATGGTCTTTACATTTTGGCCTGTTTTTGCAGTGGATGGTACCAGTTGTTCCTTTCCATGTTTAGCACTTCCTTCAGGAGCTCTTTTAGGGCAGGCCTGGTGGTGACAAAATCTCTCAGCATTTGCTTGTCTGTAAAGTATTTTATTTCTCCTTCACTTATGAAGCTTAGTTTGGCTGGATATGAAATTCTGGGTTGAAAATTCTTTTCTTTAAGAATGTTGAATATTGGCCCCCACTCTCTTCTGGCTTGTAGGGTTTCTGCCGAGAGATCCGCTGTTAGTCTGATGGGCTTCCCTTTGAGGGTAACCCGACCTTTCTCTCTGGCTGCCCTTAACATTTTTTCCTTCATTTCAACTTTGGTGAATCTGACAATTATGTGTCTTGGAGTTGCTCTTCTCGAGGAGTATCTTTGTGGCATTCTCTGTATTTCCTGAATCTGAATGTTGGCCTGCCTTGCTAGATTGGGGAAATTCTCCTGGATAATATTCTGCAGAATGTTTTCCAACTTGGTTCCATTCTTCCCATCACTTTCAGGTACACCAATCAGAGGTAGATTTGGTCTTTTCACATAGTCCCATATTTCTTGGAGGCTTTGCTGGTTTCTTTTTATTCTTTTTTTCTCTAAACTTTCCTTCTCGCTTCATTTCATTCATTTCATCTTCCATTGCTGATACCCTTTCTTCCAGTTGATCACATCGGCTCCTGAGGCTTCTGCATTCTTCACGTAGTTCTCGAGCCTTGGTTTTCACCTCCATCAGCTCCTTTAAGCACTTCTCTGTATTGGTTATTCTAGTTATACATGCTTCTAAATTTTTTTCAAAGTTTTCAACTTCTTTGCCTTTGGTTTGAAATGTCCTCCCGTAGCTCAGAGCAATTTGATTGTCTGAAGCTGTCTTCTCTCAGCTCGTCAAAGTCATTCTCTGTCCAGCTTTGTTCAGTTGCTGGTGAGGAGCTGCATTCCTTTGGAGGAGGAGAGGCGCTCAGCTTTTTAGAGTTTCCAGTTTTTCTGTTCTGTTTTTTCCCCATCTTTGTGGTTTTATCTACTTTTGGTCTTTGATGATGGTGATGTACAGATGGGTTTTTGGTGTGGATGTCCTTTCTGTTTGTTAGTTTTCCTTCTAACAGACAGGACCCTCAGCTGCAGGTCTGTTGGAGTACCCTGCAGTGTGAGGTGTCAGTGTGGCCCTGCTGGGGGGTGCCTCCCAGTTAGGCTGCTCGGGGGTCAGGGGTCAGGGACCCACTTGAGGAGGCAGTCTGCCCGTTCTCAGATCTCCAGCTGCGTACTGGGAGAACCACTGCTCTCTTCAAAGCTGTCAGACAGGGACATTTAAGTCTGCAGAGGTTACTGCTGTCTTTTTGTTTGTCTGTGCCCTGCCCCCAGAGGTGGAGCCTACAGAGGCAGGCAGGCCTCCTTGAGCTGTGGTGGGCTCCACCCAGTTCGAGCTTTCTGGCTGCTTTGTTTACCTAAGCAAGCCTGGGCAATGGCGGGCACCCCTCCCCCAGCCTCACTGCCACCTTGCAGTTTGATGTCAGACTGCTGTGCTAGCAATCAGCGAGACTCCGTGGGGTAGGACCCTCCGAGCCAGCTGGGGGATATAATCTCATGGTGCGCCGTTTTTTAAGCCCGTCGGAAAAGCGCAGTATTCGGGTGGGAGTGACCCGATTTTCCAGGTGCCATCCGTCACCCTTTTCTTTGATTAGGAAAGGGAACTCCCTGATCCCTTGCACTTCCCGAGTGAGGCAATGCCTCGCCCTGCTTTGGCTCGCGCATGGTGCGTGCACCCACTGACCTGCACCCACTGTCTGGCACTCCTTAATGAGATGAACCCAGTACCTCAGATGGAAATGCAGAAATCACCCATCTTCTGCGTCGCTCAGGCTGGGAGCTGTAGACCAGAGCTGTTCCTATTCAGCCATCTTGCGGCTTTTATCCCATCTTTGTGGTTTTATCTACCTTTGGTCTTTGATGATGGTGATGTACTGATTGGTTTTTGGTGTGGATGTCCTTTCTGTTTGTTAGTTTTCCTTGTAACAGACAGGACCCTCATCTGCAGGTCTGTTGGAGTTTGCTAGAGGTCCACTCCAGACCCTGTTTGCCTGGGTATCAGCAGCGGAGGCTGCAGAACAGGGGATATTGGTGAACCACTGATGCTGCTGCCTGATTGTTCCTCTGGAAGTTTGTCTCAGAGGAGTACCCGGCTGTGTGAGGTGTCAGTCTGCCCCTACTGGGGGGTGCCTCCCGTTAGGCTACTCGGGGGTCAGGGACCCACTGGAGGAGGCAGTCTGCCTGTTCTCAGATCTCCAGCTGCATGCTGGGAGAACCACTGCTCTCTTCAAAGCTGTCTGAGAGGGACATTTAAGTCTGCAGAGGTTACTGCTGTCTTTTGTGTCTGTGCTCTGCCCCCAGAGGTGGAGCCTACAGAGGCAGGCAGGCCTCCTGGAGCTGTGGTGGGCTCCACCCAGTTCGTGCTTCCCAGCTGCTTTACCTAATCAAACAACTAACTAGGCAATGGCAGGCGCCCCTCCCCCAGCCTTGCTGCTGCCTTGCAGTTTGATTTCGGACTGCTGTGCCAGCAATGAGTGAGACTCCGTGGGTGTAGGACCCTCCAAGCCAGGTGTGGGATATAATCTCTTGGTGTGCCGTTTTTTAAGCCCGTTGGAAAAGCACAGTATTAGGGTGGGAGTGACTCGATTTTCCAGGTGCCGACGGTCACTGCTTTCTTTGACTAGGAAAGGGAATTCCCTGACCCCTTGTGCTTCCCAGGTAAGGCGATGCCTTGCCATGCTTCGGCTCGCACACGGTGAGCTGCACCCACTGTCCTGCACCTACTGTCTGGCACTCCCCAGTGAGATGAACCCGGTACCTCAGTTGGAAATGCAGAAATCACCTGTCTTTTGCGTCGCTCACACTGGGAGCTGTAGACTGGAGCTGTTCCTATTCGGCCATCTTGGCTCCTCAGCTGTTAGCCACTTTTCTACTGCTCTCTATTTTACGTCTGTGAATACAGTCACATGGAGGTTCAATAAACGTAAGTTGAATCATAGGTTGAATCTGAATAAGTCTATTGACTTCACTTTTTCTATTTCTTTGTTTCATTTTCTTGCTTGTGGCTCATCGCTGTGGTGCTGTACATCACTAAAGTGAGTAATGCAGCCCTCACTCTTTCCATGATAAAAAGGTACTTTTTTTCATCTGTCATGCACCTTCCCATGTAATGCATTTCTTTTCATCTCCCCCTCCACCTCCAAAGTCTACAGCCATCCTCTGATGACAGTTTGCAAGGCCAGAATGTGAGGGGATGAACAGGGTGGGGTGAGGTGGGGAGAGGAGGTCAGGGGATTGGGATGGAAGGTGGGAGAAGCATTCCCCTCCCTGGCTTCACAGCTGCCTTCCTGAAAGGCTACTGCTGTGGTCAGCACTGTCCTCAGGGTGACAGCAGTGCACGCGGCACCCATTTTATTCCACTGCTTGCTTGGATGCTTAGTCATAGTCATAGTCTTAATGAGTCACTCACTCTAGGCTAGTGAGAAAATTGGAAGGGATGTGCAAAGACAGGCAAGAGACGCGGGAGATATTTGCAGGGGAGGACTGGAAGTGGAAGAGGATGTAAAGGGACTGTGGAGAAGGGGCTGAGAAATGAGTGAAGGACCCCCTATGATGTTCCACTGAGGGGCATCCTTGTCTTTCAGTTTATGCCTGGAGATTCAACATGCACCTCACAGTTTTCAAAGCCTTTGTAACATGCATTCTCCATTGACTGTTGGAACAACTCTGTACGGTGGATAAGGTAGATCAACTGTATTGTAAAGAAGAGGAAATTGAGTCTAAATGAGGCTTAGTGAGTCACCCAAGACCAAAGAGCTACTGGACGTCAGGCCCTAACCTGGACCCCAGTAGCACCCCTAGAAATCACTGTGTATTGGCAACCACTCATGCAGTGCCATGCCTATCCTCCTCCTTTGGAGAACCTCATGAGCCAGTTGATGCGTTTGACAGAATATCTGAATTATCATGTGCTTGGTGTCTGACTCTGCTGCTGAGGGGTCATCAATAAGACCCTTTTTATGAAAACTGCTCAGTCAGTTGAAGTAGTCTTCCTATGGGTCCCAGACTCACTCTCTACCCTTTGCCTTTGTGCTGATCCCTGGGCATTGAGAATTTAACGATACTTTTCTTTCTTTCTTTCCCCTTCCCAGCCCTCCTGGGGGAGTGAGAGCAAGGGATGAGCAAAGCAAAGGGAGCTTGAAGTCTCCCTGGCTCCCAATCAATCACCTCCTTCAATAGCCTTCCACATCCTCTAAGACACTTTACAGACAAGTGCTTCGGGTAATGCACAGCAGGGGAAGGGGGCCTCTGGGATAGAGGGAAGGGGAGACAAAACATAAAGCAAGGAAGATACTGACCTTGCAACAAAGTTGAGCTCGTAGGCTCATTTAGTTCTAAATCGGTTGAGGGACACACAGGAGAGAAAAATGAGAACAAACACATATATTATATACAGTGCTATATATTTGTCATATATAGTTTGTATACTGCCTTTCACAGACATTTCTGGGGGATTATATAAAAAAAAGGAAGACAGAAACCAAAGGCGTAGGACAAGGTGCGGCAAGAGAAACGCTGACATGCTTTATGTTTCCATATTGAATGCCGTGACTGGGAAGGCAGGGAGCTGGTTACGCCATACATATTCTGGTGCAGTTGGATTCACTCTTAGCTCATGCTGAGCCATGCTACTAACTGGATAACAAAGGACTAAAGTTTCCTTCCAGATGAGACTTGTTTCCCACTTCCCCACCCCCATCGTTTCATCTTAGGACACCAAATTCAGAAATTTTTGCCCCTGGCACCACGGTAGGAACGAACGAGCTCCCCAGAGCACTGTGATTCAGGAGTGCGGGAGCAGAACTCTCAGAGGCCCCTGCAAGCCCTGTCACCTTAGCGATCAGGTGCTTGTGATGGGAAGGACTAACCTGCTCCCGTTTGGCTTAAGTATTCCCAGACCGCCGACTATGGTCTCTTGCACCAGAATTCCTCACTTCTCAACGTCTAGGCCACTTGGAGAGAGCGTGCAGTTTATGCACAAGTTGGTGGCAAAATGATGATAATTTTGCTGCCTTTCTAACTTCATCAAGAAGTTTGTATATTCGCAAAAAGTACATGCTGCTTTCCAACCTGCCCCAAGTGTGCTTGTTGGCTTTTAATGGAAACTGACATGGAAAATTCCCTAACAAACAAACAAATTCATATTTGTCAAAAGACCTCATTGATGGTGAGCCTCAATAATGAACCTAGGAGCCACAATAACATCCGAACTATTGGCTGCAAATACTCATCTCACACAGGAATGGGGTTTGCGAGCTCCACAGAATTATGTTACCCAGGCAGCATTGCTAGTGATGGACTCCTCAGGAATGATCTCTCAACTGAAGCTAACAAATTAAATTGGTTTCTGATTGAAACATCCTGCAAACTTTTTCTCCCCTAGAGATTTAGCATGTTAAGGCTCCGGGACTTCTGGCATTAAAGAACATCCCCACATGTACCCCACTCATCTTGGTGTGACCCACTCTTTCTAAACATATTTGAATACATACTACTACTTTTCCATGTCCTTTTTAGAAAACCCTGGACGCCAGAGAGCTGGCAATGGTAGAAACGTCCCAAAGGAGGCACAGGGCAGATGCTGATTGATAGACCCATAGGGTGGGGGGCATGGGAAGTAGACATTGTAATTGCTACATGTGTGCCTGCTGAAAAGAGCATATTTATGACCTGCACTTCACTGCTTTCCTTGTCATAAATGTCATCTATTCAACTCTTACGAGAACTGTTTGTTTGCTGCTTCTCCCTATTCTCATCCTGAGATGGCTTAAGGAGAAGAAGCCGGGGAAGTATACAATCATGATAAAGCCAATGGCTGAACCATTTCATGCAACCAAGTCAGGAGAGAGTAGGTCAAAGTGGGGGGTGGCGGGGGGAAGACTACCCCTGTGAGGATGAGGAGTGCTGTGGGTGGAGAGCAGGACTTGGGTTAATGGGAAACTGAGGGGGAGCCTTAGATTTAGATTTGCAAAGCAAGGGAAGGAGGGGTCTGTTCCTTCCTAATCCTGGTCTCTGTTCATGCAGACAGACGCCTGCCAAAAAGGCAAAAAGGCATGAAAAATGCAAGGGGCTCTTATGATCATCCCTGTGTGAGAGATGCCAGACACATCAATCACTCAAATCACAGCTCTGCCCATTCCAAGCCACTGGCTCGGGGATCAAGGGCGGCTTTCTCCTTCCCAGCTCTCTCAGATAAAGCTGGGATTTACTATTTGTGCCGGGTAGAATGCAGGAGGATGTAATGGGTGAGCAGAGATCGTGTGGTGAAGCAGTGCAGGCTCGTGATTCAGAGCAAGCCACATACGCTAGCACCGAGGGCACATGGCTGGGCCATGGGATTATCCCAAAGTTTTCAGAATATAAGGAATTTGTGTTCTTGCAAATTATCTGTCAAATGCCTCCCCTTACTTCCCCATCACATTCAAGAGTGCTTGTTAACATGAGGGATTGGGGAGACAGGTTTGAAAAATCTCAAGCTCAAAGAACTTGATGGGGTATGAAGGAATTTGCCCAAAACACAACCGGAATTTAATCCTGTGGCCTTTAGGGAGAATCTGCGTTCATCAAGGGATGGAGCCATCATGAGAGGCCCAGGGCCCTGCCTGGTGGCACCACCAGGAAGGCAGGCTCATGTCTGCACAGCTGTCTGCTAGCAGGGGCAGGCATCAGGGTTTACAAGGGAGCTCGCTCACTTTCTTCTGATATCAATACAGTAGCCAGATATGTGACGAAGGTGGGGCTCTTCATGTCCCAGCGACTGGAGACAGTTTTGGAAAAAGGAAAATTTTACACTAAGCCAGTAAGCAAAGACTGAAATAGCAAACATTCCCCTCTGAGTTCTTGACTATTTTACCCAATTATGATTCCCACAGTCAGCTTAGGAGCCATCATCACTGAGAAAAAAAAAATCAAATGTCATTTTTGGCATTCCAAAGTATTTTTCTCCTATCTCGGGATCTTTTCCATTATAGAATGAAACATGAACATTCTTTTTCATTTTCCTTTTCCCACTTCTGAGATCTACTTTTATACATGTACTATACATATACTACTTTGTATACATGTAAACTGTATCTCTTGTTCTTTCTCTTTCTGTCTGCCTCCTCCCTGTCTCTCTGTCCCTCTCTCTCCATTTCTTTCTGTGTCTCTCTCTTTTTTTTCCTCCCTCTCCATGTCCACTGATACCCTGCTAACCTCTGACCCTGGCCTTGAGGGGCCCTCCCACCCAGCTCTCCCGTTCTGCACCCTCTCCCCTCTTCTTGCCCAGCTCAGAGCACAGTCTCACCAAATAGCATGATGCTGGCATTGGTGTGGCCCAGCTTGTTGGAGGCCACGCAAGTGTAGTTCCCATAGTCATGTTCAGAGACATTGAAGAAGATGAGTTTTGAGAGGAAAGGTCTGTTTTCCACTTTCACCCCTTTCTTTCCTTCAATCAGTCTGAGAGAAACAAAAGACAAAAAAGAAGAAAACAAGATGGTTATGTGTCCTCATAGGAAGAAGATAGGCCCAGGGATTCCTGGTCTTCTCCTTGCCCCCCTTTCTGACATCATTATAACCATTATTTGATCCACTCAACCACACCATAATGTAGTAGTAGTTCACAGACAGTGAGTGACACGTTGTTTCTTGATTTTCACACATGTGCCCAGGGGCACTCCTACCAGAACATCTGATCTCCCTAGCCTCTCATCCTTGCTTTGTAGTCTGACAGCAACACCACAACAAATAACCCCTGCCAGCTGTGTGGCATTCAGAGCAATACGATTCACACAGTAGGTGGTTCAAATGTGTGGGCCTGATGATGATGATGGTGATGGTGATGATGACAACCATGCAAATGAAAAACTCAAACTTCTGAGAGAAGAGCCACCTGAGGAATTTGAAAGAAAAATGTTTTTCGAGCACCTGGTAATCTAATTTCTCCTGAAGCACCAGAAGCATTGCATTGTATAGATAATACTTAATTTTTTGGCTATGAAGAGGAGAAAAATCATCATTTTCTCATTTTTCTCATCAGGGGACTCTGAAGGGCTTGGGAGGAGTGATCTGCCCAGACTGTTATAGAGGATTAGTCTGGAAGGATTAGAGGTTCCCAAGAATATGTCCCTTTAGAGCCAGGACAGTCTCCCTGAGCTCCACAATGGCAGCCCAGTAAGCCACAAGGACTTGCATTGGTCTGGGGGCCACTACAGAAATGCCACAGGGAGTTAGTTAGTTGGGGGAAGTGAGGTATGCTTATTAGAACCATGGATTCTATTACCAGGCAGATAAAAGGGTAAGGAGAAAGCTGCTATTGGAGTCAGTAGGCACATGTCCTCCTTCTCAGGAAGTTGTTAACAGCAATTCCTATGGCGATCATGGATACCACCTACTTTCCTTTGCAAGATTCCGAAATGTCCATTTCTTAGAATGAGCTTTAAGCCAACCTTTTACTTTTTCCCTGAAACAAACAATCTGTAATCCTTGCCCTGAAGCTGATTCTATGCTATGGGAAAGATGAATACTCTTGGGGCAAAAAACCCCTTCTTGATGAAGGATCTCAGGGAATATGGACACAAAGCTAAGTTTCCTGTTTAGGGCCTGGCTGGAGCACAGCTTGTAGCAAGCAGATAATAACATGGCGGGAGCACACTGGAACAGATTCAGGGGACATGCTTTGGGGCAAATGGATGCTATTGAGAAAAACAAACAGTACTCAAGGCTGTTTGACAATGATGAGGAAATGCTTTGCGGACCGCACAATGGCATCAGTATAATGTATTTCTATGGAGTTAGACATAGATGACTCTTGCCCATCCCTGGGTCACAGTGTTTTTTGGCATAGAGTGCAGCTGCTTTGTCATTATCTGAAGACCTGTCTCTGTGGGATTACAGAATAATTTCTCCACTCCTGCAACTTACAGTAACCTTGATCAGAAAAGAGAGGCAGGTTCTGGCCGGAGTTCTCACCCAACATCTGCCTCCAGGGAAGTCAGAAGATAGGTTGGACAGACTTGCCTTGCTTTTCATTATGTAGATGTTCCTCTGGGAGCCTTCCTCTCCAAACGCTAGGGGCAATGAACTGGCCTGAGTCCACGGCTTCATTAAAATGCTAGCACTGTCCAAATGGAATGAGGCATCCGGCTGTGCAGCCACAGGCCACTTTTACATTTCCAGCTTGCTATGTATACATTGATCCTCTAGGGGGTGCTGTCCATACCACTCACCGGGAGGATTCTGCGAGCAAGTCAGGCTGATTGATCCCACTGGCCGTTTTGACACCATTCGTCCACCATGGGGAGGAAGCTTTCCCATCATAACCAAACTGTGAATGAGATTTCAGCTCTGCAGTGGGGAGAGACTTAACTGAAAGTAGGCTCCTGCTTGACAGCTCTGAAATGTCTTTAGCTAAAAACAGCACAGGGGGCCAGCAGCACTTTGCAGGCTTTGCAGCTCCTGGGAGGACACGCTTTCCCCTTCTCTGTGCGGGCACACATCCCCTCCATCCCGCACTGCTTCCAGGCCTCAGTTTCTTACCAAAGCTGTGGACTTTTCATTGGTCAATGCCCCTGTTGGATGGGTGGCCTTCCGTAGGTATAGCATTCCATTCCTCTTCCTTTGTTGGATAACACATACAATAGCGTGCAGTTGAGTCATTCTGGCATGTGGCCAAAAGACTTCTCACCTAACTAACTCTTGAGAAAACTGCCTGTCCTCACCACACAGTTTCCTTTAATCTGCCTTGGTAGTCTGCTCATCTCACTGAAAATGGGAGATGGGCTAGAGCTGGCCTTCCCCCCAGGGCAGACACAATATGCCTTGGGAGACCTACCTGGCAGACCCAACTTGCTGTGACCAGGACCTCAGAGGCAGGGATGCTGCAGCTGAGCTGGGTGCCAGGAGGAAAGACAGCCCCTGTCTCATGCCAGCACACTGGAAATAAATAAATACATGTGCAGGGAAGGGAAAACTGACTAAACCACTAAATGGAAAGGGGAGAAAAGGAGAGGCCATCAGAAGAACTGAAAGAAAGACAGAAACAAAGCTGCCTGAGCCAGGGGCCTCTGAAGACTGTCCCTGGCCCTGCCAGCCTGCTCTCTCCTCCTGGGTGAATGGTGGCAGGGACAGCTGTCCCTATTGTGACCAGAGATGCTGCACAGAGGAGAGCTCTCTCATCCTTTTACTCGCCATTGGCCACTTTTGCTTTATTTTCCTCTAAGATTTTGCTTTCCCTTATATGTATTTTTTCTATTTTTCTCCAATAAAGAATTGGAATAATAGGACGCAGCTGATGACTTTTCATTAAGACCTAGACAATTGAAGATTTGGGAACTGACCCCATAGCTCAATAGGTTTTTTGTTTGGTTTGGTTCAATAATTAATTTTTATGCCTCAGTTTACTTCTTAGTACAATAAGAAGGTCGAAGAGGAAACGCATAAGTGAAACAGAATTTCTAAGTAAGGAAACCATATTTATCAGAAAAACACGCTCCAGTCTGCTTGATTCTTCTTTCTTGGAAGAAGGGGAAAGCCAGCTCTATTTCTTCATGAGTTTGTTTTTCCCCTTTGTGTCTTAGTTCTTTCATCTGTAAAATGGGCTACATGAATATAATACATCTCACTAGAAGCTGCCAGAATGTGTCCTTAAAAATTTTTTTTTAAAAAAACAAAACACTGCTTTTCATTTGGGAGGATTATGATAAAACCCAGTGAATCTTAAAACTGATTGACGTGGTTCTAAACAAAATTCAATTTTCGATCTAGAGACTAGAAAGAGCTTTAGGTTTCTGACTGACCTCATAAGGAAACAAAGCCAAGGCTGGCTGAAGACGTGCACACAGCGTGGGCGGCCATTCACTTGCTCCTGGCCTGCAGTTTCTCATGCTGCTCTCCTTCTCAGAATGCCCTCTTCATTGTTTTTCCTTCTCAGCCTCCTGGCCTCCCCCACTCCTTGCTCTTACTCCACCCCACATACACCTCAGGACTCTCTAGCATCCCCTATACCACCACCTCTTTTTCAATGAAAATGTTCTGAACACAGGCAGCTCTTGCCCATTTCCCGTTGTTCATCCCCCTTAAAAATGGCTCTTTGATAACAGCAATTGCCATGGTGCCTGGCTGTACTGAGCTACTGATCCCTGCACTGATATGTCATTTGATAAAGCCTGGAAATGATCATCTTCAGTGACTCACAACAAATATCCCGAGGATGCTGTGACAATGGGAAGGAAGGGAATAGTCCCTTCTCTTTTCTCCTACAGTAAAAGAACAACTTGGGCACAAAGGGAGGGCTAAATTGGGTCATGGACTCTTATACACCGCTACTGATAGTGTCTGGAACAGGAGGGGAGACCTACTAGCTGCAGCTAACTTATTAGCCACTCCCAGGGCCCTGAGAGCCTTCCTAACTCCTTTACGCAAGCCTGAGAATGTGGTAAAAATAGCTTCAGGCAGAACACATTATGTTCTTGGCCTATAAAAAATTCACAGGCCTTACAATGCTCCTGGTGGCCTTTCCTTTGTGATTTTGCCTTCCTAAAAAAAGTTACCTTTCAGATCTGTTGGTTGGCCAGTGATAATTCTACATGGTGACATTAAAAACGTAGCTGAAATCCATTAATGTTAAGAAAAGACTTCTTTGCACATTTGCCCCCTATAGAGATAAGTTCAGAAGAGGATTTTATAGAACTCGTTTGCAACAATGTGGAATCAGGACCCTGGAAAAGTTTCTCCTGGAGATGGGGGTAGGGGTGGGATAGGAAAGAAGGAAGCTTTACCTTTTGTCATCCTTGTACCACTGGAATTCTGCTGAGGGGACTGCTGAGGCTTCACACTGCAGTGTCCCCTTTTGTCCCACGGGGACACCTGTACCCTTGGCTTCTGAAATGTATGGTGGATCTGCAAAAAGAAGATGTCTCATAGCCGCCCCCCCACCTTTTTTTTTTTTTTTTTTGAGATGGAGTCTTGCTCTTGTGGCTCAGGCTGGAATGCAGTGGCATGATCTTGGCTCACTGCACGTTCTGCCTCCCGGGTTCAAGCAATTCTCCTGCATCAGCTTCCCAAGTAATTGGGATTACAGGTGCACGGCACCATGCCTGCCTAATTTTTGTATTTTTAGCAGCGACGGGGTTTCACCATGTTGGCCAGGCTGGTCTCCAACTCCTGACCTCAGGTGATCTGCTCGCCTCAGCCTCCAAAAGGGCTGGGATTACAGGGCACTGCACCTGATCTACAGCATTTTAAAATGAAGAAGGCTGCTTCATTTGTTGATTTTGTTTCTCAGTCTCTGCCCTGGCTCTGCTTACTTAGAAGGTAAAACTGCTACATAAATTGTACCAGAGAATAAAAACCTTTTTGATGCCGCTCTAAGAAAAAGCTGGGTCTTCCTTTCATGTACTGCTTTTGTTCTCCTCTGTACAGAGTTGAAATGACCATGTACTCAAGCATTTTTTCTGTTTAAACTTTTTAACTTTCATAGGATGATGCCAGCCCATCAACCCTACACTCCACGGGTTGACAGTCAGCACCTTTAATCAGCCTTCTAGAATTTCTGCACACCAGGTTCTTGCCAAAAGTATATAACCTCGAACTATTCAATTCCCATCAAAAGCTCAGTTGCAAGAAATAATATTCAAGGAGAATTGCCTGAAGGATATACAGATCAGTCATTCTTGGTATTCTAAAACAGATCCCTGAATCAAACCAGAGCAAGTGACCAAGCTAGGCCTACGCACTTGGTTTGCATTCATTTGACGTCTTTACCAAACTACTCTTCACATTCTACCAGTTTATATTAAAGGGTATTATGAAAAACAGCCACAATAAACTGGCTATTCTATTTAATGCAGAAATATTGTACATGATGTTGCTGACTCTCTCCCAAAGTGCTCTATTTGTGGAGACCCTGAAGAGAATTTTCTCTAGGGTCTCAGTACCACGAAAAGCAGTGTTTCTCCCAAGCAACTAATTTGCTTTTATCTTATGGACAACATAAATCTTAAAGCAGGTGATGTTTCCCTCTTTGCTTTAGCAAGGCTGAGCCAAATTCTGCACCTGCACCTAGCAGTCTTGTGGTAATATTTCATGTGCTGAGGTTTTCCTAGCTTTCACTCATTTTCCTAAGCGTATTTTTTCTTTGCTTCTGTTTCTTTATGTTTTAAGTTCATCTTTATAAACTGTAAATCCTCTTAAGTCCCTTTGTAAAAACTTGTGATATGATTTTTAAAATGACAGCATTTTTATACCTATTGCCTTGCTTCTTAAACCGCTTCATATTGACTGGGTTCACATTGTAACACAAACCTAAATCTGAAAGACTGGATATTCTCCTAGATACAGTATCCTTCTCCTAACTCCACGCCACCCAAGTTTTGAAGGGAAGTCATCTCGTTTGCCGATTTAGTTATTGAGTTCTATTGCTTCGTAAGTCTTCCTGGAATGTGCACAGCAGAGAAAACCTCCAGAATGTTGTAGGGAGCTAAGGCAAGGTACATAATGAGGGACCCAGAGGGAAAAGAGTGAAAGGAGGTAGCAAATTCAAGTAGGATTGATGTCAGAGACAATCTGGAAGGCTGAGAAAGGAGAATGAGGGGTCCACACAGCACCTTCCAAACTTTTTGGATTCTGTATCTCTATTAGTAACAAGCAAATTTATTGTTACATCCTCTAAGATCTATATCGTAACTATTTGTATGTATACCATGCACATCTATAATTGTAAAATAATGAGATATAATAGACATACCATAAATGGAAGTTTGAAACTTCCTTCATACACTCTAGCACATGGTTTCTTGTCCCATTATGGAGATGTCTGGTCTAGACAGTGAGAGGCTCCAGCACAACTGTATTGTGTGAGTAAATTATGGGAAAATTTTGGATTTGAAGACGTGTTTAAAAAATTATGAGCTGAATGCCATTTAATGATCTGCCAGCCATGCAAGTCAAGTTTGGCATTATTTTCAGTTACTTTAGCTACTTTTTCTTTCAGCGTGACACTGTGACACCTTGAAGTGTCAAAAACTCGAGTTTGAAATGTTTGCTCCTGAAAGCAGAGTGTGGAAAGTGGTGCTGCATTCTTCCCACCCTAAGTCAGTAGCTGGCTGTGCCAATGGGCTCTGGGTGGTGGCTGTGACAACAGGCCAGCCTGATGCACGTGCAGGGCGCGTGGTGGTGAGAACACTTACAGTTCACGGTGACCTTTACTCTCCGTACCACGGGCGCGGCCACGTCATTGGAGGCACTGCACTCGTAGTCCCCTGACTGCTCCCTGGTGATGCCCTGAATTTCCAAGTATTCGTCTTCACTCACAAAGCCAACCGCTGCGGGAAAACCGGTAACGTGTGGTGAAATACAAGGAAAAAAAAGACCAAACATGTTCACTTAGAAAACAAAGTATAAAATGGTTATGTCTGCAGATAATTTGCCAGTTGTAAGTTCAGATTCTGAGGAACTGTGTGGGTTATCCCTCCTCCGTCTCTTCTACACCTCCGCACCACCAACTTTTCCTTGGCTCCCCAGTGGAACAGCTGAAATGTTTGTGTTCCTAACTGAACAAAGCACAGTGCCTAGAGAATTACTGGTCCCAATAAGTGATTAATAATTTTGACATTTACACTGCCTGTATCTTACCAAGCCGTCGTGCTCTGGGATCTGAGTCAGGCACCTTAACTCTTTCTGATCTCAAGGTATCACTTAGACTGAGCCTTGAATATAAAATTTATGACTGCACACTTGAGCATAAATTAATTGAAAATGCCACACCAGCAGCTACATACACATACACACACACACGTGCATCACAAAGGTAGCAGAAACACTAACATAAAAAATTTAATTTTCTGTTTTTTGACTCAGACAATTAATTGGATAGGCAGAAATCAACGTGCTAAACTTCGATCTGCTAGAGCTCCTAGGTACAAGATCCTAAAGACAGACCAGCAATGGGACTCCGCACTCGATGCCTAGTTGTAAGCATGTCAGAGATTCATCAGGCGACGTGGCTGCGAATCCACTCAGTCCCCTAATCATTGCGGGACTCATTGTCTTCAGTGAAAAATTATGAGTAATAATAACAACGCTTCACATACCAGACTCTGTGCCTGACGTCTGGCCATGAGCACTCAGTTATTGAAAGACCAAGATATTTAAGGCTAGAGGAGATTTCAAAGTTCTCTCCCAGAGGCACCTGAGCCTTCGCTTCCTTGCCAAAAGACAATGAAAAACAAAAGTTAGGGCTTACATCCCAAGCTATCCTCCCTTCTCTCTTAAATGAGGGTAATTAGAAAGACAGCATCCTAAACCTGGATACCTTTAAAAGGAAATGAGGTGCTAGTAATTAATGATTATTAGCAGACAACAGGCATAAGGCTGTCCCTAGCAATTGAGAAGCATTTTCCCAAACATAATATACATACAATCCTAATACCTCACAGGGTCACGGGGCTATTTAGACTAACACACAAACATGCCTACATATATATGTACACACTCACACACACACATGCACGAAAGCACTCCAAAACTCTCGTGTGCTGCCCACCTGTTGATTTAGTTATTACTCCTATAATCTGGTTGGAGGCACAGCTTCAGGGGGTGCAGCACTGTATTAACATGAGTGGCCCAAGAAAGGGAACAAAGGGACATTTCTCTCCAGGTGAGAAAACCCTTCCATAATGCCACGTGTTTCTGCTGGCCCAGAGCACGAAAACAGTAGCTGTAAAAAACCGATACAACAAGGGATGATGTGTGCGGTATGTAAGGGATGATTGTATGTGTTCCATAACAGTGTTGAAGTCACTGTTTTGTCAAGATAACCACAATAACAATAACAACAGCAACAACAACAAGACCATGGTCTTGTGAACAAGGGCCACTGCCTTGTTCCATTCGATCAGCACTCTTTGGCCATGATAAGTCTGTGCCACTGCCCAGCAGTAGGCCCAACCGGGGCCTCATCTCATACATCTTCATGCCATATGCAAACTACACTATGTATGTACAGACGGTTTCTTGCCTCTGTTACATACAGAAGAGGAAAAGAACAGCCTATGTCCATTACAACAAACAAGAAAGAGATACTAAATTCACAAGACAAAGAAGGAACCTCTTCATAAGTAGAAAACACAGCCAAAAAGACCAGGATGTGAAGAGGACAAACAACATTAACCCAAATAGACTCATAGTTCCTACCAGTAAGACACTTCTAATGGTCTCAGTAGCCTTTATGAATATTGTTTGATAAGCATCTTTAGGGGAAAGGTACTAACCTTGATTTGAGGATGGGTGGAAGAATTGAGAAGAGCTTTAAATGAAGAATCTGTAATTCCTCTTGTGTTGTCCTTGTTTATTTGCTACCAACCACGGGCTTACATTTGTCAGATCTTCCCCTGCCAGAATGCTATAATTACTGTGCCAAGCATCTCGGAGACCAGTGTCACACTTAATATTCCCATTAATTTTAAATGGTAGTCCTTGGTACATATGTGTGGCAATTGGTGTCATATTTTAATTAGGCTTGCCCTACACCATCTGAAATTAATAATAGCTCGAATTACCAGTGTAATTTATAAATTAACAGTGCCGCAGCATTAGGAAATAAATTAGCTCTGGACAGCTGTTTCTGGATTGAGCTCCAGGGTCGGAGCAGGGACTGATAGGACCTCAGGTCTCCTGTGAAGCTGTGTATTACATCACCAAAGCGGGGAAACAAACAAAAAGACAGAGGTTCTCTGGATCTCTTGTGCTCTCCAGCTAAAGTTCATGCATCTGTTTCAATTCCATAATTCAAATATGCTCTTTTGTGGCCACAGCGAGATTTGCAGGGGCCAACTTGTCATGGACATCCAAATGGAAAGGCCTGTTGGAGGCATGACAGTCCTGGACTGAAATGCAGTTACACAAATATTAAGGCAGTCAAAATCGAGAACTCATCAGTTTTCTGTGGGGACATGGGTGCCACATTAATTTATGTGTAGTTTTGTATATTTATGTCAGGTGATCTTGTGTAGGAAAGGACGTTGGGTGGCTCAAGTTTTGGGGAAGGCGTATGGTCTCTACTGATCCAAATTTCTAATTCCAGAGAAAGGAGATTTTTCCTCAAGTCATCCTGCAGGAACAGTGAGGCTTAATCCTACTTTCCTATGTTCCCTGGACCAAATGTGCAATCCCAGAGAAATCACAATGACTTCATTGCTCACCAGTTATTACATGTACACTTTTTGATTAAGTTGGGTAAGGCATGTAAAAAGTGACTTGTACATAGTAATATGCTTAATAAATTTAAGCTTTCATTGTCATTATGCTCACTTTTCTCCTCACCCACCTTTTTCTCTACTAGAGGCATATATGGCAAAACCAGAGAGAAAGTTGGTCAGTTTACACATAACAAAATAAACTTTGAACCACCCAAAATCAGGTTCCTAAAGGAGATGCCTCAAACAAGCCCCCCAAAACACTAAACTGCAATCTGACTTTCTAGAGTTAATAAATCAACGAAAAGTTTCGTTTAAAAGCATTTGTGCTGTGGCTATGAAGTGATCAGTGCTTTATCACTAGTGTGAGGAACTTACAAAGCATATTGGGTAAAAAAAAAAAAAGCAAGCATAGTCTTTAAAGTGCTGAAGGATATTCTTGGTTAAGAGACATCAGTGGGGAAGAGGCAAACCACTTGATATAACCCTATGAAAAGAAACTTCACGGTCAACAGCTTCTCATTATAAGTCTGCTTTTTCTTTCTGTAAAGAAAATGCATCCTCAGGTGGAAATAACACACTCATCTTCCTGAAATACCCCTTCATCATGGTCCACTTCTTCAGACACTAGAAATGGCTCCTTATTTTTCTGTCACATCAAACACAAACTCTACTCCCTTATTATCAAAGCCCTCCACAAAGTAGCCCTGATCTATTCACCCAAGTTTATTTTGCACAAGTGCTATGAAGAAGGCAACAGATCATCGTCCTAAGAGGCAAAAGTTTGGGATCAGAAGAAACCAATTCTCTACCCTCTAGTTTCATGATGGGGTAGGTCACCTAACTCCCCTGTACCACCATATCTTCATCTGCACAATCAGAATAACGTTACCTACTTCTAGGGTTGCTGTGAAAGACAACACGTGGAGTGCAGTGGGGACACTGAGGGGCCCAGGAGAAGCCCTCTGTAGAACTTAGTCTAAACAACTGGTATACCACGCCACCACTGCCACTGCTGCAGCTCTCCTGCCAGGCCATGCTAGTTCTCATCCTGGACCAACATGATGATTTGTTCTTCACAGATTGTTTTTTTTTTTTTTTTTTTGTCACCTAGAAAGCTGTGCCCTATCTATCTAAGCAAATACCACCTTTCTTTCAAATTTTAACTCTTCCTTGCAAACACCCTATTATGGGTTCAATTGTGTCCTCCCAAAAAAGGTATGTTGAGATCCTAACCATCAGTACCTCAGAGAGTGACTATATTTGGAAAAAGGTCTTTACAAAGGTAATTAAGTTAAAATGAGGTATTATGGTAGACCCTAATCTAATCTGACTGGTGTCCTTATAAAAAGGGATTCGGGCAGACATGCACAGAGAAAGGGTAGTGTGAAGACACACAGGGTGAAGATGACCATGTGATAGGAGTGATGCTTCTAGGAGCCAAGGAACGCCAGGAATTGCTGGTGCATACCAGAAGCCAGGAGAGGCGAGGGAGGGTTCTCCCCTGTCACTGTCAGAGAGAGCATGGTCCAACCAATCACTTGATTTTGACTTCTAGCCTCCAGCACTGTACAGTTTTCTTGTTGTAAAGCACCCAGTTTTTTGTGCCTTGTCACAGTAGTCCTGGGACACTAATACATTCCCTTTTGTCTCCTAACTCTTGGTGCCTCTGGCTGTTCTGCACTATTGTTGCACATTCAGTTCATCTAGTCTTTAAAATCATAACAGAATTAAAGAGCTTAAGGGGACATGAATGGTTATATAATTCCATAGTTGCTCTGCTAGTACATAGTCTGTCTGCAGTAGAATTCACTAGAGTAGTTGCTTAAAATATAGAATTCTAGGTCCCACTCATACCCACTAAACCAGAATCTCCTGGGATGAGGTGCTTGCATAATCTTCCTAGGAAATTCTCACAAATAGGCAAGTTTGGGAACTAGTGATTTCGCTCAAGCCTCGTATTTTTCTTGTGGGAAACTGAAGCTTAGAGGAGTCTGTGGGCACACATCTGGTCAGTGATGGAGCACACCAGGCCTCCTGATGTCCAATCCACTGCTCCTGCAACTGTAATCAAGTTTTTGAGTAGCTGTCTTGTGCTGCACACAGGGGGCTTCTTTTTCCAATGCGATTGAAGGCCTTTGACAGCAGAAACCAGGTTCTTGGACATCTCTGGCTCTCAAGACAGCTAGGAAACCAGTTTACATAATTTTAAAATTTGCCAACTTCTTATTGACTAACTTCTGGCTGACAGACCCAGAACAACACGTTGAATTCAATGAAAAAAAGTCAGAGACCCCTTGTTGCTCACCTAACCCTCCTGTGGCCCCAATCCCAAAAGAACACCATGTACAGTCGTAGTTCTTAGCATGATCATTGTATTTCCTGACTTTAGGAAATATCATCACTATTAGTGTTCTAACAGAAAAGATTTTCTTTAAATATGTGATTTTAAAAGGTTTATCGAGTGTGTAGTATAATTTATATTTAGTTTTGGGGCCAATTATTTCCTCAGGAGAAGGCATCCTTAATTTAAAAGTGTAGATCAATGAAGAAGTATGATTTATCTAACAGAAATTTGTTTTACAGCCAACTTTTTGGAAATACAGCTATTTCATTAAGTGGAATACGACAACCGAAGCAGGGAAATGAAGCAAGCTGGATATGTGATCACACCTGCCCCCAAATCCCCACAGGGGTTTTGGTGTTGTCCAAAGTGCTGAGCTTAGCATTTACAACTAATCGAATGACAGAGACTGTCTTGTGTGCATAACATCCCTTTGGAAAAGAAAATCCCACATTTCTGACTTCATAGATTGGGCATTAAAAATCTTTATAACTGAAAATAATAATACCCACAGTGATCATTTTTATCATACCCAAGAATAAGCTTGTCAGGAGTACAGCTGTAGCTACTGGAGAGGAGAGGACACAGCTGCCTCCTTGCTTAATATTTTTATGGCATATATACCAGCTGAGATACAATCTTTGGACGTCAGAAATTGAAAAAGATACAGAACATAGAATCCCAGAATTGGAGAGTTGGAAGGAATCATTTTTAAAATTTAGCCCATATCCCATGACTAGCAGTGACATTCCAGTCCTGCACCAGCTCTGCAGCCTCTGCTCTCTCCACCATCTCAGGTTGCATCAGGTGTTCCTGTTAAACCCAGGCTGACCTCAAGGACAGTTGTATTCCCCCAGTGCCATTATGATGGCTGATGAACATTCAAGGTTTTCTGTTTTGACTGGATGAAGGCATGGTTTTGCTCAGATGCTGGGAGATAAGACAGACAGAGGTGAGACTCCTCTTCCTCAATACCAACATGTGCAAGCCCCAGGAACTGATTTTGAGGTCTCATGAAGAAAGTGGGCTTGGCCAGAAAGGAAAGAAGCTGTTTTCATGAAAGACTTTAGAGGTTTGGCTGTGTCCCTACCCAAATCTCATCTTGCATTGTAGTTCCCATAATCCCCACATGTCATGGGAGGGACCAGGTGGAGATAATTGAATCATGGGAGTGGTTTCCCCCATCCCGTTCTCATGATAGTGAGTTAGTTCTCACAAGATCTGATGGTTTTATAAGGAGCTTCCCACTTCGCTGGGCACTCACTCTTCTTCCTGCTGCCTTGTGAAGAAGGACGTGTTTATTTCCCCTTCTGCCCTGATTGTAAGTTCCTGAGGCCTCCCCAGCCCTGAGGAACTGTGAGTCGATTAAACCTCTTTTCTTTATAAATTATCCAGTCTTGGGTATGTCCTTATAGCAGTGTGAGAACAGACTAATACAGAGGTGTATGGTGCCACTGTGAGTTCTGGTGTCAAGGCCTGCTGATGAACTGGGGAAGGCCTTCTTCACACCAGGTCCCCCTTGAGGAATCAGTGCAGTCCTGGGAGCTGGAAAGCATAGAACAATAAGGCTCAAAAACAGCCCCACTCCAAGTGGCAGCAGAGGCCATGTGAGAGACTGTCAAAGGGGGTGGCACAAGAAGACTTGTATTTAAGCACGTAACAGGGACTCCAAGAAATACCAGAGCCAGTTCTGAGGTAAACGGAGGGTCCCAGGCAGGCAGATGGGTGCTGAGAGGCACAGTAATATGGAATTAATGCAAATCTGTGCCGCTAAGCTAGACAAGGCTGGGGACATGGGAGCTACCCACATAACCCACACAGCAATATCCGCTGCAACAGGGTGAAACCATCAGTGTTAAAAAGTGTTTCCACAATGTGACATTCATGTCGAATGATCTGCATAGGATAGCTTCTGTAGGCCTGATACTAGGCTGGAGCAATGGTTGAAGAGTTGATAGCAGCTGTAAGCACCACTTCCCCCGGCTGCACTGTGGGGGCAGTGATGAGCTCTAGTATTTCTGCACTCGAGCCCTATAGACAGTATTATCTGACAGTTCAGTTCTGTGCACTTCAGATTCCTCTTCTGTAAAATGGAGAACATAAGATTACCTTATAGTATTATTGTGAGCATTAAATGACTAAATATGAGTAAAGTACTTAGCATATAGGAAGCTCTCAGGAAATCGTAGCTATCATGATCTTTATTTTTACTGCAACCCTAATTAGGCTTTATCACATTTTTAATACACATGATCCTTGATACAAGAACATCTCAACTCAGAAATGAAATAATAATCAGACCTCTGCTTTGCCAGTAGGAACTTAATAATAATAAATCTTACAAAGGATTCACCACATATCCTTTAACTAGAAAACTCTACTCTCTTGACTTAAAACAGGATGTGATTGATAATAAATATAATTTCTCATGATCATTTATTTTAAAAAAGCAGGTATAGCTGCATAGCCCAGGTAAGAACTGCTGAGAGCTTAAAAAATGTCTCTGGTTTCAGAACTAAAAATAAAAGGATATAAATATATTTTATATCTATATATATATGTAATATACGTACATATATATTACACATAGTTCCTTGACATTTCCTTTGGATACAGGTAGCATGGCTGGCGGAAAAGAGAATCTGATGATCTTGCCAAAAATGGGCAAATTTAAAAGATGTTTCATAGGAAAAGTTCTGAAGGGCTCAAACCTACGTTTGCCTGTTGTAACACTGCAGGACAGACCTCACACAGTTGATAACAAACATAGAGCCCAACTCTGGGAAATGGGACAGCTGAATTGTTCTAAATAGGTGGTTCCCATCATATAAGAGAAAGCATTCTTAAATAGGCCCATGCTGGCCGCTTGTGAGCTGTGCGTAAGTCGTAGAGTATGCATATGGCAACAACCCCACGACATTGCCTCTTTGTCAGCTCAGATTCCTATTTACTTCACCTGAACTTCTTTTATACCTGGGAAACTTATCTCCTCCTTTCTCTCAGGATACCCTTTCTGTTGGATACACAGAAACTGCTTCTTCCTGGGCTCCTCCACCTTGCCATACCTTCTTTTGCACCATGTTCCCTTCCTCAAACAACTTCCATGTTCACTATACCCTTTGCATAAGCTAGAAATGCAAATGAATAGTATTTTTTGTTTTGTTTTGTTTTGTTTTTTTGAGACAGAGTCTCGCTCTGTCACCCAGGCTGGAGTGCAGTGGCGCAATCTCAGCTCACTGCAAGTTCTGCCTCCTGGATTCACAATATTCTCCTGCCTCAGCCTCCTGAGTAGCTGGGACTACAGGCGCCTGCCACCACGCCCAGCTAATTTTTTTTATTTTCAGTAGAGACGGGGTTTCATTGTGTTAGCCAGGATGGTCTCGACCTCCTGACCTCATGATCCACCCTTCTTGGCCTCCCAAAGTTCTGGGATTACAGGCGTGAGCCACCGCACCTGGCCATGAATAGTTCTTAAATTAATTTATTAACCAGATTTTTTCATAAAGCAATAAATATAGATTCAATAAAAATATTATACAAACTGGTGCCAACTATAAATTTCGTGTGTGTGTGTGTGTGTATACACACATATATGTGTCTATCAATATCAACAAAACATTTATCATAGATCCTGACACATATTAAGAACTCATTTGATAGTTGGAACTGAATATGTGTATATGGTTGAATATGCATAGCTACGCATATATCAACTATAACATTTTATAGATACGTAGAAACAAATTCCCTTAATTTTTTTTTGATAGGGAAATCTGGGAATAATAATTAGCTTCATATTAAAGAGAAGCTTCAACTTAAAGTGTAATTATAAGAAAGTGAACCCTTTGTACTCCACAGAGCCAGGCCCTGTGCATTTCTGAGGCCCATCCCTTCCCATAACAACATGACGTGGGTTTTCTTTGCAGATGTGGCTTCAGAAGCTGGGCTGGCCCTGGAGTTGGGTGCTCTTCTGCTGTGAGCCTTCTCAGGAGGCCTGTCAGCTCAAATCTGCATGCAGACCCTCTATTACGCGTGATGATATCAAAGTCAGAAAGCACACAGCTGGGTGTTTAGAGTTTGCAGCTTGATGTCTGGGAACTGTGTATTTGCAGTAGTGCAGCTGATGGCTGCTAAAAAAATAAAAATAAAAAAATAAATCAGCTTTTGATTTGTAAACTCAGCCAATTTGATCTGAAAGACATTGATAGGGGATAAATATAGCACTCCGCAATGTCATATTGCCTCAGTATCTTGGCTGTTTGCTTTCCCTTTTTCTAAATCACTGGAGATATAAGCCAGTACTGAGTGCTGATAACTTTGAAGGAGTTAATTGCTTTCAATTCCTCACCCAGATTAATTTAAGGGAATTCTATTGACTTAAGAGGCTCCTAAAGGGTTAAGGTTCTCCTGACACCATTGTGCTCAGGATCAGATAAGAAGTCACCTTCACTACCTGGATCCCAACAGCCTTGGGAAGCAGGGCAGCCTATGATTTAGCCATCAATACATTTTGTAGGGCAGGGGTTCTTAATCTGAGAATTGTGGAACTGTTAACCTCAGGGGTTTTGAATACCAGGAAATAATATTATGCATACGTGCATTGGTGTGTGTTTTCCTTAAGAAGAGATTCTACAGCTCTCTGAAAAGGATGTAAAAGGAGCCCAGGACACACACGGCTTGGTACCCCCTTGCTATGATCCTCTGGATCATCCCCTAGTGATGGTGCAGAACCAAATCCATGTCAACTCACATGTCTGCCAAGAAAAAGCCCGCAAAAATGTAGATGATGATAGGCAAAAGAACATCACTCCACGGGGAAGCAGAGCCTTACGTATGTTTCATTAAATATTTTGTGGAGGATGGGAAGTGAAATAACTTATAAATAATCCTTTTGAAGAATAGATATATCGATCTGGGGAGTTCTTTTTTCACTAAATGGGGGAAAGTCTTTTCCCACCAAAGCTAAGTTGAAATGCACGGAGGATGCAGGGCTCTGCCCATTCCTGCAGAGGCCCATGCCCACTGGCTGATGAACTAGAGGCTTCTTGCACATAGAAGGAGGAGGGAAGCCAGGCTTTCCCTTTGCAAGCAGCATCCTCAGATGCAGAGCAAAACGCAGGCTTTCCTGAAGAATCCCATTTATTAGTGATGGTATCAAGCAAAACCTCAATGACAAGGGGACCACTTGGGGGACAGAGGGAGCAGAAAACCTGGGGTGGGGTCAAATCTATAGTTAAGACAATCTAATGAATAAATTCAGATCAGATTCTGGGAGAAAACTACAAGGTGCCAGGAATACTCAAGATGGAAGTGCCATCTGTGTATTTTCAATTGGCATGGAGAGGGCAGACACCAGCCCATGTGCAGAAGGGAATAACTTGGGAAACCACAGCACAATTCTACAGAAGAGCAGGAAGCCTATTGGAGTAGGATTGTTTGGGCCTCAGGAGAAAGGGAGACATGACTGAAAGCCCTTGTATTTGTAACATTTAATTAAAGCCTTTGACTGGAAAAAAATGAGTCTTTATAAACATTTCTCAAAATCTATTCTGCACCATAGCTACTTTCCAGCAGGTAGGCCAAATCATCCTGCTGGAAACACGTGCATGGGCTCTGCCCACTTACTTTTGAATGCCTTGCCCCTCTGTTCTTAGCATTCCACTGCCAGGTGGAATTTTCACCTACATGAAATCTATAAAAAGACGGTGTATGGGAAGGAAAAGAATAGCCGATTTACTCTTTCACTGGGCACACTACTACTGTGCCTTTCTACTTCACTTCACATAAAATCTAAATATAGGCACACACACACCTGGGTCTTGGGTAGAATGCAATGTATTAAAACAAGCAGACAAACACAGAACTCCTGAATCCTCAGTATGGCGACGTCTCTTAGGAACTGGTAGCCTTGAGGAAATAACTGGGCCTCAGTTCCCTCCTTAGTAAAATGTGGCTGTTTATTTATGACTCAAATACTCATATATTGGGTCTGAAAATTATATGAGAGAAGTTGTGCAAACATATGGAAGAATGATTAACACGTGGGAAATAATTTTAAAAATGTTAGAAGGAACAAACTATAGGAAAAGTTTGGGACATTCAATCCCTAAATAACAGCATCACATAAGGCCCACTCCTCTACTACTTCTACCCCCTCCCCAGGTAAACCTATTCTTTTAAATGCCATCTCAGCACTGTAGATGGCCAGCTGTGCTCATGATCTCCACATCTGCATGGCCGTCCTGGAGGACCTGCTGAGCTCCAGGCCCATAACTGCCTGTGAAATGCCTACTCTGTATGCTTCCCAGACACCGCAGGCTGAATTCACCACCTTGCCCTTACATCTGCTCTTAACTCCTGCATCTGATCTCTCTTGGCAGCATTGTCGAATCCCCATTCTCGTAAGATAAAAGTGAGTTACATTGCTTGCTCTCTTTCCCTTATTCCTCACCTTCAATCAACAAACCCTGCTGTTTCCACTCACTTTACAGCTTCCAAATCCATTCTCTTCTTTTCCTCATCATTGTTACTGTCTTAATTCAGGCCCTCATTATCTACTCTGGATTATTACAATATCCTCTTTATGAGTCTCCACGCCTCCCATTTATTCTTTTCTTTATTGCCAAAATAATTGCCAAAAATAAGAGTCAGTCCCACCTCTGCTTAAATCCTACCACTGCTCCACATTGCTCCGTGGCATGGAATGTGAAGGTTCCCATGAGCTGGCTCTTGCCTACATCTCTGGGTTCTTTATTGCCATCTCACTTCCCCCTACACCCACTGGACACACCAGTGAAGTTCCTAAAACACGAGGCATTGTATTGATCTGTGCCTGTTTGTCTTCTCTTTTGTCCACCTTCAAATGTCTATGCAGCCTTCAAAACTATCCCAGCAATCACTGCTCTGGGAACCCTTTCGTCACATTCAAACTTCCGGGCCTCCTCCCCACCTAGTTTATTATTGTTTATTTGTTTCTCTAGCATTGCTAATCACACGGTATTGTTATTTATTTATATATGTTTACCCCACTGGACTCTAATTTCCAAGAGAGCAGTGACTCTGTTATGCACCTCTACATCTCCAATATCTATAGCAGGTTTAGCACGTAGAAGGGGCCACATGATCATGTGGGCAAAGGTTGAATGAATAAACTAGCTGACTAGACTTTTGATGGCTGTTCTAGCCTATCATAATTCATTATGATATCGTTATATCATATCAATTGTTAATCATATCAATGATTCAGAACACCCTTTGATGACCTTTAAGAAAACAGTGGGTATATTTTTTAAGGTTTTTCTTTCTCGTGTGTGTCTGTGTGTGTGTGTGTTTGTGTGTGTGAGAGAGACAGAGAGAGAGAGAGAGGGCTGGATTCATGAAGAGATGTCTTAAAATCTCCTAAGGCTAAATAATTTTATTCCATATTTCTTAAGGGGAACTAAAAGAGCCTTCATCAAGCTAGGCCTGGAATTAATAAGAGAAGAGCCAGGTTTGGCCACCTTCACAAATATTCTTAGTTAAAAGCTCTTATAGCCAATGTCCCTGCTTCCTTGGCATGCAGTGTGCCCTAATAAAAATGGTCTCAGAGAGCTTTCTTATGTCATCATCAATTAGGTTGAATTTTTTCTTAGTGGAATCAGCCTGGCCATTCAGCTCTGTCTGTCTGTAATTAGTAGTGGAATGATTGCAAGGAGTGAGATTAAACTCTCTACCTTCCTGGGACAGGCAAGGAAAAAACTGCTGCCATCACTACAAAATGAGCCTCAACATGCTCCTGTGACTTTCCTGCACCTGCTTGGTCTCAGGACTAAGGGCTTTGCCTGCCATTGACAGTGCTGTCCTTCCTGCCTCCTCCTGTCCTCAACTGCTCGATGTAAGTTGCATTAATTCCCATTCCTCTAGACTTCTTCAACCCCAGTAACTCCTCCTTCCCGATAATTCCAAGGGAAAATAAAGGAACATTTTACTGGATCTTGGCGTGAAAAAACTAGCAACCTTAACTGATGAGTTTTAAGTTATTTTTTATTTCAGTTCTAAATCTCAACTTCAGAAGACGAATTTCCACTCTAAGACTTGAATGGCACCTTCCATGGTACAGTACAAGAGCAGACAGGAGCTCATGCATTAACCAATGGAGTTAGCAGCTGATAAAAAACTGGGATGAAGGAATGAGGGGAGGGGAAGGCGAGGGGAGTGTGAGAGAGCCAGAGAGCACAAGCAGATGATAAAATTGCACGTCAAACAGAGAAAGTAACCAGAACACACATGATTGCTGAAGGTAATTATTCAGTTGCTTAGGTAAATCAGAAGCTTGCTCCTGTGACTACCGTGTTCTCATTAAAGCTCGAAGTCATAGTGACACCTTCGGGAGGTGTTAGCCTTAACCATGCTTTCCTATGATGCCTGTGGGGACAGCTAGCCTGCACACCACTGTAGCATCCCATGGTGCTTTGAAGACCCTGGTATCAGCTCCAGTTACCACTCGTCTCCAGGAGACTTCCATAACCAATTCTGTAAAATAGGGTCAGCCAACGTTTTCTATAAA